>NC_000024.10:18379149-18988697 GCF_000001405.40 Homo sapiens | reverse complement strand
CCTTACTGATAACAGACATTTGATTAACACATATTTTATGTGTCATATATATTACATACTGTATCCTTAAAGTTAGCTTATGAAAAGATTATTAAGAAAATCATACATTAGATATAATATGCTTATACTGTATTTATTGATAGCACAAGTGGAAATCATCTGTTTACAAGGTGAATTGTCTGTCTGAAATCATGGGCAGCTACAAGCTGCAGACTTCAATCTACCACACATACTAAGCATTTAGCTTTTTCTTCTAACATCATGACTTTTGTGTACTTCTTGGGAGCATTTCCAGCATCATCAGAGGCACTTCTTATGGGTCGCATGGTGTTATTCAATGTTCACATCATGGTATTGCACTAAACACAATGCAAAATATGTGAGCACCATAAGCAAGCACTTGTTACTGTGCTTCACAGTGTCTTGGAGCGGAGAACTGCTCACACAGAGATCATTAGTTCCACATGGCATTTTCAGTGGACCCTTGCATCTCACAACAGGAGATGGCTATGCCATTATTCCAGTAGCACAGAACGTACTACAATTAGTTTGATACAGTTAGGAATTAATATGTCATCTTCATGATTGTTTGCATTTCTCTGGACTGCAGAAGATGGCATGTACTGTCTGTGTGTGTGTGTTTATTTTACTTTTAGCTTTTTATAATTTTATGATATATGTATTTATATATTTATGTATAAGTTTATAGATCTATGTATATTTTATAGTAGTGACAGATGACTTCTACATATATTTTATGCTCTCATGTTACACCAACCTTTAAATATTCAAAAAAATATTTCTAGGCTATGTGGTTCATCTTCAGGTTTTTTCAAATTGTCAACAAATTCCCAAAAAGTTTTCTAATATATTTATTGAAGAAAATTCATATGTAAGAGGACCTACACAGTTCCAACCTATGTTGTTCAAGGGCTTACTGTACTCCAGCCTGGGCGACAGAGCAAGACTGTTTCAAAAAAAAAAAAAAAAAAAAAAAAAAACCTAAAAAAATCACCCCAAAAAATCCAATGTAGCTAAAGCCAATTTGATAATAACAATGATGTTTAAATGAGAATTGTGTCAGAAAAACCACAAACAATAATGAATAGCCCCTATGTAACCTATCCCCAGAAACCCACATAAAGAAGAAAACAGGGCTGGACATGGTGGTTCATGCCTATAATTCCAACACTGTGGGAAGCTGAGAAGGGAGGGTAACTTGAGCCCAAGAGTTGAAGACCAGACCAGATGACATAGTGAGACCCCATCCCTACAAAAAATTAAAGTTGGCTGGGCATGGTGGCACACGCCTATATTCTGAACTACTCAGGAGACTTATGTGAGAGGATTATTTGGAACGAGGAAGTCAAGACTGCGGTGAGCTGTGATTGCACCACTGCACTCCACCTGGGAGACAGAATGAAACTCTGTCTCAAAATAAAAATAAAGAAAAAAAATGACACCTGAGATATTAACTGTGATCATCAGTGAGTGGGAGGATTATGGTTCTTTCCATTTTCTTTTAGCTTATCTTCATTTTTTAGTTTTCTGGAGGATCATTTATTGCACTAAGAAAAAAAAATGGCTGGACTCTGTAGCTCACCCCTGTAATCTCAGCACTTTGGGAGACCCAGATGGGTAGATCATGAGGTCAACAGATCTAGACCATCCTGGCCAACATGGTGAAACCCTATCTCTACTAAAAATACAAAAATTATTAGCTGGGCATGGTGGCAGGTACCTATAGTACCAGCTACTCAGGAGGCTGAGGCAGGAGAATCACTTGAACCCAGGAGTTGGAGGCTTCAGTGAGCCCCAAGATAGCACCACTGCACTCTAGCCTAGGCAATAGAGAAAAAAAAAATTCACTTAATGGGAAAAGGCTAAAACGACGTTGGCTAGTAAAATGTCATTAGTAAAAAACATCCTTCTTCATTAATGGACTTTTTTTCTTTCTTTCTTTCTTTTTTTTTTTTTTTTTTTTTTTTTTTTTTGAGATGGTCTCAGTCCAGGCTCGTTCAGGCTGGAGTGCAGTGGTGCAAACTTGGCTCACTGCAACATCCACCTCCTGGGTTCCAGCGATTTTCCTGCCTTAGCCTCCCAGGTAGCTAGGACTAGAGACGTGCCACCATGCCCAGCTAACTTTTGTGTTTTTCGTAGAGACAGGGTTTTGCCATGTTGGCCACGCTGACCTGGAACTCTTGACCTTATGTGATCCATGTGGCCACTTTGGCCTCCCAAAGTGCTATATTACAAGCATAAGCCACTATACCTGGCCCTTCTTTCTTTTGGCTAACTCTCTGAGCAAAACTCTTTCTGCCATGGGAGATCATTACCTTATCATTGGTCATTTTCAGGATCTTCTGAGAACACAGACCAGAAGTACTGAGGTAATCTTGGCACATTTTCTTAACTATTTTATGCTGCTTTTAAAATACCTTATATATAGCTGGGAAAAAAGGTTTTGCTAGATGATCTTTCAACCTTCATGAAAATAAAGATTTTACTAAAAAGTTTAAACCAAAGGCACTGATGGAAAATACAGAAGAAAACCTAAACAAAGTTTCAGTTCTCAGCCCCTCAGCAGCCACTAAGTGATGGGCATTTCCTTCACTCCCCAGTGAGCACCTATTGTTTGCCCCGCATGGTACAGGGAAGCCAGAATGGGCATGGGAGGAGCAGACCAAGAAACACGCCTTGGGTGGGGGCCACAGAGGGCTTGGGTGAACTCCCAGGACAGGGCGGGAAGGGAAGGCAGAAAGGCTATGAGCATGGGCTGCACTGTCAGCTTTGGAAGGGTGCAGTGACCCTGCATCTGTGGGAAGTATGGGGCACAGGCAGCCTGAGCTGCAGCCTCAGAGTGGACTCATCTCGGGGTCCACCTGGCCATGGCCTGGATTAAGTTTAAAATGATGAGCCCGTCTCCAACTTCCATACATGACTTTGCACAAGTCTGACAAACACTTTTGGGCCTCAGGAACAGCACCTTAAGTCAGAGTGCCTGCTTTTACCTCTGATCTTTGTCATCTTCCACACTGAATTCTGAATAATCATCAGAATCTGACAGATGACCATCCACCAAATCCTCTGTTTTTAGCTTTGTATTTGGGAGGTAGAGATATTTGTCTTGAAGGGTCTACTTTTAATGATTTTTTTTTTTTTTTTAGTTTTTCAGTATGTTTTGTGTGCAAGTTGGAAATAAATGTACTGAACTGATTGAAAAAGATGCTACTGCCAGTGGGTTGGAGGACAAAAAAGGGGTCAATATGGAGCCATGTCCAGTTGGAGCCTTGGGGGCCGGACTCTTTGTAGGGACTGTCTGGAAGGCTGGCAGTAGTCCCTGTACAAATACCTAAGCAGGATGCTGACATAGGTCACTTAGGAACCACGAATGTGGCTCGGTTCTCACTAGGAGCCATACCCTGAGTAGCTGAGGGCTGAAGATAGGAGCCCCACCAGGCAGGAATTCCCCTGTGCGGCTGTCTCTGTCTTGTATTGGGGCTGGTTTGTGACCAGTAGGGTCATTGTCCTTTCCTGACCTTTTGTTTCTCCAGAAGTTACCTTGACACAAATGGCTTCTAATTCTTTACATACACAAAGAAAACAAAGAACAAAGAAACATTGTGTTTATCAACATGTCCACAATTTTGCTTTCATCATAAATCCATTATGGACATTTTTTCTAAATTACATCTTACATATGAAAGTTTATGTAGAGTGTCTGTACTAAGGTGGTGTTTTTAAGACCTTTCTGACCAGACACAGGCTGGGTTTAGTGGCTCATTCCTGTAATCCTGGCACTTTGGGAGTCCAAGGCAGGAGGATCACTTAAGGTCAGGAGTTTGAGGTCACCAGCCTAGCCAACCTGATGAATCTCCATCTGTATTCAAGATACAAAAACTAGGATGATTGTGGTGGCTCACACCTGTAATCCCAGCTCTTGTTATCTCTTAATTGGTCATGAAATCAGCTTAGTGGATTATGACTGTTTTCTTTTTAAGTGATACAGAAGAAGACCAGGTGTGATGGCTCATGCCTGTAATCTCAGTAATTTGAGAGGCTGAGGCAGACGGATCACCTGAAGTCCGAAGTTCGAGACCAGGCTAGCCAACACGGTGAAACCCCGTCTCTACTAAAAATACAAAAAAAAAAAAAAAATTAACTGGGCATGGTGGTAGGCACCTGTACTCCCAGCTGCTCAGGAGGCTGCAGCAGGACAATTGCTTGAACCTGAGAGGTGGAGGTTGCAGTGAGCCGAGATTGCACCATTGCAAGGGTGAGATTTTGTTTCAAAAAAAAAAAAAAAAAGGGAATTACTAACTCTAGGAAAAAGAAAAAAAAAAGAAGAAGACATAATCATTGTAGTCACTGGTTGATCTTTGAATATCATTGAAATCATCATTATAATGGAAACACTGATGATTTCTTAAACCAAATGTTGTGACATAAATATTTAAAGAATATGGTAGGAGAGAAAGGACATTTATGATTCCATGGAAAGGCGTGCAGGAGAGTGTTACAGCCTGAGGGTTTCTTCTTGTCTGCTGCTCCCTGAAAACCCAACACACTGCTAACAGCGGATGTTGCAGCAAAGAAGGAGGTTAATAATTGCAGGGGCAGCTAAGTGAGGGGAATAGGAGAGATTTATCAAATCCGTCTCCCTGAAAAGTTGGAAACTGTGGTTTTTGAAGGTACTTTGGTGGTCAGAAGGCTAGGGAACTGCAACACTTGCAACAATTGGTTGGCTGGGGATGAAATCGAAGGAGTGTCTAAAACTTTCTTTGTGCCCGACCCAGGAGAGGATATCTCAGGACCAGGTAGCATCTCTTGGTCTGTCAAAATGCTAGATCTGAAAAATGTTTCAAAGACCATTCTTGGGTTTTACAATAGTAATGTTATCTATAGGAGTGGTTCAGGAAATTATACTTTTAGTGATCCCTGGTTACATGACTCTGGTGCAGTGAGCAACTTACAGGAAAACACGCTAAGTGATGGCAGGTCATTGATTACTTATGCCTATTGTTTAGCAAAGTTCAAGCCCCTATGGTAATTCTAACCTTGTTTTCTGAATGTGGGTTGAATCTGCAGTCAAGGAGTGGGGTTAGTTTCCTTGCCTCAAAGTTTGACACACACTGTCTCTCTCTGCCTCCCTCCTCTCTCTCTCTTTTTCTCGTGTGTATACAATTATTTATTTACTATTATTTTTTGAGATGCGGTCTTGCTCTGTTTCCCAGTTTGGAATGCAGTGGGCAATCATGACTGGAGCCACCAAGAGCTGGAAGAGGCGGGAAAGATCCTCCCCTAGAGCTTCCAGGGGGAGCTCAGCCCAGCCCTCACCTTGATCTCAGATTCCTTGTTTCCAGTACTGGAAAAGAATAAACACCTGTTACTTTAAGCCACCCCAATTATGGTTATTTGCTACAGCATCCATAGGAATTTAAAACCTAAGAGGTATGAATTCTATTTTGCTGTCAAAAGGCTTCTTCTGTGATAAGTAGATATACCACCTATATAGTTGTATCTTTTTCTCCTCTTCATTGGGATTGGAAGTCAGTTGATGTCTTCAGTCCTCCTATCTCAATGTTAATTTTACTTTCTCTTTAATTCTCTGTTCTAAAACAATCCTTTTTATATTGCTTAATTAAATATCAGTGTCTTTCTCATCAACATGAGACTAAAATCCTTTTTACTTTGGGTCTAGGAAGAAGCAGTATTCTCCTCCTCCTCCTTCTCCTCCCCCTTCTACTCTTCCACCTCTTCCTCATCTTATTCCTCCTCCTCCTCCCCCTTTCCCTCCTCTCGTTTCTTTTTCCTCCTACACTTTCTCCTTCTTCTTATCTGTCTTTTTAGAGATGGAGTCTCTCTCTGCTGCCCAGACTAGAGCGCAGTGGCGTAATCTAGCTCACTTCAGCCTCAAATCTCCTGGACTCAAGTGATCTTCTTACCTCAGCCTGCTGAATAGCTAGGACTACAGGTATGCACCACCATGTCCCCTTTTGTTTTACACTTTTTTGTAGAAATGAGGTCTCACTATGTTGCCCAAGCTGGTCTCAGGCTTCTAACCTCAAGTGATCTTCCTCTATGGCCTTGCAAAGCACTCGGATTACAGGTGTGAGCACTGCACTTTGGCCTGTTGGGTTATGCAGTAGGAGAGCAGGGATGGTGGTAGTGGCTCCATATGGATTCCTGCAAAAAGTGGTGTGGGTGAATACTGGATGCCCCGTTATGTTGGAACTTCTAAATTCCTGAGCTAAATTAGAAAAAAAGAAGCAGCTCTTGAAAGGAATGATGTTGTGAAGGAGAGATGCTTGGAGAAACCAGTATACAACCCTTATAAATAATTTGATACTATTGGTTTTGATGCCTGTTCCTTTTAAACAGTTGTTGATTGAAATGACACAGCCAGTTGGGGTGGCTCAAGCCTGTAATCCCATTACTTTGGGAAGCGGAAGTGGGTGGATCACCTGAGATCAGGAGTTCAAGACCAGCCTGGCCAACATGGTGAAACCCCATCTTTACTAATAATACAAAAATTAGCCAAGTGTGGTGGTGCACATTTGTAATCCCACCTACTCAGGAGGCTGAGGCAGGAGAGTAGCTTGAACCTGGGAGGCGGAGGTTCCAGTGAACCAAGATTGAGCCATTGCACTCCATCCTAGGTGACAAGAGCAAAACTCCATCTCCAAAAACAGCAAAGAAATGATGCATGACTCCAGCTGATCTTTTCCAGTTAAATTGCCCTAGAACATCAGAGTTTCTCAGATAAATTGATGTGGAATTTCAGAATAGGTGGTAATGTCTAAAATAGTAATGTCCAACATTCACCTCAGTGTGGGGAAACTGGTTGTGGCCAGGGGTGGTTGCAAGCTGAGTTGTATGGGTGACAGAGTTCATCTGATAAACAAAAAAACATGTGAGTACTGGTTTGTGAGGATTGATTTCACAGACAAATAGTGACCATGGAAGTCAGTGTTTAAAAAACAAATAGATTTGGCCAGGCGCAGTGGCTCACACCTGTAACCCAGCACGTTGGGAGGCTGAGGCGCATGGATCCCGAGGTTGGGAGATCAAGACCATCCTGGCCAACATGGTGAAACCCTGCCTCTACTAAAAATGGAAAAATTAGCTGGGTGTGGTGGCACACACCTGTAATCCCAGCTACTCAGGAGGCCGAGGCAGGAGAATCGCTTGAACCCTGGAAGGGGAGATTGCAATGAGCCAAGATTGTGCCACTGCACTCCAGCCTGGTGACAAAGCAAGACTCTGTCTTAAAAAAAAAAAAAAAGATTCAGGCCATAAGTTTGCAGGTTTGTTGCAAGATATATTGCTTAGTGAGGGGTGTTGGCCTTCTAGTATATCTATCTCCCAAACAGTGAACATAATACCAGATAGGTAAGTTTTCAACCCTCACACCCTCCCACCTTTCCCCATTTTAAGGTGTCCAGGGTCTGTTATTCCATTTTATAGGTACATGAATACCCATTGTTTAGCTCCACTTTTTAAGTGGGAACATACGGTATTTGATTTTCTGTTTCTGAGTTCTTTCACGTAGGATATTGGCCTGCAGCTGCATTTATCTTGGTGCAAAATACAGTTTCATTTTTCTTTTATAAATGCATAATATTCCTTGGTGTGTGTATACCACATTTTCTTTATCCAGTAAACACTAAGGTTCATTCCATGATTTTGCTATTGTGAATTGTGCTGCAATAAACATAAAACAGGAAGGTGTCTTTTTTTTTTTTTTTTGATGGAATTTTGCTCTTTCACACAAGCTGCTAAATCGTGAAGTGGCATGATCTCAGCTCACTGCAACCTCCACCCTCTGGGTTCAAGCGATTATCCTGCCTCAGCCTCCCAAGTTGCTGCAATTATAGGCATCTGCCATCATCCCCGGCTAATTTTTGTATTGTTAGTAGAGATGGGTTTTTGTCATGTTGGCCAGGCTTGTCTCAAACTCCTGACCTTGAGTGATCCACCTGCCTCAACCTATCAAAGTGCTGGGATTATAAGCATGACCCACTGCTCCCGGCCACAGGTGCCTTCTATGATAGTTCATTTTTGTTTGGGTAGATAGCCAGTGGTGGAGTTGCTGTGTCAAAATTAGCTCTGTTTTAAGTTCTTTGACAAATCTGCATACTGTTTTCCGTAGAGGTTGTACTAATTTATATTCTCACCGACAGTGTATAAGCATTCGCTTCTCTCTGTGTTCTTTCCAACATCTGTTGCTTTTGGAAATCAGTGTTTTTCTATGAGGCCTTCATATTGGCTGTGAATGAAAGTGATAACTTGAAAGACAGTCTATTTTTGGACAAGCATAGAGGGGAATGGGAATGGTCAGGAAACACACTGGAATTGTAGGAGAGCTTGTTATTTTGATCTGACTTGAGCTCATGAAATGGAGTAGCCTCTTCATGGAACAAAGTTTCCTCCCTTGTAATGGTAGTTGCCAGAGGCAGTAACAGTGAAATACATTAAAAAAGTGAAAGCCAGAGGAATCATTTGATTAGAACTTTCAGTGGCTTTGAGTCGCTATACCAAACAGCTCAATTATGTTATCTCTGCTGTGAAAAAAACACCTTTTTCTCATGTGTACATCTCTTGAACACAGTCTCACATAAAACATGCCCTAATTACATGGTCCCTGTTAGACACTATACCAGGGAGTGCTTGACTTTGATGTTGCCCCGATTGTCTGAAGTCTACAAAAATCTCCTGCAGGCAGAGCTTAAACCTCCTGCTTCCATGGAACCAATGCATTCAAAGGTTGTAAGCCACCTTTGAGATTTTTTAGGCTGGCTACCTAGTCGTATGTAGGAGAAAGATGAAGTCTAACGAAGCCAAGTGATTTTCAGCCACACAATGTGTACCTTGGTCTAGGGTCAGGTTATTCAGCTTCCTACTACACCAGGTTTTAGAATACAATTTTTATTAGGTGGGATTTAATTAATGTAGTTGTATAAATTTAAAGAAAAAATACGTGTTACCGATATAAGACATAGAGATTATATATGTATTTATATACGTAAGAGAAATAGATGGACAGATGGATAGATTGATGGATAAATGGTTGATAGAAAAATATGTACATAGCCAGGTATGGTGGCTCACACCTGTAATCCCAGCACTTTGGAAGGCCACGGTGGGTGGATCACGAGATCAGGAGATTGAGACCATCCTGGCCAACAAGATGAAACACCATCTCTACTAAAAATAGAAAAATTAGCTGGGCATCGTGGTGCGTACCTATAGTCCCAGCTACTCGGGAGGCTGAGGCAGGAGAAGCACTTGAACCCAGGAAGCAGAGGTTGTAGTGAGCCGAGATTGGCTACTACACTCCAGCCTGGAGACAGAGTGAGACTCCTTCTCAAAAAAATATATATATATAAAGTAAAATAAAACAAAATTATAAAATAATAAAATTGTGTCTGCAACTGAGTGAGGTGGCTTATGCCTGTAATCCCAGCACTTTGGGAGGCAAAGGTGGGCAGATCATGAGGTCAGGAGATGAAGACCATCCTGGCTAACATGGTGAAACCTCCTGTAGACTAAAAATACAAAAAATTAGCCGGGTGTGGTGGTGTGCACCTGTAGTCCCAGCTACTTGGGAGGCTGAGGCCGGAGAATCACTTGAACCTGGGAGGCACTGGTTGCAGTGAGCCAAGATCGCATCACTGCACTCCAACCTAGGCAACAGAGCAAGACTCCCATCTCAAAAAAAAAAAAAAAGATTATGGCTGCATATGGTTTCTTGTCTGGCGAGTTTTGCATATTAGGTATTTATATTGAGAATTTCAGATAAACTCCTGAATTAATTCTGCAGGCAAAAAAATTGGTGTTAGCACCATGTGATTACTTGAATGCATGTAATAACAGCATTTTAATATGCTTACAGCAAGGGGGATGAGACCATACCAAGGATGTACTTGGTTGTTTTTAAGGTTAAAAATACCAAGACAGCTGGGCACAGTGGCTCACTCCTGTTGTCCCAGCAGTTTGAGAGGCTGCGCTAGGTGGGTCACTTGAGCTCAGGAATTTGAGACCGTCCTGGGCAAAGTGGCAAAACCCGTCTCTACAAAATATACAAAAATTAAACAGGTATGCTGGTGCCTGCCTGTAGTCCCAGCTACTTGGGAGGTTGATGTGGGAGGATCTCTGGAGCCTCGGAAGTCAAGGCTGCAGTGAGCGAGATCGTGCTCCAGTCTGGGTGACAAAGTGAGACCTTGTCTCACAAATAAAAATCAAAAAAATAAAAATAAAAAATCGAGGTAGGAGCAGACATTTCCAAAGAAATAAAATGTCCTCATATGGGGATTATTGATGTACTAGTCTATTCTCACACTCCTAATAAAGACATACCTGAAACTGGGTAATTTACAAAGGAAAGAGTTTTAATGGACCCACAGTTCCACGTGGCTAGGGAGACCTCACAATCATGGCACAAGGCAAATCAGGGACAAAGTTATATCTTACTTGGTGGTGGACAAAAGAGTGTGTGCAGGGGAACTGCCTATTGTAAAACCATGAGATCTCATGATATACATTCACTATCAACAAGGACAGCACAGGAAAAACCCACCCCAATGATTCAGTTACCTCCCACCAGGTCACTTCCACCACACGTAGGGATTATTACAATTCAAGGTGAGATTTGGGTGGGGACACAAAGCCAGACCATATCAATTGATAATTAGCACATTAAGAGGAAAAGGGTGAATTGATTGACTAAGACAGCCTGCATGTTTCCCTCAGGTTGATTATTAACACAGTTTTCCTCCTGACCTCCTTATCTTTTTAATTTTTTTTTATTGATACATTATAGATGCACACATGTTGGGGGTACATGTGTTTGTTAAATACATTCATATAATTTGTAAAGATCACATCAGTGTGATCAGGATATTCATAAACTTAAATGTTTGCCTTTTCTTTATGCTAGAAACATTTATTTTCTTCTAGCTATTTTGAAATGTATAATAGATTATTGTAAACTACAGTCACACTGCTGTTCTATTGAACACTAAGTCTTATTTCTTTTATCAAACTGTATATTTCCAAGGTGGGAGGATTGCTTGAGCCTCGAAGTTTGAGACCAGACTGGGCAACCTAGTGAGACCCTGTCTCTACAAAAAATACAAAAATCAGCCTGGCATGGTGGCACTCAGCTGTAGTCCCAGCTACTAGTCAGGCTGAGGTGGGAGGATCACTTGAGCCCAGGAGTTTCAGGTTACTGTGAGCTATGATCACACCACTGCACTTCTGTCAGAGCAACAGAGCAGAATCCTGTCTCCAAAGAACAAAAATCAGACAAACAAAACCCTTACATATTTGTACTCATTAATCAAACTATTTTTATCTCCCTTCTCTGCTCCCTTTCCCAGCCTCTGGTAGCCACCAGTCCACTCTCTATCTCCATGAGGTCCCGTTTTTATGCTCCCACATGTGAGTGAGAACATGCAATATTTTTCTTCTGTACTTGCCTTATTTCTCTTACATAATGAGCTACAGTTCCATTCATCAGGCCTCCTTTTTCATAGAGGATTTATGTTAGAAAACTTGGAATTGTGAGTTCTTTCTATACCTATTTGTGATGCAAATCTTCTAGCTTCTTTCTAGTTTTACAACCTAGGAATGCCTTTTGGAAGACTTGAGAGCCATCCCTTTAAAATGTAATAATTGAAGGAGATGACACATCTGTCTCTCAGTCTTTGTAGAAGGATGGGTTCCTAGTTTTGGAAAAATTCCAACAAGCCAACACGGATAGCTTTACCACTCTTTCCCTTTCTCCCCTCCCCTTTGCTTTTCTTTTTTTTTCCCCCCCCTTTTCTTTACTTTTGTTTGTTTGTTTTTTGGATGGAACCTCGCTCTGTCCCCCAGGCTGGTCTTCAATGGTGCGATATCGGCTTACTGCACCCTCGGGTTCAAGAGATTCTTCTGCCTCAGCCTCCCAAGTAGCTGGGATTACAGGCACACGCTACCACACCCTGCTGATTTTGTATTTTTTGTAGAAATGGGGTTTCACCATGTTGGCCAGGCTGGTCTCTTAACTCCTGACCCCAAGTGATCTGCCTGCTTCGGTCTCCCAAAGTGCTGAGATTACAGACATGAGCCACCGCACCCAGCCCACACTTATTTTTGAAAAGCAATTCTTGATTTCATTTATTTAAAAAGGATCCTCTCTTCCTTCTGTTACAGTGATGTGTGTGTGTGTGTGTGTGTCTTAAATAGCAAATTGAATCAAATTGATGGCACCCACAGTAGCATTTTTGGAAACTTAATAACTTAGAAGTCAATGATTTTTGACATTCTGGTGTTCTCTCTTAGACCCTCATGTGAGGTTTAGCTGGTGGGTGAAAATGCATGAATGGTAATATTTTTTTCAATGAAAGGAGCTGTCTGGTACAGAGAACCCATCTGTGTAATTACTGTTGCATCCTGGGTCAGCTGGGTGTGCTTAGAATGTGAGAAAAAAGTTATCCTATCATTTCCAGGTGAGCTCAACCAGAGGTGAATGAAACTGGCTTAGTCACCTGCTTGGGGTACAAATTAAGACTGCATCTTGAAGAGAAGCTATTACAAGGGTGTGTGGGGAGTGCAGTGAGTAGTGTGGGGTCTTACACTCCACTTGGACTGATTTAGAGTTTAAAAATAAGGCAACACTGCAAGGTGCAGTGGCTAATACCTGTAACCCGGCACTTTGCGGGGCTGAGGTGGGTGAATCATGAGGTCAGGAGTTTGACACCAGCCTGGCCAACATGGTGAAACCCAATTTCTACTAAAAATACAAAAATTAGCTGGGCCTAGTGCCAGGCATGTGTAATCTCGGCTACTCGGGAGACTGAGGCAGGAGAATTGCTTGAACCCAGGAGCTGGAGGTTGCAGTGAGCTGAGATCACAGCACTGCACTCTCGCCTGGGTGACAGCAAGACTCTGTCTCAAACAAACAAAGGCAACATTTTCTCCCATTATTTTTAGTCAATTTTTAAGGTTTGAATGCTTTTTTTAAATTTAATTATACTTATTTTTCTGTTTGCCAGACATCATGCGAGGCCCTGAGGATGCAAAATAGAATAGTCTTCCATGTAGAGATTCTAAATTAAAGAAAACAGCAGGCAGACAGACAAATGAAAAGTCAGCAATGGCTGAATGGTGATGTGTGATTGCTTGCAAAGCATGGAGATCTGCATTCAATACCCAGGACAACCTTCGAAATCAAAGGACCTATGAAATTGAGTCATGTGTTTTATTTACTTTTCGCATGTTATTTGTTTCTTTAGTATTTCCAATATTCTCTGCTTCCTCCAGGAACAGAGTAATATTCTGTTGTTATTCTGTTCTGGGAGCAACTCAAAATTTGTAAAACAGAAGGCTCTCCTTAATACCATCCCAAAGCCACCTGTCAATTGGGATAACTAGTTAAGTGCCTTCCCTTTTTCCTCTTTCCTGGACCCACCTGTAGCCAAGTATCTTCTCAAACAATTGAGAAGACTCAGTCAGCTGAGTCTTTCAACTGCCTTTTGAGAATGTCTTTTTAGAGTATGCAGATGGAGTTTGAAAGTGATCTACTGAAGTTTTTGTTACTGTGAGGAAGAATATAACGGACAATGTCAGTGCTTAACTTTCTTATTCTTTCTGATGTGTTGGTTAAAAATTATCTTTTGAAAATCATTTTTTCAATTTCTAACAGCATTGTCAGCCTTATTTACTATATCTTATATAACAGCCACTCAGGGCCAGGAGTGGTTGTTCATGCCTGTAATATCAGCACTTCAGGAGGCTGAGGCAGGAGGATGGTTTGAGGCCAAGAGTTCAAGACCAGTCTGGGACACATAGTGAGACTCCATCTCTACAAAAAAATTTTAAATGTTAGCCGGATGTGGTGGTGTGTGCCTGTAGTCCCAGCTGCTCAGCAGGCTAAGTTGGGAGCATCGCTTGAGCCCAGGAGTTCAGGGCTTTAGTGAGCTGTGATTACACTGCTGCACTCCAGCCTGAGTGACAGTGTGAGACCTCGACCCTAAAAAACAAACAAACAAAACTCACTCAAAATGTGGTCAAAACCCACATCAGTTTGGAAAGGGTGAAGATGTGTATCTGTGGAGATGTACTCAGTAATACATTTATTGAAGCAACAGTCTTGTGGAAAGAAGCACAGGCATGAAAGAACATGCCCTAGGTTCTGAAAATGTTTCCAGAAGTCAGAACAGCACCTACGAGTATGCGGATAGCTCTAAGGAGATTACTTTAGAAGAGTCAAGATTATCTGTGTACTTTCACGGATTTAAACAAAATATGTGTATTTTAGAATGGTCAGTGTTGCCCCATAAATGTCATGCTTGGTACTCCCCAGTGCTAATAGTGTCTGTGACTCTCTGTACAGAGAGTTTTCTGTACAGAAAACGCAGGTCTTAAAATGGAAGTTTTGGTGTTGGTCCTAATGGCTCACGCCCATAATCCCAGCAGTTTGTGAGGCTGAGGCTGGAGGATGGCTTGAGCCCAGGAGTTGGAGATTAGCCTGGGCAACATAGCAATATCCTGAGTCTACAAAAAAATTTCAAAACTTAGCTGCACATCGTGTTGAACACCTAGTCTCAGCTACTCTGGAGGCTGAGGTGAGAGGATTGCTTGAGTCCAGGAGGTTGAGGCTGCTGCGAGCCATGATTATACTACTGCCTTCCAGACGGGGAGATAGAGCAAGACCTTGGGTCAAAAAAAAAGGAGAAGAAACTTAAACTAACACATTTCTGCATTCTTTTTATTCTTTTTATTTGTCTCATACTACCAAATGGTAAATGAAGACATTTCATTTTCTTTACTCAATCCTCCAATAAAAATATGCTGGAGAATCAGATGCCTTTTGTGTTTGTTATTGTTTCTGATTTGGGGATGACAAACCATTCTAACCCCTCTATGTTCATTGCCTAAGTGTATTTTACGTACCAAATTTTCTTGAATTATTCAGAATTAATGACTTACATTGTTTGTTTCATGTACAAATATGTTGAGCATAGGTCTAAGCTAGGTGGTATATATTTTTTCCTGGCCTCCTAAAATTTCATAAGCTTTAGGAATATTTTTATGTTTTCTTTATTATGAAATTAACATGAATGCCTTTTGGAACTGGTGATCTCCTGGGGAAGATAGAGTTATATGCTTATAAATAAATAATAACCCAGGTTCAAGGATCACATAAACTCTCTACAAAGAAAGTACCACAAGAAGTCAACAGAAGACTGAATTAAAGATGTACCTGTTGGCTGGCATGGTGGCTCACACCTGTAATCCAGCATTTTGGGAGGTCGACGCAGGCAGATCACTTGAGGTCAGGAGTTTGAGACCCACCCTGGCCAACATGGTGAAACCTCATCTCTACTAAAAAATACAAAAATTAACTTTGGGAGGCGGAGGTGGGCGGATCAGGAGGTCAGCAGATCGAGACCATCCTGGCTAATACTGTGAAACTCCGTCTTTACTAAAAATACAAAAAAAATTAGCTAGGCCTGGTGGTGGGCACCTGTAGTTCCAGCTTCTCAGGAGGCTGAGGCAGGAGAAAGGTGTGAACCCGGGACACAGAGCTTGCAGTGAGCAGAGATCACGCCACTGCACTCCAGCCTGGGCGAAAGAGCGGGACTCTGTCTCAAAAAAAAAAAAAAAAAAAAAATTAGCTAGGCATGGTGGTAGGCACCTGTATCTCAACTATTTGGGAGGTTAAGGCAGGAGAACCATTTGAGCCTGGGAGAGAGAGATTTCCGTGAGCCGAGATTGCACCATTGCACACCAGGGTTCCAGCCTGGGCAACAGAGCAAGACTCCATCTTTAAAAAAAAAAAATTGTATTTATTAAGTACCAAAAGCCACTGTGTGAAGAAAGTCAACCATAAGTGTTTTTATCAATGATTAAATTTTCATTTTTTAGCCTTTACACCTTGTTTTCTATCCCATCCCACAAATTTGAGCAGCTGTGTATCTGCAGTATCTAACTAACTGTGTGAGAAGGATAATTAGCCAATATAATATTATCTCCAACAATAATTTGGCTGTTTTGCCACATAGGATGAGCACTTTCATGGTGTCTACTCATAAGTCAATACTTCTTCTCTTGAGTTTAAAAGACATTCAAAGAAATTTAGAGTGCATGAATTTAATATTTTCTCATTTTCCTACTTCTTGATAAAAACTTTTGAAACACTTGCACTATATTGACCTTTAAAGATGTCCTTATGAGGGAGAAGTTTCCTTTTTGTTTTTTGTTTGTTTGTTTGTTTTAGACAGGGTCTTGTTCTGTTGCACAGGCTGGAGTGTTGAGGTTCCATCACAGCTCACTGCAGCCTCCACTCCTGGGCTCAAAATATCCTCCTGCTTCAGCCACCTGCATAGCTGAGCCTACAGACTTTGCCACTGTGCCTGGCTAATTTATTTTATTTGACTTTTTGTAGAGATGGTGCCTTCCTATGTTGTATAGACTGGTCTCAAACTGTTACGCACAAGCGCTCTTCCTACCTTAGCATCCCAACGTGCTGGGATTACTAGTGTGAGCCACCATGCCCTGCCCCAAAGTAGAAGTTAGATCCAATGCTCCCTCAGGGAGGAATCCTTCTTCATTTTAAAGTTCTACTTTCCCTTATTCCAGAGTCAAGTATTTTAAGAAAATTAACATACCATTTTCCCTTTTGATTACCTAATTCTTCTGTTTGTCCCTCAGAATACATTACCAGGCATATAACCAAATATGGTAATAATTAGACACTTTCCAAGTATTTGCTGTGATAAATAAATGTATTTATTCATTGGCATTTCATCTTGGCAAGTAAAGAAGCTAAAAACCATTATTTAAGCAGTTAACACATGATATATTGTTAAAGGGACAAAGTCACATGTTGGAAATCATTTACAAAGCAAACTTAATATCCAAATATGCTTAATGCTTAATCTTTTAAGACTTAATTGTTTTCTTCCATTGTTAAGCATCAGTGCACCTGAGCATATTCTTTTCCTTTTCTTTCTTTCCTTTTTTTTTTTTTTTTTTTTTTTGAGACAGGGTCTGTCTTTGTCATCCAAGCTTGAATGCAGCGGCCTGAACATGGCTCACTGCAGCTTCAACCTCCCAGCCTCAAGCAATTTTCCTGCCTCAGCTTCCCAAGTAGCAGGAACTACAGACATGCACCACGACATCTGGCTAATTTTTAATTTTTTTTGTAGAGACGGAGTCTGGCTATGTTGCCCAGGCTAGTCTTGAACTCTTGGGCTCAAGTGATCCCCCCCACCACACAGCCTCCCAAAATGCTGAGATTACAGGCATAAAGCTATCATGCCCAGGCCACCTGGGCCTTTCTAAAACACATCCCAGTTTCTCATGAGAACAAAGAGGGTTTTCTCATTCTACCACAAATACAGCTTCCCCCGAAGAGAAGCGGGTGGACTAGCAAGGTAGAAATGGTTCCAAATGATGGATGACTGCATGCTTGGCATTGACAATGAGGACCAGCCTTCTGAAAGCTGCCTTGGCAATAACATCTACTAGCAGAGACTGTTTCATGGAAAGATGCTGGCCCTGGGTCCCCTTTTCTGGTTCTTAAAGGGTTCAGCATGAGAAACTATCAGTCAGATAGGGAGAGAGAAGGTTTGACATTGTGGTTCAGAGCTGTAGTCCCAGCACTTTGGGAGGCTGAGGTCAGTGGATCTCCTGAGCTCAGGAGTTCAAGACCACCTTGGGCAACATGGTGAAACCCCCTCCAAAAAATTACTGTGCATGATGGTGTGAGCCTGTAGTCCCAGCTACTTGGGAGGCTGGAGCACAAGAACTGCTTAGGTCCCAGAGGTGAAGGTTGCAGTGAGCTAAGATCATGCCAGTGCACTCCAGCTTGGGCTACATAGTGAGACTCCATCTCAAAAAAAAAAAAAAAAAACACAGAAATGTAGACACTTTCTTTTCCTGAGATGAAAATTTGATTGTATAAATAATAAATATAGTTACAGAACAGCCAAAATCATGGTACTTTAAATGTATCAAAGCTAAAGCCAATTCTCTTTTCTGATGGAAACATGAGGTTGTAATATCTCCATGTGGCTGCTGGAATTGTGTGTGCAGTGCTTATGGAAAGAGTGGAGGCAAGACAGCTTCTTAGGAAGTTGAAATATATAAATTTGAATGAGTCTAGAGCCCCTGAGCCCACGTTCATATTTGAACTTTGGTATTCACATTCCCCTTCATTGGGCTCTTGAAATACATCAAAATTAATTATCCAAGACCCATTTTGTTTCAAAAATGCTGTAAGCCTGGGCACGGTGTCTCACACCTGTAATCCTAGCGGTTTGGGAAGCTGAGGCGGATGGATCACTTGAAGTCAGGGGTTTGAAACCAGCCTGGCCAACATGGTGAAACCCCTTCTCTACTAACAATACAAAAATTAGCCAGGTGTAGTGGTGCATGCCTGTAATCCCAGCTAGTTGGTAGGCTGAGGCAGGAGAATCACTTGAACCCAGGATATAGATGTAGCAGTGACATGAGAACGTGCCACTGCACTCAAGCCTGGGTAACAGAGCGAGACTGCATCTCAAAAAATAAATGCTGTAAGCAGGAAAAAAAATCAGAGGTGGTTACATAGATGCTAAATTTTCTTCATTGTAAATTTTTGGAAATTTGAAATCCATACAAAATTAAACACAAACCACTGAGACTATCCCATGAAACCCATGATATATTGTGTTTGAAGTGTTTTACATTTCCCTTCTATCTAGTTTTCAACTTAAAGAATAATCAGATCATCTTTCATAATTCAGTGTAATAGAATTTTTTATTTGTAGACCTTCTTTGATATTAATTTGCAATGTCACAAAATTTCTCAGCATGGACTCTTAAAAACCAGCTATGAACATAGTAGATTCCAAATACATTTGCAAAATGGAGTTTCCATTTCTGTGGTCCAAAGCAATTGATTTAGAGGAACAGCAACAAATTTACTGTTGAGATCTAATGGATGAGGGCTAAACAGCTTAAATAACCATTTTTCTAGAGTTCAATATGGTCAGTCACTGATCAAAATGGAACAGAAATGAAAATATGAAAGAGAAAAGATGTGACTAAGAAGATGGAGAAAGTTAGAAAAAAATCAAAGGTCAGAGAGAAAGACAGTAGAGGGACAAGTTGAAAGGAGAAATTTTAAACCAGCTGCCACAAAACACAACTTCTTATGCTGTCAGCATGGAAAACGATTTCCTAAGGAATAAAATACTTTTATTTTCTGTGTATTATGGGCTACGCTGTGTTGACTATTTGTAGAAACATGTTGTTCTGCCTTGAGCTAAAACAGAACACAGACCAATAGCTTAGGGGAAACAAATTCTCCTACCAAGGTATGACTGCTCTTAGCATCTGCTTCTACAGAAAAGCAGTGCTGAGTTCTGGACAGAATGTTGGCCTGGGTTTTGGAAATTCTGGTCTCAGCATCCAACTTTACAATTTTAGGCTGTGTAAACTAAGAATTATCTTCTGGTAGTCATTTCTTCAGTTGTACAATGGAAGTGATACACACAGAGAGAGATACATATATAAAGAGAGAATAAAGTGTAAACTAAGAATTATCTTCTGGAAGCAATTTCTTCAATTGTACAATGGAAGGGATACACTCAGAGAGAGAGAAAGAGTGAGAGAATTATTATTATTAGAGAAGTTTCTTGGCAAATATTTGAAGAGTGAGTTTTGCTCATTTAGCTCAGTCAACCTCCACTGAATGGCTAAGCTCTAATTCTAGGAGAGTCTTTCTTTCTCCTCTCTTTTTTTAATTATTCGAGACATGATCTTTCTCTGTTGTCCAGATTGGAACACAATGGTGTAATTCTGGCTCACTGTACCCTTGACCTCCTGGACTCAAGCAATCCTCCCACATCAGTCTCTCGAGTAGCTGGGACTATAGGCACACACAACCACATCCAACTCATTTTTATTTATTTATTTTTATTTATTTATTTATTTATTTATTTATTTATTTATTTATTTATTTGTAGAGTCATGGGTCTCACTTTGTTGCCCAGATGGGTCTCAAACTCCTGCATTCAAGCAATCTTCCTACCGTGGCCTCACAAAATGCTGGAATTATAGATTTCTTAATGTTTACTTTTGCTCCCTCCTAGAGCTGGAAAAGGAGCCTTAACTACTAGGATTCTCATTGTGTTAGAACTATTGCCCTTTACCTGGACATCTGTCCTTAAAATCCACTTACTATTGCATTAGCAATGGTACATTTTTAACAAGTATGGCTAGGGATGGTGACTCATGCCTGTAATCCCAGTACTTTGAGAGATCAAGGCAGGTGGATCTCTGAGCTCAGAAGTTCAAGACCAGTCTGGGCAACATAGTGAAACTCTGTCTCTACTCAAAATACAAAAATTAGCTGGGTGAGGTGGCAGTCCAAAGCAATTGATTTAAAGACAACAGGTACATACCTGTTTTCTCAGCTACTCGGGAGGCTGAAGTGGGATGATTGCTTGAGCTCAGGAAGTCAAGGCTGCAGTGAGCTGAGATTGTACTGTACTCTAACCTAGACTCTATATCAAAACAAAATAAAACAAGTATATCAGACCTGTGGAATAGGTTCTCATTTTCTGGTGCAGCTTAGCCCAACAGTATTGAAAGGCTATTCCATGATGCAGCACCTCCAGCAGGATCAGAGACCCCAAAAGTTGTAAATTTTTGGGTTGTACTATTTGACTACTAAATCAGAACTTCTGGGATGGGGTCCCAGAATCCATGTGTTGCTAGGCCCTTTGGGTGATCTTTATGTGAGTAAAGTTTGCGCGGCCAGGCTCTGCTGGAAAGTTCATTGGATGCGGACTCAAAATAGGGCTTTCCTTCTCACACCAGCTAAGAATTAACTTTGTGAAGGTCATTTCATCTCTTTACATCTTAGATTCCTCGAAAATTCCCCGCTTTTTGATGGTGTGTTGAAGAGTGCAGAGACTGCATCAAGAACAGCAGGACAACAGAAAACACAATGTGTTTGATTTAGCAGTGTGATGACTTAGGGAAGATGAAACAATTATTTGGCTTTCTCTTTGTGGATCTGGGCAACAGAGCTGGGCTATAAATATTTTCTTTGAAGAGCAGTCTATGGAAATGGCACTGGACCCATCTTCCTTCCCTGTTGGCTTCTGTATCTGCTTTGATATCTTTTTGTTTGTTTGTTTTGGTGGGTGGCAGTGAGCATTAACTTGGGCATAATCTGAAGAAAACTTGCAAATAGTAAGTGTTCTCTCCGAGTGGAAAAGGCCGTCTGCTGTCATGGGAGGTTTCACATGTCCCATCCTCAAGAGTGAGGAGGAAGATTCCAGAACTAGGTGAGGAGCTAGAATTCATGACTCCTGATGGGTCTTCTGA
Organism: Homo sapiens; assembly: GCF_000001405.40. NCBI lineage: Eukaryota > Metazoa > Chordata > Mammalia > Primates > Hominidae > Homo > Homo sapiens. The sequence goes on along the minus strand of NC_000024.10, from coordinate 18,967,328 downwards.
CTGTGAAATTTTTATTTAAAAGAGAGTGATGTTCATGACTACATATAAATGCTTTGTGGATGAAAACAACGTTACCAGGAGAAAATATTGGTTAAACATGGTGAGAGGCCCAGTGTGATGTCTCACACCTGTAATTACAACACTTTGGGAGGTTGTTGGGAGGGTTGCCTTGAACCTAGAACCTTGAGACCAACCTAGGCAACATAGAGAGCCCCTGCCTCTACAGAAAATTAGCGGAGTGTTGTGTGATGCATGCCTGAAGTCCCAGTTGCTTGGAAGGCTGAGGCAGGAGGATTGCTTGAGCCCAGGAGGTTGAGGCTGCAGTAAGCTGTGATCCTGCCACTGCAGCAAGCTGTGATCCTGCCACTGCAGCAGAGCAAGACATTATCTCAAAAAAATAAAGATAGTGAGAAAAACAAGCAGACGAATATTTCAAACAATGCTAATAAAAGTTTAAAAGTTGGCTAAAAAAAATTTAAGCCACTTTGAACATTTTGCAGGAATACAGCAAATATATTCTCACAGCACTCATTAAAATAGATTTGAGGCATCTGATGTCAACTTATTTTTCCCCTGACCTATCCTCAGGACATGAAATAAACTTGATTGAACTTAGCTAGTGATGGACATGTAAGTTCTTCCCAAAGTACGGTGTAATACTTTCCACTATAACTCCAAATTATTATTATAACAATCACAGTTTGACAAAATAAAATAATTAGAGTTAATGAACATCACAGCACCTGTTAAGAATTTTTTAGCTTTCAATTTTTAAATTAAGCATTAAATATTTATTAACTATGAAGTAATGTTATATACTAAATATTAAGTATTTGATATTTAAAATATGAATTGCAACATTAAACAGCAAAATCAATACTTACACATTATTTGGTTATATAGTTAAAATTTTTCTTAATGGATTTAGTGTGTACAATTTTTTTTTTTTTTTTTTAAGGGCAGAGTCTTCCTCTGTCACCTAGACAGCAGTGTGGTGGTGCAATTTCAGCTCACTGTAACCTCTGCCTCCTGGGTCAAGCCATTCTCCTGACTCAGCCTCCCAAGTAACGGATTACAGGCATGTGCCACCATGCCCAGCTAATTTTTTGTATTTTTAGTAGAGGGTTTCACTATGTTGGCAAGGCTGGTCTTGAACTCTTTACCTTGAGTGATTCACCCTCCTCCCCCTCCTAGGATTACAGGCATGAGCCATGGTATCAGCCACATTTTTTATATGGATATATTGTGTCATGATGAAGTCTGGACTTCTGGTGTAAATATCAGGAGAATAGTGTACATTGTATGCATTAAGTAATTTCTGGAACTAGGTGGGAAGCCAGAATTAACGTACCCAAATACTGTACAAAATACAGCCTCCAATCCTGCCACCTATTCTAGTTTCCAGTGTTCATTATTCCACTTTCTAGGCCCCTGTGTACACATTATTTTGCTCCCACATATACATGAGAACATTCAGTATTCGATTTTCTGATTTTTAGTAATTTCACTTAAGATAATAGGCTCCAGTTCCGTCTATGTTGCTGCAAAAGACATGATTTCATTCTTTTTTATGACTGAGTAGTATTTCATTGTGATATATAAATATATATTATATGATATATATATATAACATTTTATCTGGTCCAGTGGATATTTAGGTTGATTCTATATCTTCACTACTGTGAATAATGCTTCAATAAATTTGGGAATGCATGTATCTTTTTGATGTAATGATTTATTTTCCTTTGAGTGGATACCCAGTAGTGGGATTGCTGGATGGAATGTTAGTTTTATTTTAGAAATCTCTTATCATGTTTTCCATAGAGGTTGAACTAATTTACATTCTTACCAGCAGTGTATAAGCCTTCCTTTTTTTCTGCGTTCTTGCCAGCATCTGCTGTTTTTTCAGTTTTTAATCATAGCCATTCTGACTGGTGTAAGATGGTGTCTCATTGTGCTTTTAATTTGCAACTATAATAATTTGTGTTAATCACAGATTCAAGCACACTCTCTTTTAGTTAGTTTTGTAAGTTTACACGTTAAACAAAAGCTGATATTCTGAACAGATCTTAAAGAAACAGGCTATCACAAAGAATCATTTTAGTTCTGTTGAAATCATGTCTATATTTGCCTTCCAAACATGCATAAACTTCAAGTGTCCTATGGGAGATCGATTTGAAAGCTTTTGATGACGGCAATGGTTTATATGATTTATTTCCTAAGTCTTTTGTAATTCTGATAAAATCTGCCCAACAGAGAAAAAGAAAGTTCTGTGAATGTGCTTCTGCATGTTCAACCCAGAAATCAGTTTCCCTGTCCAAAGCAAAATAGGAATAATAGAAACAGAGAAATAAAATGCTGATAAATTAAATTAGCTTACATATTTCTTGGTAAAATTGTGTCTAAAATATACACCAACAGGGAATCACTGGTTATTTCTCTGTGGCATACTGCCCTTAAAGTTAGTGGCTAAAAAAACAACTACTCATTGTTTAGCAGAAGAGTGTCTAGTTTTGTAATTTGGACTAGGCTCAGCTGGGTGGCTCTTCTTGTCTTGCCTGGGCTCCCTCATGTATTTGTGGTCACTTCACAGGTTGACTGGTGGCTGGAGGGTCTAGGACAGATTCAAGCATGGTGACAACTCATTTCAGCTCCTAGTGGTTTGAATGAACTCTAGTAATTTGGTTCAGATTTGTACATATGGAACCTCAGTAGAGGAGGTCCAAGAGCAGAAGCATGCTGACCTTGTGAAGCCCAGGTTTAAAACTAGCATGGTGTCCCTTCCACTGCATGCTGTTGGCAAAAGAAAGACAATGAAGATTCATGCAGAGGGCTAATGCACTTCTCTTGTTAATGAGAAGAGGGACAAAGTTGTCTTGCAAAGGGTATGGATGGGGAGGGACTATGGCAGGTGGCCAGTTTGCAATGAACCACAAATAGTAAAACGTACTATTGTTGAGTTCTCTAAAAGTATATTATATTTCACCTCAAAATAATAAACTAAGACGAGTGTTGAAATCTCTCTAGAAAAACCATATAGCTAGATTTTTAGGCTTTATATTGATGATGATGATACAAAAAAATAGACTCTTACGGGAATAACTTGGAAATTAACAAACAAAGAACAGGACAGCTTTTTTAATGGCACTTTTTCATTATATATGTATACACACATTATATGTATATATAAAATAAAATTATTTAAATCCAAGAACAGATAGTAGGGATTGTCAAATGAAAGCACTTTAATTGTGAGCCATACAGATGTGTCACTAAAGTATCACTTAACTCTAGTTTTTTTAATAATGCACACTCACACTTATAAGAGAAAAGAGTGAAATACAATGGAACACATAACTTCTTTTTCTTTTTAAATTATACTTTAAGTTCTGGGATACATGGATAGATGTGCAGGTTTGTTACATAGATATGCACATGCTGTAGTAGTTTTCTGCAACCATCCACCTGTCATCTACATTAGGTATTTCTCCTAATGCTATCCCTCCCCAGCCCCTCCACCCACTAACCCAGGTATGTGATGTTCCCCCTCCCTTTGTCCATCTGTTCTAATTGTTCAACTCCAACTTTTGAGTGAGAACATGTGGTGTTTAGTTTTCTGTTTCTGTGTTAGTTTACTGAGATTGATGGTTTCCAGTGTCATCCATGTCCCTGAAAAAGACATGAACTCATCCTTTTTTATGGTTGCATACTATCCCATGGTTATATGTGCCAAATGTTCTTTATTCAATCTATCATTAATTGACATTTGGGTTGGTTCCAAGTCTTTGCTATTGTGAACAATGTTGCAATAAACTTATTTGTCCATGTGTCTTTATAGTAGAATTATTTATAATCCTTTGGGTATATACCCAGTAATGGGATTGCTGGGTCAAATGGTATTTCTAGTTCTAGATCCTTGAGGAATCTCCACACTGTCTTCCACAATGGAAAAACTAATTTACACTCCCAGCAATAGTGTAAAAGTGTTCCAATTTCTCCACATCCTCTCCAGCATTTGTTGTTTCCTCACTTTTCAATAATCACCATCCAACTGGCATGAGATGGTATCTCACTGTGGTTTTGATTTGTATTGGGAACAGGCCCCCCAAAATCTGGCCATAAACTGGCCCAAAACTGGCCATAAACAAAATCTCTGCAGCACTATGACATGATCGTGATAGCCATGACACCCACGCTAGAAGGTTGTGGGTTTACCGGAATGAGGGCAAGGAACACCTGGCCCACCCAGGGTGGAAAACCGCTTAAAGGTGTCCTTAAAGCACAAACGATAGCATGAGCAGTCTGTGCCTTAAGGACATGCTCCTGCTGCACATAACTAGCCAAACCCAACCCTTATTTTGGCCCTTGCCTTTGTTTCCCATAAGGAATACTCTTAGTTAATCTGTAATCTATAGAAACAATGCTAATCACTGGCTTGATGTCAATAAATACGTGGGTAAATCTCTGTTCAGGGCTCTCAGCTCTGAAGGCTGTGAGACCCCTAATTTCCCACTCCACACCTCTATATTTCTGTGTGTGTGTCTTTAATTCCTCTAGCACCACTGGGATAGGGTCTCCCCGACCAAGCTTGTCTTGGCAGATTTACAATTCTCTAATGACCAGTGATGATGAGTTTTTTTCATATGTTTATTGGCCGCATAAATGTCTTCTTTTGTGAAGTGTCTGTTCATATTCTTTCCCCACTTTTTTATGGGGTTGTTTGTTTGTTTTCTTGTAAATTGGTTTAAGTTGTTTGTAGATTCTGGGTATTAACTCTTTATCAGGTGGATAGATTAAAAATATTTTCTCCCATGCTATAGGTTGCCTGTTTACTCTGATGATAGTTTCTTTTGCTGTGCAGAAGCTCTTTAGTTTAACTAGATCCATTTGTCAATTTTGGCTTCTGTTGCCATTGCTTTCAATGTTTTAGTCATGAAGTATTTGCCCATGCCTATGTTCAGTATGGTATGCCTAGGTGTTTTTGTTTTTGTTTTGAGACAGAATCTCACTCTGTCACCAGGACAGAGTGCAGTGGCACAATCTCGACTCACTGCAACCTCCACCTCCTGGGTTGGAGTGATTCTCCTGCCTACAGGCATGGGCCACCATTCCCAGCTAATTTTTGTATTTTTAGTAGAGATGGGGTTTCACCATGTTGGCCAAGTCATCTCAATTTCTTGATCCTGTGATCAGCCAGCCTCAGCCTTCCAAAGTGCTGGGATTACAGGCATAAGCCACCACACCCAGCCTGCCTAGGTTTTCTTCTAGGGCCTTTATGGTTTTAGGTCTTATGTTTAAGTCTTTAAGTCATCTTGAGTTAATTTTTGTATAAGGTATAAGGAAGGGGTCCAGTGTCAGTTTTCTGCATATGGCTAGCCAGTTTTCCCAGCACCATTTATTATATTCGGAATCCTTTCCCCATTGCTTGTTTTTGTCAGGTTTGTCAAAGATCAGATGGTTGAGATGTGTGGTGTTATTTCTGAAGCCTTTGTTCTGTTCCATTGGTCTACATATCTGTTCTGGTACCAGGACCATGCTGTTTTTGTTACTGTAGCCTTGTAGTATAGTTTGAAATCAGGTAATGTGATGCCTTTGTTCTTTTTGCTTAGGATTGTCTTGGGTATACGGGCTCCTTTTTGGATCCATATGAAATTTGAAGTCGTTTTTTTTTTTTTAATTCTATGAAAAAAGTCAGTGTTACCTTGATAAGGATAGCTTTGAATCTACAAATTACTTTGTGCAGAATGACCATGTTTCATGATATTGATCCTTCCTATCCATAAGCATGAAATGTTTTTCTATTTGTTGGTGTCCTACCTTATTTCTTTGACAGGTGGTTTATAGTTCTCCTTGAAGAGGTTTTTCACATCTCTTGTAAGTTGCATTCCGAGCTATTTTATACTCTTTGTAGCAATTGTGAATGAGAGTTCACTCATGATTTGGCTCTCTCTTTGACTACTATTGGTGTATAGGAATGCTTGTGAATTTTACACATTGATTTTGTATCCTGAGACTTTGCTGAAGTTGCTTATCCATTAAGGAGATTTGGGGCTCAGATGATGGGGTTTCCTTTTTTTTTTCTTCTTCTGAGACAGTCTCACTGCGTCATCAGGCTGGAGTTCAGTGGCCCCATCTCGGCTCACTGCAGCCTCCGCCTCCCGAGTTCAAGTAATTCTCCTGCCTCAGCCTCCCAAGTAGCTGGGACTACAGGCACGCTCCACCATGCCCAGCTGTTTTTTTTTTGTTTTTTGTTTTTTTTTTCTTATTATTAGTACAGACAGGCTTTCACCGTGTTGGCCAGGATGGTCTTGATCCTTTGACCTTGTGATCAGCTAGCTTGGCCTCCCAAAGTGCTGCGATTACAGGCATGAGCACCGATGGGGTTTTCTAAATACACATTCGTGTTATCTACAAACAGAGACAATTTTACTTCTTCTCTTCCTATTTGAACACTCTTTATTTCTTTATCTTGACTGACTGCCCTTGCCAGAACTTCCAGTGCTATGTTGAACAGGAGTGGAGCAAGAGGGCATCCTTGTCTCGTGCCAGTTTTCAAAGGGAATGCTTCCAGCTTTTGCCCATTCAGTATGATATTCACTGTGGGTTTAGCCTAAACAGCTCTTATTACTTTGAGATATGTTCCATCAGTACCTAGTTTTTTGAGAATTTTTAGCCTGAAGGGGTGTTGAGTTTTATTGAAGGCCTTTTCTGCATCTATTGAGATAATCATGTGGGTTTTGTCATTGGTTCTGTTTATGTGATGGATTACGTTTATTGATTTGCCTGTGTTGAACCAGCCTTGCAGCTGACTTGATCCTGGTGGATGAGCTTTTGATGTGCTGCTGGATTCAGTTTGCCAGTATTTTATTGAGGATTTTCACATTGATGTTCATCAGGGATATTGACCTGAAATTTTATTTTTTTGTTATGTCTCTGCCAGGTTTTGATATCAGGATTATGCTAGCCTCATAAAATGAGTTAAAGATGAGTCCCTCTTTTTCACTGTTTGGAATAGTTTCAGAAGGAATGGTACCAGCTCCTTTTTGTACCTCCGGCAGAATTCAGCTGTGAATGCCTCTGGTTTTGTGCTTTTATTGTTAGTAGGCTATTAGTTCCTGCCTCAATTACAGAACTTGTTATTGGCCTATTCAGGCATTTGACTTCTGGTCTTGTTTTGGTAAGGTATATTTGTCTGGTAACTTATCTGTTTTTTTCTAGATTTTCTAGTATATTTGCATAGAGATGTTTATAGTATTCTCTGATGGTAGTTTGTATTTCTGTGGGATCAGTGGTGATATCTACTTTATCATTTTTTGTTGTGTCTATTTTACTCTTCTCTATTTTCTTCTTTATTAGTATGGCCAGCAGTCTATCTATTTTGTGGATCTTTTCAAAACACCAGCTCCCAGATTCACTATTGTTTTTGAAGGGGTTTTTGTGTTTCTATCTCCTTCAGTTCTGCTCTTATCTTAGTTATTTCTTGGCTTCTGCTAGCTTTTGAATTTGTTTGCTCTTATTCTCTAGTTCTTTTAATTGTAATGATAGGGTGTTTATATCTTTCCTGCTTTCTTTTGTGGGCATTTAGTGCTATAAATTTCCCACTAAACACTGCTTTAGCTTTGTCCCAGAGATTCTGGTACGTTGTGTCTTTGTTCTCATTGGTTTGAAAGAACGTATTCATTTCTGGCTTAATTTTATTATGTATCCATTATTCAGGAGTAGATTGTTCAGTTTCCATGTAGCCGTGTGATTTTGAATGAGTTTCTTATTTCTGAATTCTAACTTGATTGCACTGTGGTCTGAGAGACCATTCATTTTGATTTCCATTCTCTTGCATTGGTGAGGAGTGTTTTACTTCCAACTATGTGGTCAAATTTTACAGCTGGGTCTCCGGGGGTGACATCACATGTCAGCAGGTTCCATGATGCCCCTGAGCCACAAAACCAGCAAGTTTTTATTAGGGATTTCAAAAAGGGAAGGGTGTATGAATACAGAGTGGGTCACAGAGATCACATGCTTCAAATGGCAGTAAAAGATCACCAAGGCAGAAGGGCAGAGCAAGGTCACAAGGCCAGGGCGAAATTAGAATTACTGATGAGGTTTCATGTCCCACTGTGCACACATTGTCGTTGATAAACATCATAACAGGAAACAGTGTTCAAGAGCAGAGAACCTATTGGACTAGAATTCCCCAGGCTGGAATTTCCTAATCCTAGCAAGCCTGGAGGCACTGCACACCAGGGAGTATTTCATCCCTTATCTTCAACCACATAAGGCAGACAACCCCAGAGTGGCCGTCCATAGGCCCCCCGTGGGAATGCATTCCCTTCCCAGGGTTATTCCTTACTGGAAAAAGAATTCAGAGATATTTCTCCTACTCGTTTTCTGCAATAAGAAAAATATGACTCTGTCTTGCCCAGCCCTGCAGGCAGTCAGACCTTATGGTTATCTCCTTTGTTCCCTGAACATTGCTGTTATCCTGTTCTTTTTCAAGCTGCCCAGATTTCATAACGCTCAAACACACATGTTTTACAAACAATTTGTGCAGGTAACGCAGTCATCACAGGGATCTGAGGCAACATCCATCCTCAGCTTATGAAGATGATGTGATTAAGAGATTAAAGACAGGCATAGGAAATTATAGGAGTATTGATTGGGGAAGTGATAAATGTCCATGAAATCTTTACAGTTTATGTTCAGAGACTGCAGTAAAGACAGGCATAAGAAATTATAAAAGTAGTAATTTGGGGAACTAATAAATGTCCATGAAATCTTCACAATTTATGTTCTTCTGCCATGGCTTCAGCCAGTCCCTCCATTCCGGGTTCCTGACTTCCCGCAACAAAATATTCCTCCATCTTTTTTTTTTTTTTTTAATGCCTGTGTGTGTCTTTGCACCTGAGATGGGGTTCCTGAATGCAGCACACTCATGGGTCTTGACTCCTTATCCAATTTGCCCATCTGTGTCTTTTAATTGGGGCATTTAGCCCATTTACATTTAAGGTTAATATTGTTATGTGTGAATTTAATCCTGTCATGATGATGCTAACTGGTTATTTTGCCCATTATTTGATGCAGTTTCTTCTTAGAAACTGCTTGTCTTGCTAATTTGGGGAAGTTCTCCTGGATAATATCCTGAAGAGTGTTTTCCAACTTGGTTCCATTCTCCTCGTCACTTTCTGGTGTACCAGTCAAACGGAGGTTTGGTGTTTTCACATAGTCCCATATTTCTTGAAGGCATTGTTGTTCAGTCTTTTTCATTCTTTTTTCTCTAATCTTGATGATCTTTACAGTTTATGTTTTTGCAGTGGCTGCTACCGGTTTTTCCTTTCCATATTTAGTATTTCTTTCAGGAGCTCTTGTTAAGACAGGCCTGGTGGTGACAAAATCTCTCAGCATTTGCTTGTCTGTAAAGGATTTTATTTCTTCTCACTTATGAAGCTTAGTTTGGCTGGACATGAAATTCTGGGTTGAAAATATTTTCATTAAGACTTTTAATATTGGCCCCCACTCTCTTCTGGCTTATAGTGTTTCTGCAGAGAGATCCACTGTTAGTCTGATGAGCTACCGTTTGCAGGTAACCCATCCTTTCTCTCTGGCTGCCCTAAACATTTTTTCCTTCATTTCCACCTTGGTGAATCTGATGATTATGTTTCTTGGGGTTGCTCTTTTCAAGGAGTATATTTGTGGGGTTTTCTGTATTTCCTGAATTTGAATGCTGGCTTGTCTTGCTAATTTGGGGAAGTTCTCCCGGATAATATCCTGAAGAGTGTTTTCCAACTTGGTTCCATTCTCCTCATCACTTTCTGGTATACCAATCAGACGGAGGTTTGAAGTTTTCACATAGTCCCATATTTTTTGGAGGCATTGTTATTTGGTCTTTTTCATTCTTTTTTCTCTAATCTTGTCTTCACACTTTATTTCATTAAGTTGATCTTCAATCTCTGATATCCTTTCTTCCGCTTGATCAGTTCAGCTGTTGATATTTGTGTATGCTTCACAAAGTTCTTGTGCTGTGTTTTTCAGGCCCATCAAGTCATTTATATTCTCCTTTAAACTGGTTATTCTAGTTAGCAATTCCTCTAATATTTTTTTCAAGGTTCTTAGCTTGCTAGCATTGGGTTTTAGCTCGGAGGAGTTTCTTATTATCCACCTTCTGAAGCCTACTTCTGTTAATTCATCAAACTCATTCTGCATCCAGTTTTATTCCCTTGCTGGTGAGGAGTTGTGATCCTTTGGAGGAGAAGAGCAGTTCTGATTTTTTTGTTTTTGGAATTTTTAGCCTTACTGTGCTGGCTTTTCCTCATCTTCATGGATTTATCTACTTTTGGTCTTTGATGTCGGTGTCCTTCGGATGGGGTTCCTGTGTGGACTTTTTTTTGTTGATGTTAATGCTATTTCTGTGTTTGTTAGTTTTCCTTCAAACCATCAGGCCCCTCTGCTGCAGGGCTGCTGGAATTTGCTGGAGGTCCACTCTAGACTGTCTATATATTTTTTTGAGATAGGGTCTTGCTCTATTGTCCAAGCTGGAGTGCAGTGGTGCAATTATACCTGTCTGAAGCCTCTACTTCCCAGGTTCAAGTGATCCTCCTGCCCTAGCCTTCCAAGTAGCTGGAATTACAGATGCATCACCACACCCAGCTAATTTATTTATTTATTTTTAATTTTTTTATGGAGACAGTGTCTCACTATGTTGCCCAGCCTGGTCTCCACCTCCTGGGCTCAAGTGATTCTCCTGCTTGGACCTCCCAAAGTGCTGGGATCAAAGGCATGAGCTGTCATGACTGGCCATATTAGCATTATAATTTATTTTTTTCCACAAATGTAAAACATTAGCATAATTAGTGGTGACTGATTTGCTCACAATCACATATCTAGAAAGTGTGTAAGTCAGGACTAATTTGGATCTCCTGACATCTAAGTTAATGTTATTTCCACTAGAAGTTTTTTCATTCTTAATATGAGGAGACATTTAAGTATTTCTTAATCTGTCAAGGTCTGTCTAGGTTTCTGTGTGTGTGTGTGTGTGTGTGTGTGTGTGTGTGTGTGTGTGTGTACAGGTAACATGACCCCTTGATTTACCATCTCCTGAGATCTATGGTTTGGAGATTGAGTGTTATAAAATATGTTATAACTTTGGGGCCGGCCAACGTTAAATTGGAAGATGATTTTAATTTTTCCTTGTTTACTATAAAACCCAGCAGTTCAACAGCAGCAACAGTAACTGAGTTAAACTAAAAAGTGGAGCAGTTAATTTTTCATAAGCAAACTGGACCACAGGCTTGTTATCATCAGGTGGGTTGGCAGACAGCAAATGAAATACTGAGTAAAAGCTATGGTCCAAAAATAACCAATGGAAGATACCAAAAATATTACCGAGCAGGGGTGACAGGTTGGCCCACATGACATTTACATTCATAGGTAAATCAAGTTAAACAGTCATTCTCTCAGTCTTGTTGTAAGATATAGTAGGTGTCCAATGTCAGTACTGCTAATATCTGGACTTCAACAGAATACACTGGAAATCTCAACGGTAGCCTCTTCAAAATGGGGTAATCCACTACCTTCAAAAATTACACCTCCGGGCAAGGGGCGGTGGCTCACACCTTTAATCTCAACACCTTGGGAGGCCCAGGTAGGAGGATCACTTGAGCCCAGGAGTGTGAGACCAGCCTGTGCAACACAGTGAGACTTCATTTCTACAGAAAAATACAAAAATTAGCTGTGAGTGCTGCCGTACACCTGTAGTCCCAGTTGCTCAGGAGGCTGAGGTGGGAGCATAGGTTGAGTCCGGGAGGTCAAGGTTGCAGGGAGCCAAGGTCACAGCATTGCACTCCAGCCTCAGAGACAGAGTGAAACCCTGTCTCAAAAAACAAACAAACAAACAGACATGAAGAAATAGTCTCAAATCTGAATGGTCAAGGAGCTTATATCAAAGGACTTTTTTTTTTTTTTGGAAATAGAAGAACCTTATGGTACAGAACACAAGAGTCATGGGGTTTTGCTTTCTATGTCAAAACCAGATTGGCTAAAAGAAACCTCAAAAAGCCACTTAACTCAGAGCTAGCATGGACAGCACAACATTCAATAAACTCAGCAATGATGAATATCAAATAATTTGCTGTGGCAATAAAACAAAGTAGAAAAATGTTCTTTAAAATTTTTAGGTTCAGCAGTGCATGTGCAGGTCTGTTACATATGTAAACTTGTGTTGTGGGGGGTTGTTGTACAGATAATTTCATTATCCAGGTGTTAAGCCTGTTACTCATTAGTTATTTTCCCTCATCCTCTCCCTCATCCCAATCTCCAACCTCAAGTAAGGCCTAGTGTCTGTTCTTCCCATCTCTGTATCCATGTGTTCTCATAATTTAACCGTTACTTATAAGTGGGAACATGTGTTATTTGATTATCTGTTCCTGCATTAGTTTGCCAAGGATAATGACCTTGGGCTCCATCTGTTCACCTGCAAAGGACATCTTCTCATTTTTTATGGCTGCATAGTATTCCATGATGTATATGGATTACATAGTATTCCATGATATATATGGACCGCATTTTCTTTATGCAGTCCACATTCATGTACATTTAGGTTGCTTCTCATTCAAATGCAATCATGGTGCTAATATAGTGCCAGGAGATCTTGAGATCTGCCAAAATATATAATTGAAAATGAGATGTGTTTGGAAAGAGATGCCTGTTATGGAGTGGGGGGGCATAAGTGAAGCCTTTTATGTGTAATAGTAGCCAAGACAGAGCTAAAAACAAATGCGTACAGTTACTTTCTCCACTCAAAGATAATGGTGCCATACGCAAGACCAGATATCCTCATCACCGTATGTTTTGTTGGTCAAAACAGAGTGAATGGGGAATTTGATGCAAACTCATCACCATTATTCTGTATACAGAGGAGACCAAGCTCCACTCATGGTTTGAGCTAGTTTAAACAGTTAGAAAAGGCAGACAATAAAAAATGAAGTTTTGTTCTGGTCTTTGAATACCTCTGTTAACTGAAATCCTACTGAGTCATTCCATCCTTCTTCCTGTTCACCCTAATATTTGACGAATAGATCTTCTGTCTTCTACTGTGATGTCGTTACATTGTATTACTCTTCTGTTGCTGTGTAACGAGTATCTGGATTTTATTTTATATTTTTTATTTTATGTTATTTTATTTTATTTATGTTATGTTATGTTACGTTATGTTATGTATGTTATTTTATTTTAGTTCAATTTTATTTTTGAAATGGAGTCTGACTCTGTCACCCAGGCTGGAGTGCAATGGTGCAATCACAGCTCACTGCAACCTCTGCCTCCTGTGTTCAAGTGATTCTCCTGCCTCAGCCTCCCAAATAGCTGGGATTACAGGTGCCCACCACCATGCCCGCCTAATTTTTGTAGTTTTAGTAGAAATGGGGTTTTACCATATTGACCAGGCTTGTCTCCAACTCCTGACCTCGTGACCCACCCTGCTCAGCCTCCAAAAGTTCTGGGATTACAGGTGTGAGCCACCCTGCCCGGCCAATATCTGAAAATTTTTAAAATACTTTTGAGACAGGGTCTTGCTATGTCAATCAGGTTGCAGTGCAGTGTGGAGATCACAGCTCACTACAGCCTCAACCTCCTGGGACCATGTGATCCTCCCATCCTAGCCTCCAGAGTAGCTGGGACTACAGGCATGTGGCAACTCATTTGGCTAATTTTTTGTATTTTGTGTAACGCCGGGTTTTCCCATGTTGCCCAGGATGATCTCAATTCCTGACCTCAAGCAATTCATCTCCTTCTGCCTCCCAAAGTGTTGGGATTACAGGCGTGAGCCACCGTGCCTTGCTTGCCTGTGTCTTTTATGGAAGCCCAACTAATGTAAAGAAAGGATTGCATTCAAGTTCCCTCAGGTAATTGGAAAAAAATGGATTTACTGAAGCTGGAAGACTGAGGTGTCTGTTTCCTTGCTGACTGTTGTCTGAGGATCACACTCAGCTCCTAGAGGATGCCCCCAGGTCATTGCCCTGCAGATCTCTTTTTAGGCGGTTTAAAGCATGGCTGTTTGCTTTTTCAAGGCCAGCAAGAGAATTTTAACTACTTTGAATTTCTCCCTCAGCGAAGGCTTGAAAGTTTTTGTTTTTTAAAGACTCATATAATGTACCTTAATCAAGGGATTGATTAGCCCATTATATTCATACCAGGCATTCACTCCAGGAAGTCAAAACCATGGCAACTATCTTAAAAATTCTGCTAACCACTGTCAACCTCTGACGATTAATGGTGTACATCCTTTCCAAATGCAAAATGCATTCCTTTCATTGCTCCCAGGAGTGTCCTCCTACTTTTCTTGAAAAGATGTCATCCTGTAAGTTTTTCTTAGGTCCTCAGCTTACATTGACTCCAATTTTTCTTTAATTAAACTTTTCACAATAAACTGATTAATGTATGTTTGTTTTTCTCCCTTGCTGCTTTGAGGGTAGAAACATTTCTTGTGTTACTTTGATATATCACAGAAACTAAAATGTAGCTTGGTAAAATTGTGTAGGACTCACAAATGCTTCTTCATTGACTATACGATTTTGCAGGGTGAGACTTCAAAAATTAAGGGCCTCTAAAAATAATGAACTTCTTTGGCGATGGAACAAATATGTAAGAAAGAGCCAGGAAAACTAAATTCTCAAATAATTCATAATGGGCGAAGTGCTTTATTACATTATTCTAATACAGTCTAACAATTCTAATACATATATTAATGATTTCTTTGTGATATTAAGATTAATAGATATATTAATGATATCAAAATGAAGGAAAATTTTGCACCTGAGATGTTTTCCAAGCATTAGCAACTTCATAGTTAAGACAATCCAACAGGGAGATACATTTTGAAAAAGTCTGTTGGGATGGAGCATTAAAATCTGTGATATCGAGAAAAATTCTACAAAGGCTTGAATTTAGAAACTGTCTGCCCCTCCTGTGGCATGTCCAGATCATTCTAATACATGTGCATTCTCAAACAGAAAAATAAATAAATAATAAATTCACAGGGCTAATTACTGTGTGCCTTTCATAAAAAGAAAAGATAAATTTTGGGGCAGTAGGGGGAGTTCTTGCCCTGTGGAGATAGACACCAAAGAACCTGAATGGTTGTCTTCCACTTGGACAAAAATAAACAAATAAGGATGAATACAAACCTCAGTAGTTAGACAAGAAGAGATACTGTTATTATCAGTGACTTGATCACAGTCTGTACTGCTGATATTGGGGAACGCTCAGGGGGTTTGCTCTGCTGGAGCCATAAGTCAGCAGCTTAATTAATCTCGCAGGCTCAGTGGGGACCTTTGGGTTTATTCATTAGCTGTGAGAGTGAAGCCAGATACATATGGTCATGCTGAGGCAAAATAAGGGCAGAGCGAACAGGGAATAAGTGCATGGGTCTGCATGTGTCAGAGAGATGAAGGAGGAAAACAACTTGGTGGACACCCATCGTGAAAGGCAAAACAAACCTGTCAGACCTGTTTCACCACATTGCAATCAATACTCCTTGTCTATACAAATTTTCTGCTCACCACACCAACGTTCATTTGCTGATCAGATTCTAGAATATGTGCACCTATGTGTCAGAATGAAGCCGTGGTCTCTCCCACACTTTGAGGAAATGGACATCATTGCTGACATACACTTGATAGAAAATGTTAGTTCTAGCTAGGTGTTCAAAACTCTAGCAAGTAAATAGGAATGCACTGTTTTTGTTTGTTTTTTATGTTTTTATCATTATATTTGGAGAATTTTCTGAAGTAGCTCTTTTTTTAAAACAGCTTTATTGAGGTATAGTTGAAATGCAAAAGAGGCACATATTTAATATATACAGTTTAATGAGTTTGGATGTTATTGGGGACAGCTGTTGTGAAACTTCAGTTCTTGTCTTCTCAGTTTAAAAGAAGCAAGAGACACACAGCAAAGGAGATGCAGTGTAGAGTAATTTATTGCAAAGGAAAAAGAATATTTTGAAAGTCAGCCTAAGAATAGACAGTACACCCTGAGAGAGAGAGAGATTTCAGGGCTGGCTGCTCCTAAGAGTGAGACAGCATTGATTATTGCTGGTGAAACTCATTTTGGACCAGGAGTAGTGACTCACACCTGTAATCCCAGCACTTAAGGAGGCCAAGGCAGGTGGATCATGAGGTCAGGAAATTGAGACCAGCCTGAACAACATGGTGAAACCCGTGTCTACTAAAAATAGACGAAAATTAGCCAGGCGTGGTAATGTGGCCTGTACCCCCAACTACTCGGGGGCTGAGGCAGGAGAATTATATGAACCTAGGAGGCGGAGTTTGCAGTGAGCTCAGATCATGCCACTGCACTCCAGCCTGGGTGAAACAATGAGATTCCATTTAAAAACAAAAGGAAGGGAAGGGGAGCAGAGGGAACAGGAGGGAAGGGAAGGGACTCCTTTTATGGGAGTCAGAGGTGTTACTAGTAAGCATGTTCTGGGTGTTCCTCTGGGTGCACCAAAGGGTGTGTTTTTCACTCTTAAAATGAGCAAAGGGTCACTTTGAGGACAGGTAACATCAAAATGCACATGCTCTCTAGAATGAAAAGTGCCTATTGAAGATAGCTAAGCTTGAATGAGCCCAAGGACATTGTGAATGCTGAGGTTTATTGAGTTGATTACATAGTCACTTCCTTGACTACCTATCCTGCCTCAATACTGTCATTACTATCAAGATAAGAAATATATCCATCATCTCCAAAGTTCTTTGTGTCTTTTTTGTTTTTTAGAATTTTCTTGTGTGTGTGTGTGTGTGTGTGTGTGTGTGTGTGTACTAATTTTCTGATTTTTTTGTTTTGTTTTGTTTTAAATCTTGCGCAAATTCCTATGTAATAGGCCTGGGGTGTCATGCTCTATAAAACATAAATTCTCATTCTATGAGTTTTACTTAACCCTATATATCAGACTTACCTTCCAGTCTGACTCGGGTGTAACATTACATGATGAAGAAAAAAATAAAATTATTTTACCCGAAAACATGTTTATTTGGCATATTTAGAAATGGCCCTGCAAAGCCATCCTTTGTGGAAGAAAATTTGCATCTGCAGAGAATCTCTGTTAACAAAACTAGATCTTCCAGGCCCTCCCTATCCTAAAGAGATTAACTGAGAGTCTAGAACCTTTTAAAGGTCTGAATAGGAAATAGTCATGTATTGTCTCTAAAGGCAGCCACTATGATACTTCAAACGAATCTTGGTCTCCACAATCATTTATCCTAACCTCAACATTTCCTTTCTGTTAATCCCAGGTCTTTAGACAAACTCAAACAATTGTCAACCAGAAAATGTTTATATTTACCTGTAGCTTGGAAGCCCTCTCCTCCATGCCCTGCTTGACTTGTCTCACCTTTCTGGACTAAACCAATATATTTCTCAAATATATTTATTTGATTGAGGTCTCATGCCTCCCTAAAATACATAAAGCACTCGACCACCTTGAGCACATATTCTCAGGACTTCCTAAGGGCTGTGTCATGGGATGTGGTCACTCACATTTGGCTAAGAATAAATATCTTCAAATATTTTACAGAGTTTGACTTTTTCCATTGACAGTGTGTGTGGTAAGAATACATAACATGAGATCTACCCTCTTAACAAATTTTTAAGTGTATGAAATTCTGCCCGATTCCATTTGTGTTATGATGATACATGCTGGTTTTCATTCATGGTTCCTGGCCCGTAACTCCCATAGCCCTGTTTACAGTCTTTTGTTATAATATTGCATTTATCAGGGCTCAGAAGCAGGCCTCTCATAGCCTTTCTGATTGTGAGACTTAAGACCTTGTCATGAGAGAGGTCCCACCTTATTCCCTGGAGGAAGAAGTGCTGATGTTATGAAGCTTTCATAAAACCCCAAGAGGACAGGGTTCAGGGAGCTTCCAGAAGCTGAACACATGGAGGTTCCTGGAGGGCGGTGCTGCAGGGAGGACATGGAAGCTCTGTGCCCCCTCCCTGTCAATAAAAAGAGTCAGACTCTGTAAAATACTTGAAGAGATTTATTCTGAGCCAAATATGAGTGACCATGCCTTGTGACACAGCCCCAGGAGGTCCTGAACATGTGCCCAAGGTGGCTGGGGTGCAGCCTGGTTTTATACATTTTAGGGAGACATGAGACATCAATCAAATACATTTAAGAAACACATTGGTTTTATCTAGAATGGTCGGTTACCTCAAAGGGGTTGGGGGCATCCAGGTCATAGATAGATTTAAACATATTCTGATTGGCAATTGGTTGACAGAGTTACTATCAATAGAAAGTGATGTCTGGCTTAAGATAAGGGGTTGTGGAGACTTAGGTTTTATTATGCAGTGGAAGCCTCCATGTAGCAGGCTTCAGAGAGAATAGATTGTAAATGTTTCCTATCAGACTTAAGGTCTGTGTTGATGTTAATGCTGAACGGCTATAATGAGGTATCTCCAAGCCCCACTTCCCATCGTGGTCTGAAACAGTCTTTCAGGTTAAATTTTAGAGTCCCCTGGCCCAGGAGAAAGTCCATTCAGGTGGCTGGGGGGAACTCACAATTTTATTTTTGGTTCCCACCTCCAAATCTTGCCCTACACATGTTCTTATCTGTATTAGAAAAGGGTAGGAGAGAGTGAGTGAGATTAATAGTGTGGTGGAGATAGCTGGGGAGAGGTAGAGGGTGGCATAAGAAAAAGATTGAGTATAAAAGTAAGGAATAGGATATCCTTTGTAATAAACCAGTAAGTGTAATTAAGCAGTAACTTGAGTTTTGTGAGTTACTCCAGCAAATTAATTGAATACAAAGAGAGGTTTGCGGGAACCCCAATTTGAAGGTGGTTGGGCAGAATTTCTAGAAGCCCAGACTTGTGACTGATGTGTGTGGGGCGGGGCAGTCTTGGGAATGGAGTCCTTAGTCTGTGAAATCTAAAGCCCCCCAGGGGAGTTGGTGCTTGCCACCAAGGTGAAGAATCAAGGCAGTTCTCATAACTTCCAAAATCTATTTCCTTCCTCACACCTGACATATACTTTCTTCTCCCCAGCTCCTTCAGCTATACTCACTCTTTGTTGAGTCTCCCACAGTTACCACTGTTCTGGCCCAGACTTCAATCCGGCCTGCCACATTATTCCAGATAGCACACCTGATGCCCGTGACTGTATCTCTCTGATCCACCTGACATTCACTCCTTTTCCCCATATTTCCTTCTTTCCTGTCCCTCACCCTGATCACACTTGGTTTATTGATGGCAGTTCCACCAGGCCTAATTGCCACTCACCAGCAAAGGCAGGCTATACTATAATATCATCCACATCTATCATTGAGGCTAGTGCTCTGCTGCCCTCCACTACCTCTCAGCAAGCCGAACTCATTGTCTTAACTCGGGACCTCACTCTTGCAAGGGGACTACGCATCAATATTTCTACTGACTCTAAATATGCATTCCATATCCTGCACCGCCATGCTGTTATATGGGCTGAAAGAGGTTTCCTCACTATGCAAGGGTCCTCCATCATTAATACCTCTTTATTAAAAACTCTTCTCAAGGCCACTTTACTTCCAAAGGAAGCTGGAGTCATTCACTGCAAGGGCCATCAAAAGGCATCAGATCCCATCACCAAGGGCAACACTTACACTGTTAAGGTAGCTAAAGAAGCAGCTAGTGTTCCAACTTCTGTCCCTTACAGCCGGTTTTTCTCCTCATTGGTCTCTCCCACCTACTGTCCCACTGAAACTTCCACCTATCAGTCTCTTCCCACACAAGGCAAATTGTTCTTGGACCAAGGAAAATATCTCCTTCCAGCCTCACAGGCCCATTCTATTCTGTTGTCATTTCATAACCTCTTCCATGTAGGTTACAAGCTGCTAGCCTGCCTCTTAGAACCTCTCATGTCCTTTCCATCGTATACATCTATCCTCAAGGAAATCACTTCTCAGTACTCCCATCTGCTATTCTAGTATGCCTTAGGGATTGCTTAGGCCCCCTCCCTTCCCTGCACATGAAGCTCAGGGATTTGCCCCTGCCCAAGACTGGGAAATTGACTTTACTCTCATACCTGGAATCAGGAAACTAAAATACCTCTTGGTCTGGATAGACACTTTCACTGGATGGGTAGAGGCCTTTCCCACAGGGTCTGAGAAGGCTATTGCGGTCATTTCTTCCCTTCTGTCAGACATAATTCCTCGGTTTGGCCTTCCCACCTCTATACAGTCCGATAACAGACCAGCCTTTATTAGTCAAATCGCCCAAGCAGTTTCTCAGGCTCTTGGTATTCAGTGGAAACTTCATATCCCTTACCGTCCTCAATCTTTGGGAAAGGTAGAGTGGACTAATGGTCTTTTAAAGACACAACTCACCAAGCTCAGCCTCCAACTTAAAAAAGGACTGGACAGTACTTTTATCTCTTGCCCTTCTCAGAATTAGAGCCTATTCTCGAGATGCTACATAGTACAGCCCATTTGTACTTTTATATAGACACACTTTCTTGCTCGGCCCCAACCTTGTCCTAGACAACAGCCCTCTAGGTGACTCTACTGGTCCTCCAGCAGGCTAGACAGCAAATTTGCCAGGCTGCTAATCTCTTGCCTACTCCAGATTCCCAGCCATAGGAAGAGACCCTAGCTGGACGATCAGTTCTTATTAAGAATCTGACCCCTCAAACTCTACAGCCTTGATGGACCAGACCCTACTTAGTCATCTATCGTACCCCAGCTGCCATCTGCCTGCAGGACCCTCCCCATTGGGTTCACCATTCCAAAATAAAGCTGTGTCCATCAGACAGCCAGCCTGATCTCTCATCTTCCTCCTGGAAGTCACAAGTACTCTCCTCTACTTCCCTTAAACTCACTCGCATTTCTGAAGAACAGTAATAACCCTTATGAGCCTAATACATCCCTTCATTCTATTAGGTCTATTGGTCCTTACCCTACTTTTTGCAACAGGGCTTTACGCAGTCACCTCCACTACTTGGACTGCTCCCCAAAAACTTGTCATCCCTACTATCTTCTGTCTAGTTATACTCCTATTCACCCTGCCCTTGTTTCCACTGCTGGTTTACACTTTTCCTCCAAATCATTGCAGCAGATATCTCCTGGTACTATCCCCAGTCCACCAATCTTGACTCCCTCTTGGAGTGGACAGATGATCTTTTCTGATAGGGCACCCTCCAACACTTTCACCCTGATGAAGTCCTATTCTTTCCTTTTATACTCACTCTTATTCTCATTCCTGTTCTTATGCCACCCTTTACCTCTCCCCAGCTATCTCCACCACACTATCAATCTCGCTCACTTTTTCCAGCCTTTTCTAATCCTTCTTTAACAAACAATTGCTGGCTTTGCATTTCTCTTTCCTCCAAAATCGCTGAGGCCTCGACTTACTCACTGCTAAGAAAAGGGGACTCTGTATATTTTTAAATGAAGTGTGTTGTTTTTACCTGAATCAATCTGGCCTGGTATATGACAACATAAAAAAACTCAAAGATAGAGCCCTAAAACTCACCAGCTACCAAATAATTATACTGAACCCCCTTGGGCACTCTCTAATTGGATGTCCTGGGTCCTCCCAAGTCTTAGTTAATACCTATTTTTCTCCTTCTCTTATTCGGACCTTGAGTCTTCCGTTTAGTTTCTCAATTCTTACAAAACCACATCCAGGCCATCACCAATCATTCTATACAAAAAATGCTCCTTCTGACCACCCCACAACATCACACCCTACCCTAAAATCTTTCTTCAGTTTAATCTCTCCCGCTGTAGGTTCCCACACTGCCCCTAATCCCGCTCAAAGCAGCTCTTCAGTTTAAGCTTACCCACTCTAGGTTCTCACATCACCCTAATTCTGCTAAAAGCAGCCCTGAGAAACATTGCCCATTGTCTCCCCGTACCATCTCCACAAAGTTTTCGCCACTCCAACACTTCACCACCATTTTGTTTTGTTTTTGTTATTAATATAACAAGACAGGAATGTCAGGCCTCTGAGCACAAGCAAAGCCATCATATCCACTGTGGTCTGCATGTATACATCCAGATGGTCTAAAGCAACTGAAGATCCACAAAAGAAGTGAAAATAGCCTTAACTGATGGCATTCCACCATTGTGATTTGTTCCTGTCCCACCCTAACTGAAAAGATATATTCTCCTCTGTCCTTAAGGTACTTTGTAATATTCTTCCCCTGCCCCCGCCCCCACCTTGCCCACCTTAAGCCCTTAAGAAGTCACTTTGTAATATTCTCCCTGCCCGTGAGAACGTACTTTGTACTGCTATCCCAAACCTGTAACAACTAATGTTAATCCCACCACCCTTTGCTGACTACTTTTTTGGACTCTGCCTGCCTGTACCCAGGTAAAATAAACAGCCTTGTTGCTCACACAAAGCCTGTTGGTGGACTCCCTTCACATGGACGTGTGTAACAGTTTGATGTCTCATGCCTCTCTAAAATGTTTAAAACCAAGCTGCGCCCCAACCACCTTGGGCTCATGTTCTCAGGACTTCCTGAGGGCTGTGTCACAGGCCATGGTCACTCATATTTGGCTCAGAATAAATCTCTTCAAATATTTTACAGAGTTTGACTCTTTTTCTTGAAAGGTCATACATTTAGTCACAGAATGCTGCTTATGTGTTGATGATGTTTTGTAGTTTAAGAGCA
The DNA here is from genome assembly GCF_000001405.40 of Homo sapiens. NCBI lineage: Eukaryota > Metazoa > Chordata > Mammalia > Primates > Hominidae > Homo > Homo sapiens. The sequence continues at coordinate 18,944,689 of NC_000024.10, read as the reverse complement.
GAGGTAAAACACAGTTTGAAGCAAGTTTTTTTGTATACACTATTCATATGAGGTGCGTAAAACAGTCAAACTTAGAGACGTAGAAAACAGAATGGTGGTTGCTAGGGAAGGTGAGGAGAGTGAAAAGGGAGATACTGATCTACAGTTAAGTTACTTGAGATGAGTAAGTTCTGAAGATCTGCTGTATGTCACAGGGCCTAGTGTTAACAATAAGGTTTTATGGACGCTTGAGTAACTCCTAAGAAGAGACTGATCATGCTTTTGACCTTGCAAGGAAAAATCTCAGTAGAAAGCAAAAATTCCTTGATATTTTCAACAACTCAAGATGCTGTTTAAGAGATTTGAAAATTAATACATAGTTGTAAAGCCTTAACCTTTTATGAAAGTGGTTTAACATCTTTCAAGTGAAAAGGAGCACATTTCATTGTATTTTAGCTGCACTTTGTCCTCCGTAAGCTGAATATTCAGAATCTCTCACATTTTTATCATCTGGTGTGTAGCAGCTGGTAGATTTTTCTTTTTATCCTTCATGTTTTTATTTGATAGTCCAGCTATATAAATTTAAGAATCAAAAAAAAAATTATTTTATTTTTTTCTCTTAGAAGGGATTTGTCTTCTTTAAGACAACTTCCTGACCTCAGACATGTAGAAGGCTGTTGAATGCATTGGTGGATCCTGTCATTTCAAACAAAATCACATTTAGCTTTATTGAGAGCTGCAGGCCTGGATGGTGTTATATTGTGTCATTTAGTATTAAAGAAAAACAATAAAACTTTGAATGCCTGATCTTGTGTCTAAGCTCTTTACTGTGGAAAGGTAGGAAACTGGCTAGAGCAAAAACTATTCATTTGAAAAATAAGGATTTGAGGTACCTCAGACAACCACAGACACAGAACCCATGGTTTAAATTGGTATTTGTGGCTGGGCACAGTAGCTCATGCCTGGAATCCCAGGACTTTGGGAGGCCGAGATGGGTGGATCACCTGAGGTCAGGAATTGGAGACCAGCTTTGTCAACATGATGAAACCCCGTTATCTATTAAAAATGCAAAAAAAAAAAAATAGCCACTGTAGTCCCAGCTACGCGGGAGGCTGTCAGGAGAATCTTTTAAACCCAGGAGTCAGAGGCTGCAGTGAGCAGAGATTGCACTACTGCACTCCAGCCTGGATGGCAGAGTGAAACTCCATCCCAAAAAAGTAAAATAAATAAATAAATAGGTGGTTGTGTGGTTACATTTGGAGGCGTAAAAAATAAACAGATGTAAATTTATCAAATGAACCCAAGCGAAACCAGTTCAAAGGAAGTTTCCACGAGAAACTCCATATGTTAAATTTCTCTTTCTAATACCAAATGACAACAGACTTAAAAGAACAGACCATACCAACAAGGGCATTTTATCTCTAAAGGTGAGAAAAGGTTTTGGCACTATTTTCTGCCTTCTCTTTATAGTTGGTCACTATTTGGGTTATATTAAAAATAATTGGCCAGTGACAGTGTCTCATGCCTGTAATTGCAGCACTTTGGGAGGCCAAGGTGGGCAGATCATGAGGTTAAGAGTTCAAGACCAGCCTGGCCAATATGGTGCAACTCCATCTCTACTAAAAAAAAAAATACAAAAATTAGCCCAGCATGGTGGCATGTTCCTGTAGTCCCATCTACTCCAGAGACTGAGGCAGAATAATCACTTAAACCTGGGAGATGGAGGCTGCTGAGAGCCGAGATTGCACCGCTGCACTCAAGCCTGGGCTACAGAGTGAGACTCTGTCTCAAAACAAAAAACAAAATTATTGAGGAGAAACTTTCTCTCTCTCTCTCCTTCCTTCCTTCCTTCCTTCTTTCCTTCCTCTCTCTGTCTCCCCTCCTCACTCTCTCCCTCTGTCTCTTTTTCTCATATTAAAAATAATTATACAGGAGAAACTTCCCTCTCCCTCTCCCTCTCTCTCTCCATCTCTCTCTCTCTCTCTCTCTCATCTTGCTCTGTCACCGAAGCTGGAGTGCAGTGGTGTGATCATAGCTCACTGCAGCCTTGAACTCCTGGGCTCAAGGGGTCCTCCCACCTCAGCCTCCCAAGTAGTTGTGACTACAGGTGTGCACCACCAAGCCTGGCTACTTTTAATTTTTTTTTTTTTTTTTTTTTTATAGAGATGGGGTCTCCGAATGTGGCCCAGGCTGGTCTCAAACTTCTGGCTTCAAGGGATCCTCCCACCTGGGCCTCCCAAAGCGTTGGAATTACGGGCATGAGCCCACCATACCAGGCAGGAGGAACTTTTTATAACAGCCAATATATCCTGAGTTAGGTATTACAATACCATACAGTGACAATTTCCAAGTATATATATATGTCTTGGTTTAAGGAGTAAAATATAGTTGAGTCTATGCAGCATTCATCTTGCATTAGTACGTGAAAGATATTTTCATTGGTAAAAAGACTATATTTTCAATATACAGATGACCCTTGAACAGTGTAGAGATTAGGGGCACTTACTCTCCCATGCAGTCAAAAATCCATGTATTACTTTTAACTCCTCCAAGACTTAACAGTTAATATACTGCTGAAAAGACCAGAAGCCTTACAATAACATAGAGAGTCAACTAACGCATATTTTGTATGTTATGTATACTATATACTGTGTTGTTACAATAAAATAAGGTAGAGAAAAAATGTTATTAAGAAAATCCTAAAAAAATGAAATATAGTTACTGTTTATCAAGTAGTAGTGGATCATCGTAAAGGTCTTCCTCACGTCATCTTCACACTGAAGAGGCTGAGGAGGAGAATGAAGAGGAGGGGTTGGTCCTGCTGTCTCAGGACCTCCAATGCAGTTCAAACTCATGTTGTTCAAAGGTCAATTGTAAGTTCTTCTTCCAAAGACAGGTGTGTATTACCTTTGCCTGACTGTCATAGTTCACCCATATAGGTGTGTAGGCTGAGTCTGACACTTAATACTCTCAGTTATGGCTCTCTGTTTCATTCTATGCTATTTTTGGAAGGCCAAGAAAAAATACAGAAAAGATCTTCTAGATAAAGAGTCAACTATTTTATGAAAAAAATGTTGGGAAACTGATTGTGTTTCATAGTAATAAGCCATATTCTGTTTAGGAACTCAGATATCTGTTTGCAGTAACATATATTTATGGATGCTCACACATACATGAATAAAACCTAAATAGATTATCTAGTTTAATTCCTTTTTTAAAGATGGCTAGATATCTAAGTTTTTCAGGACAAATAACATTTTCTTCCTTAAAAAAAAAAAATTATTCCCTGCAGGACATGGTGGCTCACACCTGTAATCTCAGTACTTTGGGAAGCTGAGGCTGGAGAATTGGTTGAGGTCAAGAGTTTGAGACCAGCCTAGGAAACATAGGGAGAACCTGTCTGTACAAAAAATATAAAAAGTAGCCAGGTGTGGTGGTGTTCTCTCTTAGTCCCAGCTACTCAAGAGTCTGAAATGGGAGGATGGCTTGAGCCTGGGAGTTGGAGGCTGCAATGAGACACAGTCGCACCACTACACCCCAGCCTGGATAATAGAGTGAGGCTGTGTCTCAAAAACAGAAGAAAACAAAACCTAAAATGAAAAAAACCTTATTCTTACACCTGAAGATGGTGAGGGAAAAAAAAAAACTTACACTTACACCTGAAAATTCTGAAATCAGTCTTCCTTATTAGTCTTGACTAATGTATAATCAACTTGTAATTAGGTTGACTTACACCCAAATACTTTCTGGATATGTTTTAGCTGTCTGTTTATTCATTTTATACTTAGGATAATGAATGAATATCTTCTGCATACAATTAAAATATTTTGAAGATAATTTAGCCAATCATCTTTAAACTCCCCATTTTCAAGCTAAATAGGCAAAAAATCTATTATTTTTTATTGAACTAATTTTCTAAGCCTGGTCTTTTCATGCATGTAAAACCTCAAGTGTGGGAGTCAATGCTAATCCCAGGGTTTGGTTTAGCGATGAACAGTTTCTTGATTTGAACAATGGGTATGAGACAAAGGACTATTTGGAACCAGATTTCCAGCAGTAGGGTAAAGTCAATCACAGCCTTGTTTTCTTTCTGAATTTGCAACCCCAAAGTATGTTCCCTTTATGAGACCTAAATGCAGCAGCAGAAGTCCAATGTTAGAACATGTGATTCCACTTCCAGCTTAAAAGGAAGAGATTCCATGTGTGACACTGGCTACTTCTTAACTTTGCCTTGGTATTTTTGAAGTATTTAAAATATGCACCAAAATGTTGCTTGACTTCTTATTATTGTAATTGTTTGAGACAGAGTGTAACTCTGTCACCCAGGCTGCAGTGCAGTTGTGCCATCACAGCTCACTGCAGCCTTGATCTCCCTAAGCTCAGATGATCCTCCCATCTCAGCTGTCTAAGTAGCTGGTACTATACTATCATGCCCAAATAATGTTTGAGTTTTTTCCAAAGTTAGAGGTCTCACCATGTTGCCCCAGCTGGTCTCAAATGCCTGAACTCAACCCATTTACCTGCCTCAGCCTGCCAAAGTGCTGGGATTACAAACATGAGCCACTATGCCTGGCCTTAACCAATTTTCAATCTGTAATGATAGTCTATCAGCCATATCAACTCTTTTATGAGGTTTGATATAGGGCATACATAATGTTAGAATGCTTAAACTAGTAGACAGCCATATAGGTCTCAAGAGAGTCTATGCCTGAAGAACCCCTGCTTTGGTGGAACAGTTTCCATTTACTCTATCAGGCCCTTCCTTGAAGCCAACACCTGGCTGTTACCACCAAGTGGCTTGGTATGGATGATATATTTGCTGCACACACCAACACGTGCTGGACCCCGTCCATTTGATTTCAGACAACACTATTGTGATGATTAATTTTAGGCAGCAACTTTAGCTATCTGAGGGATACCAGGTGTGTGCCTGTGAGCAGGTTTCTGGAATAGACTGGCCTTTGAACTGGTGGACTGAGGACGGCAGACCCACCCTCAGCAATGTGAGTGGACATGATGATTCAGACTGTACAGCACCAGAGGTAGAAAAAAAATAACAGAGGAAAGGTGAATTTGCTCTCTCTCAAGCTGGGCAGTCATCTTCTTCTGCTCTCTGTCACCCTAACTTAGGTTCTTAGAAGACAGAACCTTCATATCTGGAACTGACACTAGTGATGTCCCATATTCTCAGGACCTTGATCTTGGACTGATAGTTACATGGTGAACTCTCTGGTTCGCAGCCTTCGGAAATACTGGAATTACAACACCAGCTTTCCTCTTTCTCCAACTTGCACGTAGTAAGGCTTGGGACCTCTCAGCCTCCATAATAACTTCAATTCCCATAATAAATCTTTATGTATCTATCTATCTATCTATCTATCTTATCCATCTATCCATCTTATTATGTCTCTATGTATCGGTTATCTGTTTATTATCTATCTCCATCATGTATCTATCATCTATCTATATTGATCATCATCATCTATCATATCTATCATCTGTCACATCTATCTTCTATCAGTCATCTATTATTTTTCTTTTTCTTTCTTTCTTTCTCTCTTGAGAGAGAGAGAGAACATCTCCTTCTCTTGCCCAGGCTAGATTGCAGTGTTGCAATTTTGGCACACTATAGCCTTCAACTCCCAGGCTCAAGCAATCTTCCTATCTCATCCCCCCGAGTAGCTGGGATTGCAGGTATGTGCCACCATGGCCAGCTAATTTTTGCATTTTTAGTAGAGATGGGGTTTTGCCATGTTGGCCAGGCTGGTCTTAAACTCCTAGTCCCTAGTGATTCCCCTGCCTCAGCCTCCCAAAGTGCTAGGATTACAGGAGTGAGCCACCACACTCAGCCTCTATTATTTTCCCTACTGGTTCTGTTTCTCTGGAGAACTCTGGCCAGGTAATTGAATAGTTTGTGCCAAATTTATCTAATCAGTTGCATAAATGAAGATGATTCAGCACATGTAGTCACATTATACAGATAGATTTCTTTTCTTTTCTTTTTTGCGATGGAATCTCACTCTGTTGCCAGGCTGGAGTGCAGTGGCGTGATCATGGCTCACTGCAATCTCTGCCTCTTCGGTTCAAGTGATTCCTCTGCCTCAGCCTCCTGAGTAGATGGGACGACAGGTGCGCAACAGCATGCCCAGATAATTTTTTGTATTTTAGCAGAGACGAGGTTTAACCATGTTGGCCAGGATATTTTCGATCTACTGACCTCATGATCTGCCCTACTTGCCCTCTCAAAATGCTGGGATTGCAGGTGTCAGTCACCAAGCCACTCAGAAGGATTTATTTGGGAGAATATTTTGGTGAGTATGAGTATGAGGTGTGAGCAGTTGTTCAGAGAGAACCAAATTCCTTCTTCTTGTGTTGAAGGGTTAAGAGTGTAGGCATGTAGAATTTACAAAAAACAAAAAAATTGTTTTGCAAATTTTTATCAGTCTAAAAATGTGATCTACCTATCCAACATTGTTGACAGCACATTGTTCATTGTGGTTGTAAGTCATCTATTCTCATCTTTCCTTCTTTCTTCCTCCTTTTTGAAAACCAAGATAGAGAGGTCAGGCACGGTGGCTCACAGCTGTAATTTCAGCACTTTGGGAGGCTGAGACCGATGGATCACAAGGTCAGGAGACCAAGACCATCCTGGCCAACATGGTGAAACCCCATCTCTACTGAAAATACAAAAATTAGTTGGGCGGGGTAGCACGTGCCTGTAATCCCAGCTACTCAGGAGGCTGAGGCAGGAAAATCGCTTGAACCCAGGAGGCAGAGGTTGCAGTGAGCTGAGATCGTACCACTGCACTCCAGCCTGGCGACATAGTGAGACTCCATCTCAAAAAAAAAAAAAAAAGCCAAGATAGAGAATTTCAGCTGGTCAGCACCAAGGTAGAACTTACATGTTGAAGAGAGTGTGTAGAATGTGTCTTTGAGTACCCTAAATGGTGAGATATATACTACAGATTTTTGATTTTGAAGTTTGGGGAAGTATCTTGATCTGCAAGAAGTTCCAACGTCTGGGTATTTACCCATGGGAAAAGAAAAATTGTCTAAAGAAGACACTTGCACTCATATGTTTATCACAGCACTACAATAGCCAAAATATAGAATCAACCTAAGTGTCCATCAGTAGAGGACTGGATAAAGAAAATGTGGTATAGGTACACCATAGGATATTATCCAGCCATAAAAGAAGAGTGAAATATTGTCTTGTAGTAACCTGGATGGAGTTGGAGGCCATTATCCTAAGTGAAATAACTCAAAAACAGAGATAAAATTACCCCATGTTCTCACTTGTAAGTGGGAACTAAACAGTGTGCAGGTAGGGACATAGACAGTAAAATAATGGACACTGGAGACTTAGGAGTGTGAAAGTGGGTAGGAGCTGAGAAATTACCTATTCGGCACAATGCTTACTATTTGATTGATGGGTTCACTAAAAGCCCAGATTTCACCAGTACAAAATTGTGTATGTTAGAAACCTGCACTTCTACCCCTAAATATAGAAAACTAAAAAATTTCTTAAAGGAAAATAAGCAAAAGTGATGTATTGGAAGTCTCTTCCACCCTTTACTTTCTAGTGTTTTATGATTCCATAATCAATGAGTAGTTGTCAGAAGCTCATTAATGATGTGATGATTATTCACTTTGAAGTTGACATGGTGGGCAAGTTTCTGCTTGCTCTGCACAAGGCCTTTGGGCTGTTGTCAGGAGGACTTGATGGAAGGGTTATGAAACCAACTTTACTTTTGAACTTATCAGTGCCTAAGGAGAAATATGAATCTTCCCCAGAAGTGTGGAAGTGGGTAGGGGTTGAGAAATTACCTATTGGGCACAATGCTCACTCTTTGTTTGATGGGTTCACTAAAAGCCCAGACTTCACCACTATAAAATACGTGCACATAAGAAACCTGCATTCGTTCCCCTAAATATGGAAAACTAAAAAAGTTCTTAAAATAAATAGGAAGTCAAATAGGAAAGATGCTTAAGGTTATCTGTAGTTTTTACTCAGCTGTTCCTGGCTCCCCTTACCACAAGAAGACAGTTCTTTTGGCTTCAAAGCACTTCAAAGGCATCAAAGAAGCCACATGTGAGTGGGCTCACAAATTCCAAAACAAAGTGATTATATTCTTATGTTAAATGTTCAGACTCATGACATATCACAGGATTGCGAGTCGAACAATGAGGTAACATTCCTACTCTATGGAATCACAAAGAATCAAAAACCATCTGAAAAAGACATGTCTGTGAGGAGCGAGAATAAATTCATGACATAAATTCATGATGTTTGGTGATCAGGCCAATTTACAAAATAGTATTAATCACCTGTGAGCTAATTGGTTGGCTCACTCTTTTGGAGCAGAACTCAGGAGGCAGAGATTGCAGTGAGCCATGATCACACCACTGCACTCCAGCCGGCAACAGAGTGACATTCCATCTCAATATTATTCATTTTATTTGAAAAGGAGCATTGGTAGCTGAATTTACAATAAGCATCCGTTGGGGAGATATTTCTTAGAGGCAGCATTTCAAAGTTAAAAATACTTACATTTCAAACAGGAAAAGATTTAAGTGTGTGTGCCATATTTCATTTGGTCTGATGGCCATGACATTGAGAAGGATGGTATTAGAAAGACCAAAACAACGTGGGACTTCCCCTGTGAAAATGCTGTGGGCTTCTGTGGAGTTGAGGATGTGCAGGACACGGGAAGCCCAGGGGAGGAGCATTCTGTAGCTACTGGGCCACGTCTCCATGGGATGCTTCCCTAGCCCAGACTCTTTGCCTTTATTTCAACTGACTTTACATTCTAGGGGATAAAGCTTAGCTGTGACTCTCATAATTACAGAAGGATCATAGAAGTTCTTGTTGGGCTGCTATTTCCAAAGACCACCTTCCCAAGGGGACTCAGATCTAGGAATCCTCCCTTTCCTTAGGGAAGGAGGTCTTCATGGTGCCATGAGGTTGAATGGGTGCAAAAGAAGAGGCACTGAGACCTGGGAAGAGGGTATTCTTGCTTGCAGATATGCATCCCTGTAGGTAGTATAGGTTCAACTGTTTCAACATATACATCTCATAGATTTATGTCACTCCAGTGTGTACTAACTATATTGTGAATATATTCAAACATGATACTTTTATATTAATAACATATTTACTCTTTGTATGTTTTGGCATCATGACCAAAATATGTAATATATACTATATATAATATAACCATTGCAATATAATTTACTCATAATAATATAATAATTATGCAACATACTAATATAATTATGTAACATAAAATGTTTCATTATGTACTATTATAATATGTAATACTACATACTGTGATATATATAGCATATAATCACAGTATAACTGTAATGTAATATATAGTATTTATATCATATGAGATATATTAATTACAACATAATTATATATTGTATAAGTTATACAATTATGTTACTATAACATATAACATGTCTTATATATAATATGTTATATATAATAAGATATATGTTATAATTAATATATCTCAATATAATTTTTTATTTTTATTATTATTTTACTTTAAGTTCTGGGATACACGTTCAGAACATGCAGGTTTGTTACATAGGTATATATGTGCCATGGTGGCTTTATAAATTCTATTTTAGTTATATAAATTTTATATAACATTATGTAAATATGTTATAGTTATGTAATTATTTAATATATCATATGAAAATATTTGGTGACTCATGCCTCTAATCCCAGCATTTTGGGAGGCTGAGGTGAGAGGATCACCTGAGGTGAGGAATTCAAGGCCAGCGTGACCAACATGGAGAAACACTGTCTCTACTAAAAATACAAAATTAGCTGGGCATATTGGCACATGCCTGTAATCCCAGCTACTAGGGAGGCTGAGGCAGGAGAATCACTTGCACTGGGAGGCTAAAGTTGTGAGCCAAGATTGCACCGTTGTGCTCCATCCTGGGCAACAAGATGAAACTCCATCTCAAAAAAAAGGAAGAAACAAAAGTTTATAATAATAACATATATTATGTATTATAAATTTTTCATATATACATAGTATATTATAATAGAAAAATTAATTTATTGATTTCTTCATTTACTTGTTTACTTTTTTTGTTTTTTTGTTTTTTTTTTTTTTTTGAGACGGAGTCTCTCTGTGCCGCCCAGGCTGGATTATAATGTCACAATCTCCGCTCACTGAAACCTCCTCCTCCCAGGTTCAAGGGATCCTCCTCCTTCAGCTTCTTGAGTATTTGGGTATACAGGTGTGCACCCAGCTAATGTTTTTGTATTTTTAGTAGAGATGGGGGTTTCACCATGTTGGCAAGGTTGTTCTTGAACTCCTGACCTCAAGCAATCCACCCGCCTTGGCCTTCCAAACTGCTGGGATTACAGGTGTGAGCCACCACGCCTGGCCTGTTTACTTATGTATTATTGTTTTTAGAGAAGGAGACTCATTGTTTCCCAGACTGGTCGTGAACTCCTGGCCTCAAGTTATCCTACTACCTTGGCCTCCCAGTTGAGATTATAGGTGTAAGCCACTTTGCCAGGCCTAAAATATAAATTTTAATTATACTATATGTGATATACAGTATAGCCTTCCTTCTATAATGTACATATATGTATATTACATATACACATTACATGTATAACTATATATTATATGTGACATATAATACATAACAATTCATGTAAATTATATTTATAAAATATATTGTGTATTTATATTAATATAATTATGCATGTGTGTATATGTATATATACCCACATATATATGTGTATATGTGTGTATATTTTTTATATATATGTATATATCTCATAATGACAGCTCTATCATTCTGTATCTGAATTGACATTTTTTATATTTGAGTATATTTTATTTAAAAATGACTATTATAGTTAGTTGCTATCTTAATATTTTAGATTAGCCATTATCATTCTTTCTTTATAGCTCACTAATGAGTTATTCCTTTTAGATTGTTAAAAGTGGTCTGCCCTTTCTAAGTAATAATGTATACCCTGACTATAAATCAAGTCTCAACAGTGAGCTACGTTTAAGCTGAATAAATAAATAAGGTCCTGGGAGATCAATTCCAATATAATGCAGGTTATCTGGCCCAATCACTGATAATAATTTGTAAGACAGTGATTAGAAGTCAAAAGTAAACATGTTGCAATTATTAAATTTTAAATGTTTTTAATAATTTTAACTTCCATTTTGATTGTGTTTTAAATAGAACTGTCCATTTGGCTATGAGCGAATCATCCTGCTTGCTTTTATAAGCATTTATCCTGAAAAGAAATTTAAAGCAGACATCCCATAAATGGAGTCTGGGACAGAAACCTACACATTGGGGTAGGTTTCAGAGGAATGATTAAGAGCAAAATATCAGCTTAACTTAAATGACAGGTGACAAATGAGTACAACTGAAAATTGTTCTTGTCATGTTCACATATAGCTCATTACTTTCTAACCTTTATTTTTCCCCTGCCAGATCTTGAAGAAAAAGCTTAATTTTAAAATGTCATGGATAATTGTGTATTCATTCCTATTACCATTTATTTCTGTAAAATCATTGATTTATTCTTTGTGCTGCATTTTTAAAATTATTTAAATATCATTTTATAAGCTTTTTAAAAGTTATCACAACTCAGTGCTATCGCTAAGATATATAGCACCCTTAGATAGAGATGAAAATTCTCTTAGTTTTTATTATATTGAAGGAGTAACTCCACACTGAGACAGATGCTACAACTCAAAACAGTCCCTTGAGCTATGAAAACTTATATGGCAGGAGAACATTAAAAACCCAAAGTATTTTTGAAGCTTAGTGTATTTTTCTTTTTCTCTTTTTTTTTTCTTTTTTCCAGGCTTGGTGGCATGCATGTTTAGTCCCAGCTACACAGCAGGGAGGCTGAGGCTGAAGGAATACTTGAGCCCAGGAATTCAAGACTAGCCTGCACAACATAGTGAGACCCTGACTTTAAAATAAATTTAAAAAAATTAAAAGCAACAAGACTTTCTGCTTGTATATGATGATGTTAGTATGCTGACTTACAAGGTTAGATCATTTTGATATGTGTGATGTAGGTTTTCAAAGCTGGCACTGTTTTATGCTTCAAATATTATTTTTATTCATTGGTTCTCATGGGATTTCATCACTAAGCTGTAAATCAATAATCATAATGTTGAGGGGAGGGGATTACAAAATAGCTCTTCAAAATCATCTTTGCATTTCTCAATAAACAGCATTCCCTTTTGGACTACAGTGAAAAATATTGAGCTTTGTTTACTTTGAAAATGAGTCTTAGTCTATGAATGCCTGGGTAGGGTCAAGAATGAAAAATGAGAGGAAGAGAGAAGCATCAGGAAGATAAAATGATCAATCTCACAAAACTTGCTATTTTTAGAAAGCATCATTCTAATTTTGAAACCAAAAAAATGGGGAAAAACAGAGTAATGGAATAATAGAATGCCTCATGTACAAAAGCAACAATTTCAGAGATGATCTAAAACAACTTATTAGTTATAGGAAGAAATATACCTGAAAAGGGCAAAAATAAGTTGGGTTTGGCCTCTTGTCACTGAAATTATCTACTAAATCTAACAGCATCTATGTTCCTTTAGCTGTTGTGTATATTGTACACAAATGTGAAACCATAACTCATATTTTACCTATAACAATTTGCAATAAATAACTAATTATGAAGGCTTGCATGTCATTTTTGAAGACCTTGTAAGTCTAATTCAAAGGAATTTTCCAAGAAAAATATTGGGAGGTAGGGTTATACATTGACATATATAATTATACACCTATGCCATATATATGTATGTATGTGAATAATGAACACACATAGGTAATTTGAGATTGATTCCTCTAAAAAACTGTGCTCACCAGGTGTGGTGGCTCATGACTGTATCCCTAGCGCTTTGGGAGGCTGAGCCAGGCAGATCACTTGAGGTCAGGAGTTTGAAACTAGCCTGGCCAACATGGTGAAAACCCATATCAAGGGTGTGGTGGCATGCACCTGTAATCCCAACTTCTTGGGATGCTGAGGCAGGAGAATTGCTTGAATGCAGGAGGTGGAGATTGCAGTGAGCCGAGAACGCATCACTGCACTCTAGCCTGAGCAACAGAGCAAGACTCAGTCTCCAAAAAATAATAATAATAGTAATAATAATAATACTCGGAGCTTACTAATTTTTATAGGTTTCTTAAAAAATAGTTCTAAGTTTTAGAACTCCATGTTTTATGTGAATACTGAGTTATTTTATCTCTATTTATTAGACTTTCTTTTCCCATTTAATTCCTTTAGCATTCTTGCCAAAAAGCAACATGCTATATAAATGAGGGTCAGTGTATGTCCTCTTTATGCATTGCTAATTTGCCTCTATGTATAATAATAACAGGACCTCTGAATTCCTGATGTTTACAGTAAATTCTGGGATTACACAACCTCCTGTATATACAGTTCTTTTTCAATATCATGTGTCTCTTCTTGGTCCTTCACATTTCCAGATAATACTTAGATAACACTTCTCCATTTCTGCTTAAAAATCCTATCAGTATAATGAGAAAATTTGCATTAAATATATCAACCAATTTGAGAAGGTTTTGTATTTAACAACATTAAGTCGTTTAATCCATGCACGTGGTATATATTCCAATTTATCTCAGTCTTCTTATTTTCTTTTTTTTATTATTATACTTTAAGTTAAAGGGTACATGTGCACAACGTGCAGGTTTGTTACATAGGTATACATGTGCCATGTTGGTCTGCTGCACTCATCAACTCGTCATTTACATTAGGTATTTCTCCTAATGCTATCCCTCCCTAGCTCCCCACCTCCCAACAGGCCCTGGTGTGTGATGTTCCTCGCCCTGTGACCATGTGTTCTCATTGTTCAGCTCCCACCTATGAGTGAGAATATGCGGTGTTTGGTTTTCTGTCCTTGTGATAGTTTACTTAGAATGATGATCTCCAGCTTCATCCATGTCACTGTAAAGGACATGAACTCATCCTTTTTAATTCAGCGTTCTTCTTTTCTTAAAATCGTGCTATGTGGATTTCAGTGGTGAGATCTTGGATAATTTTTTTTTCTTTTAAATATTCTGGCCAGTCATGGTGGCTCATGCCCAGCACTTTGGGAGCTGAAGTGTGTGCATCACCTGAGGTCAGGAGTTCAAGGCCAGCCTGGGCAACATGATGAAAGCCCGTATCTACTAAAAATACAAAAATTATCTGAGCACGGTGGTGCATGCCTGTAATCCCAACTACTCAAGAGGCTGAGGCAGGAGAATTGCTTGAGCCCAGGAGGTGAAGATTGCAGTGAGCTGAGGTTGTGCCATTGCACTCCAGCCTAGGCAAAAGAGCATGGCTCTGTCTCAAAAAAAAAAAAAAAAAAGAAAAAGAAAAGAAAGAAAAAAATTCTAAACATTTACTGTTTGTTTTTATACTAAAAGGAATGAATTTTTTAGTTTTATTTATAATGGCTAGCTGCTAGTATGTAGAAAAATTGATTTATTTATATCACCTTTGTAAATTGCAACCTTGCAAAGTTCATTTAATGGTTCTACTATTGATTTGAATGTTCATTAGGAATTTCTGCATTTGAAAAGCATATTGTCTTTGGATATAGACAATTTCACTCATTGTTTTAAAATCTATATGAAATATATCTGTCTTTCTTGGAACACTGCAGTGGCTGGGACTTCCAGTACAATCTTGAGGAAATGAGGTGATAGTGCATATCAATGCTTAGCTCCCAATCTCAAAAAAGACAGTGTTCCATATTTCACTATAAAGCAGAATGTTAGCTGTATGTTTTTATATTAGATGTCACTGATCAAAATCAAGAAATTCCAGGCCAGATTATGGGCTCACACCTGTAATTCCAATACTTCGGGAGGTTGTGGCAGGAGAATAACTTGAGCCTAGGAGTTTAAGACCAGCCTGGGCAATATGGTGAGACCCTGACTCTACAAAAATTTAAAAAATTTGCTGGGTGTGGTGGTGTATGCCTGTAGTCCCAGCCACTCAGGAGGCTGAGGCTGGAGGACTGCTTGAGCCCAGGAGTTGAAAGCTACAGTGAGCTATGATCACGTCACTGCACTCTGGCTTAGGCAACAGAGTGAGATTCTGTCCATAAAAAATAAATAAATACATAAATACATAAATAAATAATTTTTTTATTCTTACTGTATGTGGAGATTTTATCTTTAGTATTTTTTGTATCCACTCTAGTAAGAAATTATCATGCTATAATTTACTCTTTGTAGAATTTTTGTCAGGAGTTCATATTAAAATTACATTGACATAAAATAAGTCTCTGAGTGTTTCTTCTCCATTTTCTGAAATAACTTTTGAAGACATATATAATTTCATTAAAATTGTCAGTGTGAGGAAAAACATTCTGAATTTCTAAACCACTTAAGACATGGATAAGCATATGGAAAATTATACCTGGTTATGAGACCTTCCCAACACAAATGAAATGCAGCAACAGAGATATTTATATTATTATTATTTTTTTTTTTTTTTTGAGACTGAGTCTCATTCTGTCACCCAGGCTGGAGTGCAGTAGTGCAATCTCGGCTCACTGCAATCTCTGCCTCCAAGGTTCAAGCAATTCTCTGCCTCAGCCTCCCGAGTACCTGGGATTACAGGCACCCACCACCACACCTGGCTAATTTTTTTATTTTTAGTAGAGACGGGCTTTCACCATGTTGGCCAGGATGGTCTTGAGCTCCTGACCTTGTGATCCACCCATCTCGGCCTGCCAATGTGCTGGGATTACAGTCATGAGTCACCACATCTGGCCTAGATATTTATATTCCAATCCAGTTTTATTGTGGCTGTCTTCTGACCATGGTTCACTTCTGCTTCTACAGAATCTGTCTTTATCCCTCAGTTTCCTAATGCAGTTTGTTTAGCAACTAATTAGACATTATGGTTGTCCAGGTATGTGACATAGTTGAGTGGTTAAACACATGGAGTTCAGAGTTAGAAAGGGAAAGTTTCTAGACCTGGAGTGTACCCTTGCTAGTTAAGTTGTCCTGGAAAAGTTATTTAAACACTCTAAGTTAAAGTGCCACTGTCTTTAACACTGGCATAATAGTATCTTCTCAGTAGATTATAATATAAATTGAATTTATTAATGCTTATTAAACAGAGTTGACAGCCCTGCTCATGGTGAAAGATGGCACTTCTTGCAATTTGGTTCACATTCATATTGTGTTGAAACAGCCATTTATCTTAGACTTTTTACATTAACCTTACTTTCAGCAGATTTCTTGTAACAAAGAGGTAATTTATTATTTATTTATTTACTTTACAGAGCCTCCTCTGTCACCTGGGCTGGAGTGCGATGGTGTCATCTTGGGTCACTGCAGCTTCTGCCTCTTAGGTTCAAGTGATTCTCATGCCTCAGCTTCCCAAGTAGCTGGGATTACAGGCATGCGCCACCAGGCCCAGCAAAGTTTTGTATTTATAGTAGAAATGGGGTTTCACTGTGTTAGCCAGGTTGTTCTCAAACTCCTCACCTCAGGTGATCACCTGCCTCTGCCTCCCAAAGTGCTGGGATTAAAGGAATGAGCCACTGGGTCGGGCAAACACAGAGATAAATTGAAAGCATATTTAAATGTTTCCTGTTTCATCAGTGTTTTGTCTCCTCAGTACCAAATAAAACAATATGATAACATCCAACAATAGCTTCACATAATGAAATAAAATTGTTTGAATACAAAGATAGGGCAACATGGCTAATGCCTTTATGAAATGCATTTGGAATTTGGATTCTGAAGATTGTATTGTGAAATTGTAGTTGCCACTTAACAAATGTAATAGCAATTGCTATTGCTGCCTGCTTCAAAAACACATGGATCCAATGTAGAAACAACACACTGAAAGCTACATTTCATATAATTTCAATTACTAAAATTGGCCTTGTCAAGAACATGAGTAATCTAAATTGGGTGTGTGAACTTATAGGTCCATAAACCTACTCCTCAATTAAAGAAGAAAATCAAAGGGTTGTTATTGTTACTCTTCCCATGTTGGCAAGTGAAGCCAAGCACAATATTATCGCTGTTGTTTTCCGTTTTTTCCTTTTCTGCAAATATATTTTCCAATATATTCTGAAGCAAGTGGTGAGCAAATATATTCTCCAATATATTCTGAAGCAAGTGGTGAGGGAGGCTGACTTCAGTTATTTTGTAGAGTCTCAGAACTTACATTTAAGGTGTTGCCAGATGACTATTTATAAGGAAACAGAAGTTAACTCTTCTGCAATAGTTTCTGCTAGTTATAAAACATCTTTGATTGCACACTTAACACCAACCCAGTCATCTTTATTTAAAGAATGCATTCAAGGCTGGGTGTGGCTGCTCATGCCTATAATCCCAACAGTTTAAGAGGCTGAGGCAAGAGTATTGCTTGAACTCAGGAGTTCAAGACCAGCCTGAATACCAAAGCAAGATGCTATCTTTATAAAAAATTTGAAAATATTAGGCATGGTGGTATGTGCTTATAATTCCAGGTACTTTGGAGGCTGACATTGCTGAGACCAGCTCAGTCGGGGAGACCCTAACCCAGTGGCGCTAGAGGAATTAAAGACACACACACAGAAATATAGAGGTATGAAATGGGAAATCAGGGGTCTCACAGCCTTCAGAGCTGAAAGCCCTAAACAGAGATTTACCCACATATTTATTAACAGCAAACCAGTCATTAGCATTGTTTCTATAGATATTAAATCAACTAAAATATCCCTTATGGGAAACAAAGGGATGGGCCAAATTAAAGGAATCGGTTGGGCTAGTTAACTGCAACAAGAGCATGTCCTCAAGGCACAGATCGCTCATGCTATTGTTTGTGGCTTAAGAATGCCTTTAAGACGTTTTCTGCCCTGGGCAGGCCAGGTGTTCCTTGCCCTCATTCCGGTAAACCCACAACCTTCTAGCGTGGGCATTAGGGCCATTATGAACATGTTACAGTGCTGCAGAGATTTTGTTTATGGCCAGTTTTCGGGGCAGTTTATGGCCAGATTTTGGAGGGCTTGCTCCCAACAGACATGGTAGGATTGTTTGACTCCAAGAAGTCATGGCTGCATTCAACTATGATCACACCGTGCAATCCAGGCTAGGCAACAGAGCAAGACCCTGTCTCAAAAAAAAATTGCATTTAAATCTGAACAAAATTTAAAGAAATAAAAAACAACACTTGACTGCATTCATCCTTCTGTCTGTCTTGTTTTTGATGAGACATGTTGGCGAATTTATAAATGCTGCTTTGACTGATATTGATGAGGTTTCCCTGACAACTCTAAAAGCACTGCAAATGTACTGATGAACAGAGCTTCTCTCAAGTTATTTTCCAGTCCTGTAGGACTCTGAAGTGTTCATTTATTATTTCCCCTCCTTGAGGCAATAACCTCTGAGAATTCACCCTAATTGGATTTGAAAGAATTGTATTGCCATGAGTTTGTAATCTCTCCTGGTTTCCTCTTAGCACTTGAGAGAGACTTCTGTCTTCTTTGAAGTTTACTTCCATTGGTCTTCCCATCAATTATATTCTCTAGGCTATCTTTTGTGTCTCAGTCCTTCATTAACACTATTTTTGTCTCTGGTCAACATTATCAGCCCTCATTACTTCAGCTTCATCTGTCTGTAGCTATTCTGGATTGAAGAGTGCACTCCTAAACTTCATGTACTCTGGAAGCTTCAGAATGTGACCCTATTTGGAAATAGGGTCTTTGCAGATGTAATTGATTAAGATCTTGGTATAAACTCATGGGCCCTAAATCCAATGACTAGTTTCATGATAAAAGAGAGAGAGAGAGAGGGAGGAGGACACAGAGACAAGAGAAAGAAGAACATGGAAAAATGGAGACAGAGATAGGACTGATGGAGCCACATGCCAAGGAACACCAGGAGCCACTAGAAAATGAAAGTTGCAAAAAAGCATCCTCCCCTAGAGCCTTCCACTGGAGCATGGCCCTAAAGTCACCTTGATTTGGAGCTCCTCAGTTGTTTACTGCAATTTATTACAGCAGCCCTGAGAAACTAACCCTCTAGTTAGCTCAGCATTCACTTTCTCTGATCCCATCTGCCTTTTCTCCTTTGAGTTCCAGACCAAAATTTGAACTCTACTCAAATGATTAAAACCGTCTCAAATTAACATTTCTTTTTTTTTTTTTTGTACTTTTAATTTAGGTTCAGTGGTCCATGTGCAGGTTTTTTATACAGATGCGTTGTGGGATCTAGGGTACAGATAATTTTGTCAACCATGTAATAAGCATAGTACCAGATAGGTAGATTTTCCATTTTCTCGCTCCTCCCTTCCTCCACCCTCAAATAGGCCACAGTGTCTCTCGTTTCCTTCTTGAATTCATATGTACTCAATGCTTAGCTCAATGTTATACTCAATGTATAAGTGACAATATATAGTGTTTGGTTTTCTGTTCCTGTGTTACTTCACTTAGGATAATGGCCTCCAGCTCCAAACATGTTGCTCTGATGGACAGGATCTCACTTTTGTTTATAGCTGTGTAGTATATATGTGTATACGTACCACATTTTCTTTATCCAGTTCACTGTTGATGGGCATCTAGTTTGATTACATGTTTTTGCTATTGTGAATCATGCTGCAGTGAACATATGTATACATTATCTTTATGGCAGAAGGATTTATATTCCTTTCGATATATACCTGAAAATGGGATTGGGTCTGATTAACATTTCTAAAGCAACAGGTATCTCCCTCCTCTTCCCAAAAGCTGTCTGTTCCTTCAGAGATTTATATTTGTAATAGTTTTCTTAACCCATTTTGGAGTCCAAGCTAAAACCTCAGCAGAGACTCTGTCCTCATTCCATACTTATGTTTATTTGGACTCCAAATTCCATGGATTCTTGTTTTATAGTTTCCCTAATTTAGATTCCCTCTTTTTCTTTACCATTGCAATTGATCAAGATGACATCAATACTTAAAGAGTGTCACACCCTAAAAAATATCACCTCTGCATTTGAATCATCCTGTCTGCTGCAAGCACACCCTTCCTCAGGCCAGCCCATTACTGCCTGGAGGAGAAAGTTGAAACACTGTCACATGTTATACACACAAAAGCCAACAGGTTCTGCTGCCTGACCAACATTAGGGTCTTAAGTTTTCTTGCTTTTCTTGATGTTCATGCTGGGATGTTCCATCACTCCAGTTTTCCTCCAGGCTCCTAAAGAACCCAATCCTTTTCTGTAGCTTTGTAAATTATTACTACCAGAAAGTTCCCTTTTGTGCTGGTCCAACTTCAAAATTATTGAAGTCCCACTTCAAATGTTATCTCTTACTTCAAAGTCTTCCCAACTCAGCCTATGTGACAAAATATCTGATCTCTTTCTACCCCTTTGGACCCAGTATTTATTTTTCATTTAGCTCTATCCTTGTTTTTTTTTTTTTTTTTTTTTTTTAAGAGGACTTACATGGTTTTTCACTCAGCAGTAATCTAAAAACTTTTTCAGTAAAATAACTCGGACTCATTTATATGTTCCCTTGTTGCTTGGCTTAGTGCCCGAGAGTGTACAGATATTAAATGCTTCTGAATAAAAGAGACTCATGTGAGTCAGAGTCAGACCACATCTCTGAAATCTTATGTTCAGTCCAACAAACTATGATTTAATTGTTTGGACCTGGCAGGAAGAAATATTTCCTTCAAACCTGAAACAGAGAAGACCTCAAAATTAAAGCTCTTCAAATGCATAATATGCCTTAGCAATATAACAAACTCAGGATGATGAGAGGTGTTTTTTTTTTTTTTTTTTTTTTTTGAGACGGAGTCTCACTCTGGGATGACAAGAGTTTTATGAAGAGTCAGATGCATCATCAGAAACAGAGGGAGTAGACTCTAACATGTAGGGAAGGCTGTGTTATGTAATATATGGAACACTGGCAGCCTTTCAGATCCTTGGCTGTTCATCTTTGCCTGTACTGCATCTCCACATTCTCCTTGCAATTGGAATGTGTATTTGAACAGAAAGTCATTAGAATAGCAACCTGCAGGCTTTGTATGCCAACCAATGGTTTTCCTGCCAATTTTACTGCTAAACACTGAAGTTCCTAATGGGGAAAATAAATACCTCCACTGTGGTGCAAACTAAGCTATCATAAAGAACAGGTCATTAGTGGTGGCAGTTTGTAGGAGCTGTGGTTATTATCCAATAATAGAAGATGCTGAGGAAGCCATGATGGTCTTTGAAATAACTTATTCAATCAACTGCCACACAAGCAGAATGCCACCTCCAGAGCGGTGTGCAAAACATCCACCCTTTCCATTTCAATAAAGACAAGAAAACACACAAAAATAGAGCTGGGATTCGCTCTGCCAAACCACAAAACCTCTTCACACCTGTTTTAAAAAGTATTAGATATAGACACATTACATTCTGGCAAGAACCTCTAAGGCTGAATAGTCAGTTCATTATTTTTATCATTCTACCATAATATAAAGAAAAAAAGGAAACAGTGCTTGCTCTTAATACACTATTTACAGACAGACACTGGGAGCCAGAAATAACTGTGAGGTGAAACAGTGCTCATGAATTATATATGTTGTCTGGTTTATATTATTTCTGGCACTCACAAGAAAACAAGGAGCATGAATCCTTTGGAGAGTAATTCGAGACTCATCAAACTCAAAGGATACCTTAGAAAACAATATCAAACCCTGAAACACAAGCAGAGTTCTAATGGAGTTGGGCAGTTGTCAAAAACAAAACAAAACAAAACAAAAGCAGAGAATTTACTCATTATGCTAAGTTGTTAGATAAAGCAGGAAAGGGCACATGTTCCTTGCTCCTCTGAAAAATATCCAAAGGGGTGGCAGGGTACGGTGGCTCATGCCTGTAATCCCAGTACTTTTGGAGACCGAGGCAGGAGGATCATGAAGTCAGGAGATCAAGGCCATCTGGCTAACACGGTGAAATCCTGCCTCTACTGAAAATACAAAAAAATTAGCCGGGCATGGTGATGGTCACCTGTAGTCCCAGCTACTGGGGAGGCTCAGGCAGGAGAATGGTGTGAACCTGGGAGGCGGAGCTTGCAGTGAGCAGAGATCGTGCCACTGCACTCCAGCCTTGGCGGCAGAGAGAGACTCCATCTAAAAAAAAAAAATATATATATATATATATACACACACACACACATATATATATACACACACACATATATATATACACATATATATACACACACACACATATATATATATATATACATATATATATATATATATATATGTATCCCAAGGGGCAGGGAGGTATACCATAATAATGTCAAAGAAAGCCCTGATATGCAACATTACCTTGATGGTTATCTAGAATATGCACCAAAGCACTAGATGTCAGCCAAGAGGGCAGCATGGCGAAAACAGAAAGGGCTCAGGCTTGGTTTCAAAGACAGCATGAGTGAGCCACAACTTGCATGACCTTGAAAAATCCCATCACCTGCTTCCTCATGTGGAAAACTGTACCTAGCACTGATAGATGATTTAATGGGGCACCTAACAGTACTGGGCAAATTGCAGGTAATAAGTGGCCATTCTTCTTCTCTCTTTCTGTCAAAGAATGTGCAGACTTCTGGGAAAACCTCCTTAGAATGTATGAGGGAGGAGAATCTAAAATTTTTATTATAAGAGGAAGTACCTATCCTCAGATGTGTTTGACCTTGTATGATGGCATGATGGACTCTAAGAGCTACAGCAATTTCTAAAACTCTTCTTTGTTAGAAATTTTATCATCTTGTACAGTTCTGCACTTGCAGTCAATTTAGGTTTCAACTGACATCAAAATGTGAATGATGAGTGAGAAAAATCTAAATTCCCTTCTTGACTCTGGTTCTTACCAGAATGATGACTTTAAATGGGCCTCTCCTGGTCTGCTTATCAGAGGTAGATCTCCCCAACACTGAAGCATGCATTTGGAAGTGTTGGCCACCTGTTCTCACGAAAGTGCCTTCTATCTTTGTTTAGTAGCTTGGATTCTGCTAGGCAGCATTTTGCCTGCTTCATCTCAGGGTTCTTTGATTTCTCTCTCTCTCTATGTGTAGATATTTCCTCCTAATTTCCCAGCAGACAGCTCAAATATATGATGAACAATTAACTCATTAGTTCCCCAAAAGTTCTCTTCCTGGAGTATTCATCAATTGATTAAAGTTAGCATTACTTGCCCAGTCCTTGTAGGGAGAGACTTCAGCATCAGCTTTGCCCTTTTTTATCTTCTCTGAATCAGATTCTAACATTTTTTTTCTTTGAGACAGAGTGTCACTCAGCCCACCCAAGCTAGAATGCAGTAGTAGGGAGAGACTTCAGAATCAGCCTTGCCCTTTTTTGTTTTCTCTGAATCAGATTCTAACTTTTTTTTTCTTTGAGACAGAGTCTCACTCTGCCCACCAAAGCTACAGTACAGTGTCACACTCATGGCTCACTGTAGCCTCAACCTTCCAGAGTTGAGCAATCTTCCCAACTCAGCCTCCTGAGTAGCTGGGACTAGAGGTGTATGACACCACACTTGGCTAATGTTTTATTTTTTTGTAGAGATGGGGTTTCATTCTGTTGCCCAAACTGGTCCCAAACTCCTGCCCTGATCAGATCAAGTGATCTGAGGCCTCCTGGGATACAGGCATGAGCCACTGTGCCCAGACAGATCCTAATATCTGATTACTTATTACAACCATCCCTTGTTCTCTGTTCCCACCTGATGATGTTCCTTCTGTCCATTCCATTTGTTTAGCATTAAATAATATTAAAATCTGTATCAGTTTTAGAGCTACAGAAACAATGTTCCACAAACTTGTTGCTTCAGGCAAGATAAATTTATCTTCTCACGATTCAAGAGACCAAAAGTCAAGGAGTTAGCAGGTCTGCATTGTCTCTGAAAGCTCTATCAGAGAATACTTTCTTGACTCTTCCAACTCTGCTGGTTTCTGGTAATCCTTGGGTTGTGGACACATAATTGCAACCTTTGCCTGGATCATGACTGTGTGGTGTTGTCTTCTCCTCCTTATGTGTATTGGTCTCTGTGTCTTCTGTTCTCTTTCTTTTCCTTCCCTCCTTCCCTCCCTCCTTCCTTCCTTCCTTCCTTCTCTCCCTCCCTCTCTTCTCTTTCCTTCTTTCTTTGTCTCCTTCCTTCCTTTCTTCTCTTTCTTTTTCTCTCTTTCTCTCTTTCTTTCTTTTCCTTCCTTCCTTCTTTCCTTCCTTCCTTCCCTTCTTCCCTCCCTCCCTCTTTCTTTCTTTCTCTCTCTCTCTTTCTTTCTTTTTTTGTTTCCTTCCTTCCTTCCTTCCTTCCTTCCTTCCTTTTCTTTCTTTCTTTTTTGAGGAAGGGTCTCTCTCTGTCACTTAGGCTGGAGTGTGGGGTGCCATGCTGGCTCACTGCAACTTCTGCCTCCTGGGCTCAAGTAATCCTCCCACCTCAGCCTCCTGAATAGCTGGGACTACAGGTGCACATCACCACACCTGGCTAATTTTGTATTTTTTGTAGAGGCAGGTTCTCCTGTGTTGCTCAGGCTGTTCTCTAACTTGTGAACTCAAGCAATTCTCTTGCTCTGGCCTCCCAAAATACAGGGATGAGCCACCTTGCCAAGCCATCTCTTCTTATAAAGACACCAGTTATACAGGATTAAGGTCACACACTACTGCACTATGACCTCATCTTAACTTACTTCTTAATGATATCTGCAAAGACTCTATTTCAAAATGAGGTCACATTCACAAATATTACAGGTGAGGAATTCAACATATTTTTTGAGGGAGACAAACCAATTCCTTACAAAGGAATAAATTGGTATAATTGACTTTCTTTTCTCCAAATTCAATATCATCACTCAACATTCAGCATGTCTCCAGGAGTTCTCTTTATTTGAAAACTCCAAAGCAAAGCCCATGCTTTAAGTTTTCCTTAACCAGCTCCCATGGCATAGCACTGTTTGCTCTTCACTTAGAAAGTTCTTTAAAATTGAGTTGCAGAATGCCTTGTTAGCCTACATCTTTCTTTCTTTTTTCTTTTTTTTCCAGCCGAGTTTTGCTCTTGTCACCCAGGCTGGAATGTAGTGGCATAATCTCAGCTCACTGTAACCTCCACCGCCCAGGTTCGAGTGATTGTCCTGCCTCAGCTTCCTGAGTATCTTGGATTAAAGGTGCATGCTACCATACCAAGGAAATTTTTCTATTTTTAGTAGAGATAGGGTTTCACCATGTTGGCCAGGCTGACCTCAAGTAATCCACACACCTTGGCTTCCAAAAGTGCTAGGATTACAGGCATGATCCACCATGTGAACACATCTGTCTTAATCATCATTTCTCCATCTACCCCAAGTCTTTAAGATTTGCTCGATTAGCGTGACCTGTTCCTCTGCCCCAACACCAGTGCCATCTTTTTGTCTATGATTCTTTTCCTAGGATTTTCTAAGATTCAAATAATCTCTCATCAGTTCTTCTGCCTCCTCCCCACAAAATATTATGTACATTATCTTCCTTCTTCCTTCTTCTACACCTTTTATTTTAGCATTTGTGTTTTAGGGAAAAGGATAATTTTCTTGTAGTCTCCACATCATGCATCAGACATGAGTATAGATGCTCGTCAATCAATTTCTTGCTTAATCCTTGTGAAGACATAGCTCAGTGCAGAATTATTCCTCTCACTTCAAAGGCAAGAAAAGTAAGGGTCAGGGAGATAAATGTACTTAAGTTTGTATGGCTAAAATTTGGTTGGAACCTTAATCTGATGCTGTTACTCATTCTACCCAGCTAATTTCCCCCTACTTTGTGGTTATGACAGGCTAGCACCCAAACAACATCCTGTTGATCTTTGTATGTCTAGAGCTCATTAGTGCCATGAGTTTTCCCAGACGGAAAATGAAGATACAATAGATGCATAATCTCTCTGCCTGTTGAATTCTCTACGGGTGCAGGACCTTACTGATGCTTCACATTTAAATAATGTTTTAGAGAATTCATATAGAGTGAAGGCATTTTGTCACAAATATTGCTACCAAAATGATCTTTGACCCCTTCAATTTCACCATTGAGGACTAATTTCCATGCATACAAATCTGAAACACTCTGTGGACATTTCTACTGTATCTACCATGGTAAAAACCTATCAGGTTTTACTTCTAGTTTCTGCTTTGATTTGAAGATAAAGTCAGATACACCCCCCAAAAAACATAAATATGAAAATATTATAAAAACTGAAGATGAGACAGCATAGAAGTGATGCAGCATCAACATTTAAATCAATACTCTGATTAATAAGTACAACTTGATTTAAGGCATTTCAGCTTGGGAGAGCTTTTAATGTTTATTATACAAAAATTAAAATGCTTTTCCTCTCAGATAAATTCTAATGGCTTTGTCTGGATAAAGTTGATGTGTGAGAAAATTTTGTTGATCTTGTTTTTAGTTTAAACTTTGAGACATACTGAATTTTATTTAATTGGTGTTTGAAGCAAGTTTTGAAGTGAAACAAATGTAAATTGTCTCAGTGAGTGAATTATTTAGGTTTGTATATTTTGAGTGCATTTTACCAAGTGTCTTCTCAAATATTAACTCCCTGAGTCTTTCATAATACCTTATCAATATAAAATTAAGTATAATGAACTATGTATGTACATTGATGTATGTATTTAAAATGTACTCTGTGAACCCAAAATATCTGAGACAGGTCTCAATTAATTTAGGCAAAATTAACTAATTTTGCTAAG
This sequence comes from Homo sapiens, assembly GCF_000001405.40. Lineage (NCBI taxonomy): Eukaryota > Metazoa > Chordata > Mammalia > Primates > Hominidae > Homo > Homo sapiens. The sequence goes on along the minus strand of NC_000024.10, from coordinate 18,917,967 downwards.
GTTAAGGACACACTGTGACACAGACTCAGGAAGTCATAATGATATGTGTCCAAGGTAGTTGGGTACAGTTTGCTTTTATACATTTTAGGGAGACATAATACATCAGTCAATACATGCATAAGATTTACATTGGCTTGATTGGGAAGGGCAGGACAATTGGAAGTAGGAAGGTGGGGGACTTGCAGGTCTTAGGTAGATTTAAAATTTTTCTGATTGGCAATTGGTTGAAAGAGTTATTATTAGGTTGGCCCAAAAGTAATTGCATTTTATTTTCCATGGCAAAAAACAGCAATTACTTCTGCACCAACCTACTATCCATAGAAAGGAGTATCTGCCTTAAGATAAAGGGTTGTGGAGACCCAGTTTTTATCATGCAGATGAAGCCTTCAGGTGGCAGGCTTCAGGGAGAACAGATTGTAAAAATTTTCCATCAGACTTAAGGTCTGTGTTAAGTTTAATTCTGGAGAGGTAGAATGAGGCAAGTCTGACCCCCTCATCCATCATGGCCTGAACTAGATCTTCAGATTAACTATAGAATGTCCTTATCCAAGAGGAGGGGTCCACTCAGATGCCTGGAGCAGGACTTAGAAGTTCATTTTTGGCTTACAATACATACATATATGGTGTGTGTGTGTGTGTTTATATATATATATGGTATATACATATATATGTATACATATATATGGGTATATATGTACATATATGGTATCTGTATGGTATATGCATATATGGTTTACATATATGTATACATACATATATATGGTGTGTGTATATATATGTACATACATATGGTGTGTGTGTATATACATGTACATACATATATATGGTGTGTATGTATATATATGTGTGGTAAGCCAAAAATAAACTTCTAAGTTTATTTTTGTGTATATATAATGTGTATATATAGTTTGTTTATATAATGTATATACATGCTTTACCTAAAACATATGGTATATATGTGTATATATTGTATAATACAGAATATTTTAGCACACATGTAATAGGTATATATCCATATAAGTAGTATGTAGATACATATATATGTATCAATATATTCAATATGTATGATTAGTATTACTAATATGTCATATGTAGTATTCTTTTTTTTATTATACTAGTTCTGGGGTACATATGCAGAACGTGTAGGTTTGTTACATTGGTATACACTTGCCATGGTGGCTTGCTGCACCCATCAACCTGTCATCTACATTAGATATTTCTCCTAATGCTATCCCTCCCCTAGCCCCCCACACCCCCAACAGGCCCCAGCATGTGATGTTCCCCTCCCTGTGTCCATGTTTTCTCATTCTTCAACTCCCACTTATGAATAAGAATATGCAGTGTTTGGTTTTCTGTTCTTATGCTAGTTTGCTGAGAATGACTGTTTTCAGCTTCATCCCACGTCCCCACAAAAGACATGAACTCATCCATTATTTTTTTTTTTTGGAGATGGAGTTTCACGCTTGTTGCCCAGACTGAAGTGCAATGGCGCAATCTCGGCTCACTGCAACTTCTGCCTCCCAGGTTCAAGTGATTCTCCTGCCTCAGCCTCCCAAGTAGCTAGGACTACAGGCATGCACCACCACACCCGGCTAATTTTGTATTTATTTATTTATTTATTTATTTATTTATTTATTTATTTTAGTGGAGATGGGGTTTCTCCATGTTGGTCAGGCTGATCTCAAACTCCCGACTTAGAGGTTCCATCATGTGTATGTGCCACATTTTCTTTGTCCAGTCTATCATTGATGGCCATTTGGGTTGGTTCCAAGTCTTTGCTATTGTGAGCAGTGCCACAATAAACATACGTGTGCACGTGTCTTTATAGTAGAATGATCTATAATCTTTTGGTTATATACCCAGATTACAGGGTCAAATGGTATTTCTAGTTCTATATCTTTGAGGAATCACCACACTATCTTCCACAGTGTTTGAACGAATTTACACTCCTGCCAGCAGAGTAAAGGCATTCCTGTTTCTCCATATCTTCTCCAGCATCTGTTGTTTTCTGACTTTTTAATGGTTACCAGTATAACTGGCATTAGATGGTATCTCATTGTAGGTTTGATTTGCATTTCTGTAATGACCAGTGATGATAAGCTTTTTTAAATATGTTTGTTGGCTGCACATGTGTCTTCTTTTGAGAAGTGTCTGCTCATGTCCCATGCCCACTTTTTGATAGGGCTTTTTCTAATTGTATATTTGTTTAATTTTTTTGTAGATTCTGGATATTAACCGTTTGTAGGTGGATAGATTGCAAAAATTTTCTCCCCTTCTGTAGGTTGCCTGTTCACTCTGATTATAGCTTCTTTTGCTGTGCCAAATCTCTTTAGTTTAATTAGATCCAATTTGTCAATTTTGGCTTTTGTTGCCATTGCTTTTGGAATCATGAAATCTTTGCCCATGCCTATGTCCTGAATGGTATTGACTAGGTTTTCTTCTAGGGCTTTTATGGTTTTAGGTCTTACATTTATATCTTTAATCCATCTTAAGTTAATTTTAGTATAAGATGTAAAGAAGGAGTCCAGTTTCAGTTTTCTGCATATAGCTAGCCAGTTTTCCCTACACCATTTATTAAATAGGGAATCCTTTCCCATTGCTTGTTTGTCTCAGGTTTGTCAAAGATCAGATGGTTGCAGGTGTGTGGTGGTATTTCTGAGGTCCCTGTTCTGTTCCATTGGTTTATATCTCTGTTTTGGTACCAGTACCATGCTGTTTTGGTTACTGTAGACTTGTAGTATAGTTTGAAGTCAGGTAGTGTGATGCCTCCACCTTTGTTCTTTTCAGTTAGGATTGTGTTGGCTATGTGGGCTCTTTTTTGCTTCCATATGAAATTGAAAGTAATTTTTTTTCTAATTCTGTGAAGAAAGTCAATGGTAGCTTGAAGGGGATAGCAATGTAATATTCTTAAGAGTATATTTTTAAAAGATGATAAATACATGGTAAAAATTTCAATGAAATTCAATATATAAAATGAAATATGCTTCTTCCACTCTTATTCATGAGAGTAAAATATTATTACCAAGTTTTTTGTACTTCCAAAATATACATACACACACACACAAACACATACACAAATACAAATACAAACATTTATTTGTACATGTTCACTATCTTTCTGTTTAATCTTTTTGTCCTTTTAAACAACACACAAGAAAACACCACATATGTACACAAATGCATATACACACACACACTCATTTGTACAATGTCTACTATCTTGCTGTTTAATCTTTTTACATATCTATATAAGAAACCACTATGGAGATTCTCTCTGCAACTTTTCTGGTTTTGGAGGCTTCCCAATAAAATTGAAAATAAAAATAAATCATTATGTAATAGCAATTTTGCTTAGAAAGGCAGTGTGTCCAGATAAAAATATTTACCTGGTCAGAATTCCCAGAAAGTAGCATGCCCATCTAGACCTCTTCCTAACCAATGAGACATGAGTGGAAGGTGGTGGGTGGAGCTTCTAGGAACCACCCTGAGAAAAGCCAGATGCTAATATGTTACACATTCCTGATTAAACCTATTCCTAAAACTGAAACTCCTGAATCAAACTATATGTGCATTTTTCATCATGATAGGTATGGCAAAATTCCTCAGTGATGTTACAATGGTCTATATTTTCATCACCTATTTATGAGAGAGTTTCTCCATCCACTCATTAATTTGCTGTGTGTTACGAAACATCCTCTTTTCCAATCCAGAAAGTGAATGTTTAAATTTTAATTGACCTTTCTCCTAATGTGATGAGTAATAGCTTTTTTATAAATTAAATAGTATTTTTGTGAATAACGGATTAATGTATATTATCTTTTTTCTATATTCTTTATATATTTGTATATTAAAATATATATTATATTCATTTTATACATTAAATACATTAATATTTAATGTTTTCATGTATACTTTGTTTTTATTGATAGTACTTGCAATCTACTAAAATGTAGCCCAACATATCAACCTTTTAACAATAGGTGATTTCAGTGCTAAAATCATATTTACCACTCTGAGATCATTTAAGCAAAGTAATTTCAAGCTTTTTTCTGCTGCTTCTTTTAACCTTGAAATATTTAATCCAGAGGAAATGAATTCCTCAAGGTGGAAACTTGCAATTACAAATTTTCAAATTCGATGGACGCCTACATCATATACTAACTTGTTTTATATTTTGGGATCTGTTCCTGGATGCACTAATTTGTTCCAAGTATTTATTCAACTCTTCATATACTAATCCCAACTCATTACTCAGTTTCCAATTATGCCAACAATAATGTCACCATGGCTAACATTTAGGTACCCCCTACACATTCGTGGCTATATGCATACTACATACAGGACAATATTTTAACTACCTTCTTTTGCATATGAATCCTCTTCTATTTATACAAAGACTGACAATATTAGTGATTTAGTGTCACAATTGAAAAGGTGAGAAAACACAAAATGATGCTAAGGAATTTGCTGTATGTCTTGAGTCTAGTAAGAGATATTGCAAGAGTTGTACAAAGGCATTTGGAGTCCCCAGTTTCTGCTCTGAGCTGCATATTTGTCTAAGGTATAAATAAAGCACTAGCATAAATTATATGGTAGGAAAAATTCCATGCATTACCCATTTGCTTTAGAATATTCTATTCTCCCCAGTTTAGTTTTCTGTAAAATAGTTACTACATCTGACTTTTTTCCTTCTAAAAAGTGATATCTTAAAAGTAGAATTGAATTCACTTATAGTTTAACTTGGAGATAATTGATATCTAATATTGATAACTTGGGCAAGAAGATAGTGCTTGTTTCTCTTAATCCACGTAGACTGTATCCTCCTTTGTAGCACTGGAATTATAATCACCCTCAGAATATGAAAGAGATAGACTCCAGGACTCCTGCTTACACCAGTATCATGCATACTCAAGTCCCAAAACATGCCCTGCAGAACACATGTAAATTGGACCTCAGTACACTCAGGTTTCCTATCTCATGAATAATGTATTTTTAATCTGCAATCGGTTGAAAAAAAAATCTGTGCCTAAGTGAACCCTCAACTGTATTCTTTATAAAGTTTTTGTGTGTTCTCCAATAAGTTCACTCCTGAGATCCTAGGACAATTATAATTCCATCCTTAGTTTATATTTGCTGCAGTAGTTTATTTCTTTTTTTTTCTAAATTGTGTGTGTGCTTGTGTGTATAATTTGCTTTTAATTTTTATGTATTCATTTATTTATCCTGCGGAATTCCTGCATAACACCATTGTCTAAGGAAGAAGTTCAATTCAATATTTTCCTCAGTTTTGCATTCCTATTAACTGCAAATATTGCTAATGTGTTATTTCTTCCTAACTTTGTATGATTTTTAAAAATTGCTTTCATCTCAGGTAGTTTGTCTAAAACAATCAAGTCAAAGTGGCTTTAGTAGTAAACACTGTCTCTCGTGAGATAGAATTCTTGCCTGAGGAGAACCAACAACTTTTATTCTGAATGTTTTTCAGAGATGTTTGAAATACAACAAAATAGTTGGAAGAATCTCCCAACACAGTTGGAAGACTATCTACTGGGGAGAAGTGTTCAGTATCATAAAGATAACATCTCATCCAGAGGAAAGTGGTAGGCGATTTTGCTTGCAGTCTCTCACGAAAGAGGGAAATATCTTAAGCTTCAAGTTCCTCAGCTGTAATGCAAACTTACCGCATGAGCAGTATTTACCTACATACTCCAAGTCATCTCTACAGAATGACAGGGAGAAATCACAGAGAGAATGACAGCAAGAATGCAGGGAGAACTCACACACATGGGAAGCTCATGTTGCCTGCTGTGCATGAGTAATAATATCTTTTGTCTCTGATTCCAGAACCTCATGTCTACCATCAGCATTTATGGAAACATGCTAGAGTAAATTGTCTGTTTGCAATGAGGGTGATATCTCAGATCTTTCACTATTTTTGACAGTCTTGCATTCCTCTATTAAAGAATTTATTTAATACAATTGATGACTATAGTTAGCTTGATATATTTATGATTATTTGTCCACTTCTGTTTATCACCTGATTTTGTTCAGTAAAATTTGCCTTTATTTCTCCTTTATATTTCTTGAGAGAGAGAAAGAGCACGAGTGTATGTGTGTGTGTGTGTGTGTGTGTACAAGATAAAACAAGATTTTTGAGTGCTTGCTTGGAAAAAAGAATGAATCAGTCAGCATATATTGTGCCTCATCTAATTCCTTTTTGTTTCACCTTTGCAGCCCTAAGATTTTAGGATTTTCTTCCACGTTAATCATTTAGAATTAGTTTACTTTGGTATTTTTATTTTTGTTTTTTGACTTTTTTTTAAGTTCAGGGGTAGAAGTACACGTTTGTTACAAAGGTAAACTTGCATTGTGGGGGTTTGCTGTACAGATTATTTCAACACCGAGTATTAAGCCTAGTATGCAGTAGTTATTTTTTCTGATCCTTTCCCTTTTCCCACCCTCTATTCTTCAAAAGTCCCTGCTGAGTGTTGTTCACCTCTATGTATCCATGTTTTCTCATCATTCAGCTCCCACTTATAAGTGAGAACATGGGGTATTTGGTTTTCTGTCCCTGCATTAGTTTGCTAAGGATGATGGCCTCCAGCTCCACCTATATCCCTGAAATGACATGATCTCATTATTTTTATAGCGCCATAGAATTACATGGCATATATGTACCACATTTTCTTTATCCAGTCTATCATTGATAGGCATTTAGGTTTATTCTATGTCTTTGGTATTGTGAATAGTGCTGCAATGACCATACATAGGCATGTGTCTTTATAATAGAATGATTTATATTCATTTGGGTATATACCCAGTAATGGGATTGCTGGGTTGAATGGTATTTCTGTCTTTAGATCTTTGAGGAATCACAGCACTGTCTTCCACAATGGCTGAACTAATCTACTCTCTCACCAACAGTGTATAGGTGTTTCTTTTTCTCTAAAACCTTGGCAGTATCTGTTATTTTTTGACTTTTTAATAATAGCCATTCTGACTGATGTGAGATGGTATCTCATGGTTTTGATTTGCATTTCTTTAATGATCAGGGATGCTGAGCTTTTATTCATATGGTTGTTGGACACATATATGTCTTCTTTTAAAAAGTGTCTGTTCATGTTCTTTGGTCACTTTTTTATGGAGTTGTTTGTCTTGTAAATTTGCTTACTTTCATTATAGAGGCTGGATATTACACCTTTGTCAGATGCATCGTTTGCACAATTTTTCTCCCATTCTGTAAGTTGCCTGTTTATGCCAATGATAATTTATTTCGGTGTGCAAAAGCTCTTTAGTTTAATTAGATCCCATTTGTCAATGTTGGCTTTTGTTGCAATTCCTTTTTGTGTCAACATCATGAAATCTTTGCCTTGTCTGTGTCTTGAATGGTATAGCCTAAGTTGTCTTCCAGGGCTTTTATAGTTTTGGATTCTACTTGTAAGTCTTTAATCCATCTTAATTTAATTTTTGTATGTGATGTAAACAAGGGGTCCCTTTTCAATTTTCTGCCTATGGCTAGCCAGTTATCCCACCACTATCTATCGAATAGGGAATCTTTCACACTCCAATTCAACATAGTATTGGTATTCCTGGCTAAGGCAATCAGGTAAGAGAAAGAGGGCATCCAAATAGCAAGAGAGGAAGTCAAACTATCTGTGTTTGCAGACAACATAATCTTACATCTAGAAAACCCCATAATCTTAGACAAAAAGCTTCTTAAGCTGATAAACAATGTCAGTGAAGTCTCAAGTCCCAAAATCAGTGTGTAAGAATCACTAGCATTCCTATACATCAACAAAAGTCAAGACAAGAGCCCAATCAGGAACAAACTTCCATTTGCAATTACCACAAAAAGAATCAAATAACTTTGAATACAGCTAACTCAGATGGTGAAAGATCTCTCTTGGAGAGCTACAAACCACTGCTCAACCCAGTCAGAGATGACTCAAACAAACAGAAAAACATTCCATGTTCATGAATAGGTTGGAAGATTCAATACCATTAAAATGGTCATACTGCCCAAAGCAATTTATAAATTCAATGCTATCGCTATGAAACTACCATGGACATTTTACTCAGAACTAGAGAAAAATATTTTAAAATTTGTATGGAATCAAAAAGAGCCGAAATACGCACAACAATCTTAAGCAAAAAGAACTAAGCTGTAGACATCACACTACTTAAATTCACACTATACTACAAGGGTACCATAACAGAAGCAACATGGTACTGGTACAAAAACAGACATACACATCAATGAAACAGAATAGAGAACCCAGAAATAAGACCTGCACACTCTTAATAGTACCTTTAAGTTGGTTCAGTGTTTCCCATGACCTCTTTTGCCAGAACTACTCTCCAACATTAATTTAGGTAAGAACACTCTCTTGTACTTTTTAAAAATGTGTGTGTGTAGACCCAGGTATATCAAATTTTGAATTTATTGCATTTAAATAGATAGCTTAACAGTGACTGACAATTAGGGTACAAGATTATCGGGCTCTATGTTTTTTTCCTAGAGATTTTATAACTATCTTCTCATTTCTTGCCGTTTTCAATGCTGCTATAGAAAAAAAAAAAAATCTGAGTTTTCCCACCTCCAGATTCCGTGTGTCACCCAAATATCATGAATTTTTGTGTTAGCTTTATTTTATTGCATCTTAGTGATTATAGGTGTGGATACACATTTCCTGGGAGATCGTTTTGCTTTTATGTCTATCCATTACTATCTCTTTGAAATATATTTTCTGTTCCACTTGGTATTCTGTTTTGAAAAGACAAAAAGTTGTTCTTGATCTATTGGAACTCGTTTAAACATCTTTTCAATTATCTTATCAATAGGCTCTTTTTAAACTCATTTAGTTTTCTTGAATTTACCTTTGATTATACTCTCAACCATTTTCTTCAATCTCTGTTGCTATTGTGAGCAAGGTGCATTGTAATTTTGTTTCACCTGTTTTATTTTTTTGTGGATACATTGTAGGTGGATATATTTATGGAGTATATGTGATATTTTGATACAGGCATGCAATGTGTACTAATCATATCAGGGTATATGAGGTATCCATCCTGTCCAGCACTTATCCTTTGAAGTACCAACAATCCAATTACACCTTTTAGTTATTTTTAAAGGTACAATTAAATTATTATTGACTGTAGTAACCCTGTTGTGCTATGAAATTCACCTCATCTTATTTTTATTTTCTTTGGCATTTTTGATGATTAATTATGTCACATATTTCTTATATATCATGCACACTTGATCTCTCTATTTATTACTTATTTCTAGACTTTACCCATTTTTTGTGGAAGTTTTCAGTATTCTTTTCCTAAAATCTTAGAGAAGATGTTTGCATACAAAGAAAACAAAATTTATGTGTTTTGATATGACATTGAAGACAACTTTTTCTACTGCCTCATTTTTTTAATGACAACTATTCATGATGCACTACTTTATTTTTTCCTGAGGACGACACAGTAAGTGGAAACTACTCTACCTTATCTTTGCCAAGGTAGACATGCTGTGGGAGTGTGAAACTGCTTATTCCAGTATTAGAAAATTAGATAACCACCAAGCTAAATGAGAGGAGGTCAAGTATCTATGGAGAAGTGTCCAAGGCCAATCATGAGGAATTCCTTGGAGGGAGTATATATTTTCTGTTAGGACCCAAGCATCTAGCATGAAGAATTGAGAGATGAAGAGAATGTTTTCTTCACTACAAATTAAGTGAATAGTACCTTACTTACCTACCATTATCTTTCTATTCAGCATCTCCTCTTGCTGAAACCAGCCCAATTTCACCATAGAACTGATGTTTATTATTTTTTATGTTTATGCATTTTAATTTTATTAATTTTTATTTGTTTTCATTTTATTGTTTTTGTTTTAATTTTTATTTGTATTTATTTTTTATTTTTGCTTTCTATTTTTTACATTTTTAAATATTTAAATTTAAATTTTGTTTTTAATATTTTTAATTTTTAATTTTAATTATTCATTTATCTATTTTGAGACAGAGTGTTACTCTGTCACCCAGGCTGAAGTACAGTGGCACAGTCTTGGCTCACTGCAACCTGACTCCCAGTTTCAAGTGATTACCCTGCCTTAGACTACTGAGTAGCTGGGATTACACACTCACATCACCACTCCCGGCTAATTATTTTAATTTTCAGTAGAGACAAGGTTTCACCATGTTGACTAGGCTGGTCTTGAACTCCTGACCTCAGGTGGTCCACCCATCTCAGCCCCCCAAAATATTGGTATTACAGGCATGAGGCACCATGCCCAGCCTATTATCATTATTTTGAATCAACATAGAAATAGTGTCTTTCTTTCTCAGAGCTTGAAACCCACATTGGTTTAATCTGAGTTCTTCTCTCAGGAAACTGACCCTCAGGCCTCCCATGTAGTATCAAGGAACTGAAACTCCTTTTCTTTACTGCCCTCCCCCAATTCCTGTAGATTCCTTCCCTACCACATAAACCACTAGTTTGACTTGGTTGCAGTGACGGATTTGACATTTATCTCCTGTCTCCTTGGCTGAAGCACCCATAAAAGCCTTCCTTGGTAATACTTGTCTCAGTGATTGGCTTTCTTTCTGGTGCAACAAGATCTAAACCAAACCCGTGGTGTTTTGGTAACATTTCCCTTGTTATGAGATCAAATCAGGGAGCTTCATATATGCCTCCTCAAGGCTGAGATAGATGAGACACAGCTGAAAACTCTGTAAGTGACCTCTAGTCCATGGTTATCAGCTCCCAGTGCAGAACAGGGAGGGTTTCTGTACAAATCTTGGCACCCAAAAAGATAGATTATTGAAACTGCATCATGTGGTCAATTTGGCTATTGATACCCAAAGGAATATAAATCATTCCATTATAAAGATACATGCACATGTATGTTCACCACAGCACTATTTACAATAGCAAAAATATGGAAACACATTTTGTTTCATTGGGGGTTACGTTTCAACATGAGTTTTCGAGGGGACAAATATTCAAACTATAGCATAGGGCAAGTGAAAAATTGTTAAGAGTTTTGATTTTTGTAATTAGACTGGACTTGATTAATTTTTATCACCTAAACAGGGCCTTATTGCTATTTCCTAAAAAATATAATAATAAGTCAAGAGAATGCATCAAAATGACAAGAAAGAATATGCAATAATATGACACTTTGCACCATCATGTCCACAGTGGTCAACTGAAATTGCATTTATCCACTTTTCATAATTGTGTGTGTGTATGTATGTATATATATGTATGTATATATGTGTATGTGTATATATGTGTATACACATACATATATGTATTTTATATATATTATATGTGTGTGTATATGTGTGTGTGTGTGTTTGTGTGTGTGTGTATATATATATATATATATATATATATATATATATTTTTTTTTTTTTTTTTTTTTTTTTTTTTTTTCAGATGGAGTCTCGCTCTGCTGCCCTAGCCAGAGTGCAGTGGCGCCATCTGGGCTCACTGCAAGCTCTGCCTCCCAGGTTCATGCCATTCTCTTGCATCAGCCTCCGGAGTAGCTGGGACTTCAGGCACTGGCCACCACGCCCAGCTAATTTTTTTGTATTTTTAGTAGAGCTGTGGTTTCACTGTGTTAGTCAGGATGGTCTCAATCTCCTGACCTCATGATCCTATTGTCTCGGCCTCCCAACGTGCTGGGATTATGGACGTGAGCCACCGCACCTGGCCCCTATTGTATATTTCATTTTGATGTTCTTTCATTTAGTTTGCACAAGGACAAGAGCATCTGATTGAAAGATATCTGTAAATGTAGAAAAATAATACAACACTCTATTAATATAGATAAGGGATGCAGTTTAGCATCCACAGTCAATGTTACAAAGTAGGATATTGCAGCATTTTTCATCGTGAATCCCTTGACATTCCATCTGCATGAAAACTCCCAGCTGCCAAGAATATTCCCGCTGGGTCTGCTAGAAAAACACCACGAAGCCCATTGATACACTCTATTGGGGGTTCATCTAAGAACATTTTATCATATTCTTCACGTTTAAGTAACTGCTTTTGAGGACCTTGCAAATATTAGTTCTGCTTAGTGAATTCTGTCTGATTTATTAGAGATATTTGTGTCAAAGGGAGGTTACTCCAACTAGAACAAGGCCTTTTGACATCATACACCCCACTTTCCTTGCAAATATTAGTTCTTGAAAGTTCATCACAAGTAGCACAGTGAGGTGACAATTATTACCATGATTTAACAGATTTAATGTCAGAGGCTTGAATCCTGGAATCTATACCCAGCCTGCTCATTCCAGAATGTCTCTCCACCATACCACTCTGCCTCTCTTTGTTTGCTACTGGCTGTGTATGGCCATGATGAAGATTGTGTGGGTGTATATCTGTCTGGCCTCCAAGGACACCATCCATGACTGAGAACCTCCTCTTGTTTTTTTCTTCTGAGTGCACTCTTTCAATTTCACCCTATAACTCATTTGGAAATGATGGCTATAGCTCTACTTATTACAAGAAGTTAATTTCACAAAACAGCATTACTTTAGCAATCTATTTAAAGTAAATTCATCTGTAATTTACTGTAATACAGTAGGGGTAGCTTCAAAATTATCTCTTCCTTTCTGTGCTCTGAATGTGAATCCTAAGTCCACTATAATACAAGAATTATTTGGTAGACTTTATTCCTTCTAAAAATACATATTACCTATTTTGAAATGTAATATATATTACATTTGATAATTATTATCAAATACATTGCATTTATTACATTACATGCATATTACATGTGAATTTGAATCCTAGGTCCACTCTAATATATAAATTATCTGGTAGATTTTTTTCCAATTAAAAATGCATATAGCCTATTTTGAAAGGTAATACTCAGGATATTTGGTAGTGTATTCTCAAACACATCACACTTATATTAAATGCATATTACATTTATAATACCTATCGAATATTATATATTACATATTTTCATTTTTCACAATAGACTGTGCCAAGTCACAAAGTAAATGTAATTGGAAATGTGTTTGATCTTCATTAAAGCTCTGTATGAACATGGTAGAAAATTTCCATTTTCTCCCCTTTTCCCTGTTCCCTTTTTCTGTAGTATCCAGTCATAAACAGCGCATATAATTTGCCTCTTTATTTATGCTAGTTAGATTTGATATTTTTCCTTATAAAATTGTTAAAGTTTCTTTGAGTAGATTCATTTTCTCCATCTTATCTTTTAATCATTGCTAATGCTTAGAAATGGCTTTAGATTTATTAATTCTCATGTGTTAATTTGATTGTCCTGAATTGTCTATGTATTTAATTATATCATCTTTAAAAACATAATTATAATTCATCCTTTCCAAAAATTATATCTCTCTTTCCTTTTGAAGTCTTGTCTTAGTACAGGCTGCCAACTAAACAGATAGGGTGGCTTAAACAACAGACATTTATTGCTCACAGCTCTGGAGGCTGGAAGCTGGCAGCGAGTCTCCATGGCAGATTGCCTTCTCTAGTTAGGGATCACTTTCAGCCAAAAGTGTTGTTGTTTCTATTGTCGCTAACATTTACATTTATAACAAATTTGGAATTCATATTTTTTTCTATTATATCAATATTTTGAAGACTTTAATAATTACTCAGAAGTCATTGTGGGGTGGCTGGTCTTTCCCCCCCTCCCTTACTTCCTTCCTTTTTTCCTTCCTTCCCTCTCTCTCTTTTTTCCTTTTCTCTCACCCTTTTTTATTCTTTGACTTCCTTCTCCCCCTTACCTCTCTTTAATTCTCCTCCCTCCCTCCATTCATCAAAAGTAGCACAGTGAGGTGACAATTATTACTATGATTTAACATATTTAATGTCAGAGGCTTGAATTCTGGATCTTTGAATTTTTGAAACCTTGAATCTTCTCTTCCTTCCTCTCTCTATTTCTTCTCCCCCCCCTTCTTTTCTTTCTCTTTCCTTGCTTCCCTTTCTCTTTCTTTTTTGTACCTTCCTCCATCCCCTTTTACCTTTCTTCCTTTCTTCCCTTCAAGGAGAGAACATTTTCCTTTTGGAATGCTATATGATAAATGTTTTCACTCATTCATGTCCTCTGCAGCCTAGTTTAGCTATAAAAATAAAGTTGTAGCAAGCTGCAGGTGAAGGGGCAGTAAGGAGACCTCAATTTTAGTCCTGACACTTGCTTTCCTGCTGTGTGGCTTTGTATCCTTAATCTTTTGGTACTTAGTTTTCCATCTGTTAGGCACATTTACTCCTGTGCAATAATACGAATAATTTATGACCTCTCTGCTCCTTAGTGAATGTCCATGCATATTTTAACATGAGACTGGAAATCTTTAGTCACAATGTGAGTGCAAAATTTACTAGACACCTTGTTGTAACTGGTATTATTGCCATATTACCTTTGTCTTAATGTTCTTAAATCTGCAGGCAGCATTTCTCAAGAGCACTATTTGTCTACCACCAGGAGCTGCAATCTGTTCCTTTAGGTGTAGCAAGAGGAAAAGATAAGTCCATTCCCCTTTAATGTACTACATTTAAAAGCTCTCTTTTTGCATTCATCTGAGACAAAGGATTAAAATCAAATTTAAATGCATTCAACAGACTTACAAATGCCTTTTGACCTTCAGGTATACGTGCTGAAACTTATTTCACAACTGCGAACATAAATCTCAGAATACATTCTTTTCATGACTGCAATCATAAATGTTGGAATACTTTTTTATTACACATGACTGAAACTTCAGGAACAAAATTCTCTACCTCACCATACCTTACGTTTATTACCATTATCAAATTTGTCTTTTTTGTATTGATTCAGTAAGTACTTAGTGAGTGCTAACATACTCCTCTACTTGGCCAGATTTATCAAGGAATGGAACAAATATTACATTCTTCTGATTCTGACCTTGTTCCTTTTCTCGTCTTCCCTTTTATTGTTTTCCTATTTCTCTTTTTTTTTCTTTTTCCCCCTCCCTGGAGTTTAATCAAATAAATAAATAAATAAAATCCTGGAATCTTAGAGAAGGGAAAATGAGAAACCATCTTCCAATGACATTTCCCAGATGTTGGCAATTAGTGCTGTGTTGCTAAGTCCACTGTTCAATGCTTATTATCTTACCTGGTCAATTAGAACTCGATGTATATTTATTCCCTACAGCAACACCCTTGTGTTCGTCAGGATTTCCTAACCTTGACTTCTGTTCTTCTTCATGTTTGCTTTCTTTTATCCCCTTGTCTTGGCCTTTCCTGTTCACTGGACCCGTTCATGCTTGAGTTCTCTAAGTCAGTACTGCTCCTCTTCTTTACTATGTTCCTGTCCTTAGGGATCTCACCAACTATCATGACTTTAAATCACATTGGCATAGTTTATTTTCCCCACACTTACAATTCCAGCTTAGAATTCTCTTCTGATCCCAGGCTCTGCACCCAACTGTCTCCTTAAAATCTCCATTTCCTGGTCTCTTGTACATCCTACCCTCAACAGGTCAAAAATCATACTCTAACTCACCTACAGCCCTGCTCAATTTACTTCCTTCCTCATTCCATTGTTTCAGTTGCTCAGACAAAATCTTTGGCGTCTGTGTTCATTCCTTTATTTTTGTTGGTGTTTTTTTGCTTTTGAGACAGAGTCTCACTCTGTCACCTGGGCTGGAGTACAACGGCGCTATCTTGGCTCACTGCAACCTCTGCGTTCTGGGTTCAAGCAACTGTCCTGCCTCAGCATCCCAAGTACTACAGGCACACACTACCATGCCCAAGTAATTCTGTAGTTTTAGTAGACTAAAAATCATAGACACTAGGTTTAGAAGAGACTAGGTTTTGCCATGTTGGCCAGGATGTTCTCTTACTCCTGACCTCAAGTGATCCGCCCTCCTCAGCTTCCCAAAGTGCTGGGATTACAGGAGTGAGCCACCGTGCCAGCCTTTCCTCTCTTTGTTAATTTCTCTCTTTTGCTCATGGCATTGTGTGCTCCACACACTAAAGGCACTTCTGTTGGTCTACCTTGGCAGACCCATCCATCATTTCCCAGTTTTTGTTTTGTTTTGTTTTGTTTTGTTTAACTCAACAACCTCTTAACAGACCTATCTGCTTCTCGTGTGCCGTGTCCTTGTCTCAACACAGCAGTCAGGCTTATCTTTCAGAAAACATGAGGTTGTATGCATCATTCCTTTCTCAGAATGCCACAATAACTCATATAGCCTTTAGAATAAAAACCTAAGTGCTCAGCAGCACCATAGGTCTGATACTCCTGCCCCCTTTCATCTATGAACTTCTCTCCTCTTAGCCACACTGGCCCCCAGGTTTCTGTTCAAATATCCCTGTAAGGCTTTTCTATCTGGGCTTTGCCTTAGCTATTAATTCTTTTTCCTGAAATATTACCATCCCTCTCAAATAGAACCTTACTGAACTTTCTCACCTCTTCCTAAATCTTTGCTCAAACATCCCACTTTCAATGAGACCTGCCCTAATCGCTCTTCTGAAAATTGGACACCCCGCCCCACCTTTTATGTTGTGATCACCCTCATGCTGCTGTATCTTTGTTATTTTTGCATAGCTCTCCACACCTTCTAAAATACTAGATAACTTTATTGTATTGTCAATATGTGTAATATTACTTATCTAGTATTCTAAAATACTAGATACCTGGTTTTCTGTAATCTGTGTCTAGTCGCAAAGATAATTTTCATAAATGTGGGTGTCTTTCTCAATCTATCTTATCAACTGTATTTCTAACAGATAGAAAATTGCCTGGATGTATTTACGGTTCTTTAAACTATATTGAATTAATAGAATAATACATTTAAAAGCATTGAATTTTGGCCAAGTATTAGGATGGCTATCACAAAGTTTTTCCTAGCTATGGCACAGTATCTTAGTGCTAGGAGTATGGAGACCAGCTAGTTATACAAGAGGGACTTTTATTCAGTAACATGTAAGTTCAACATTTTAAAAATTAATGTGAAAAATATACATATATATGTTTATATGCATACATATGTATACATGCAAGCATACATATGTATATATACACATATACATATATATGATACAAACACATACACACACACACACACACACACACACACACACACATATACATGTGTTCCCTCCGCAGGCTCTAGGAGAGGATCCTTCCTGCCAGCTCCTGGTGGCTGCAGGAGTCAAGGGCTTCTGGCTGCTTCACTCCAGCCTCTGCCTTCACCTTCATGTGCTCTTCTCCTCAGTGTCTGTGTCTCCTCTTCCTCTGTCTCTTATAAGGAGACTTGTCATTGCAATTAGTGCCCATGCAAACAATTTAGAATAATCTAATTTTCCCATCCTTAAATGGATTACATCTGCACAGACCTTCCTTTCAACTAAGGTCACATTCACAGTTTCCAAGCATTCGGACATGAGCATATGTTTTAGGAGGCTACCATTCAACCCATGCCCATGAACACTAAAATGCAGAATCATAAATGAACACCATGGAGCCCACCTCCATCTCAAGCACTGGTGCAGCACCTGCCTCTGAGGTTATAGAATATTGCCTGGATGTAATTCTTGATTATGAAATTTTACTTATTTAATAAAACAATAAAATTCAAAGGCATTCAATTTGGATCAAAAATCAGGTTAGATATTGTAAAGGTCTTCCTAATGTGGTGAATTGGTGGCAGAAGTCTGGAGACCAATAAGTTATATAACGATGACTATTCAGGAACTGGTAAGTCACGTCTTCTTGCTAAATTTAATTTTTAAAATATACATATATAAATATATGTATATTTATTACACAGATTTTTGTAGATTTTGTGTAAACATAAGATCTAACCAAATGCAATAATTGTGATTTTAGAGAGGGTCTCACCATAAAAAATATATGAGAATCTTCTTACTCTGTTTGCACACTTTGGACATAACTTTTATCAGACATGTAGGCTTTCAATTTCTACTGCCGCAATAAAAACAGCATGTCTTTCCACTGAATATAACTTTTTACTAAAGAGATGTTTTCAATTTTAATGTATGCTTAGTTTTTATTTTTATATTTATATTTATTTATTATTATTATACTTTAAGTTTTAGGGTATATGTGCACAATGTGCAGGTTAGTTACATATGTATACAAGTGCCATGCTGGTGCACTGCACCCACTAACATTAGGTCATCTAGCATTAGGTATATCTCCCAATGCTATCCCTCCCCCCTCCCCACACCCCACAACAGTCCCCAGAGTGTGATATTCCCCTTCCTCTGTCCATGTGTTCTCATTGTTCAATTCCCACCTATGAATGAGAATATGAGGTGTTTGTTTTTTTTATTCTTGCAATAGTTTACTGAGAATGATGATTTCCAATTTCATCCATGTCCCTACAAAGGACATGAACTCATCATTTTTTATGGCTGCATAGTATTCCATGGTGTATATGTGCCACATTTTCTTAATCCAATCTATCACTGTTGGACATTTGGGTTGGTTCCAAGTCTTTGCTATTGTGAATAATGCCACAATAAACATACGTGTGTGTGTGTCTTTATAGCAGCATGATTTATAGTCCTTTGGGTATATACCCAGTAATGGGATGGCTGGGTCAAATGGTATTTCTAGTTCTAGATCCCTGAGAAATCGCCACACTGACTTCCACAATGGTTGAACTAGTTTACAGTCCCACCAACAGTGTAAAAGTGTTCCTATTTCTCCACATCTTCTCCAGCACCTCTTGTTTCCTGACTTTTTAATGATTGCCATTCTAACTGGTGTGAGATGGTAACTCATTGTGGTTTTGATTTGCATTTCTCTGATGGCCAGTGATGATGAGCATTTTTTCATGTGTTTTTTGGCTGCATAAATGTCTTCTTTTGAGAAGTGTCTGTTCATGTCCTTTGCCCACTTTTTGATGGGGTTGTTTGTTTTTTTCTTGTAAATTGGTTTGAGTTCATTGTAGATTCTGGATATTAGCCCTTTGTCAGATGAGTAGGTTGTGAAAATTTTCTCCCATTTTGTAGGTTACCTGTTCACTCTGATGGTAGTTTATTTTGCTGTGCAGAAGCTCTTTAGTTTAATTAGATCCCGTTTGTCAATTTTGGCTTTTGTTGCCATTGATTTTGGTGTTTTAGACATGAAGTCCTTGCCCATGCCTATGTCCTGAATGGTAATGCCTAGGTTTTCTTCTAGGGTTTTTATGGTTTTAGGTCTAACGTTTAAGTCTTTAATCCATCTTGAATTGATTTTTGTATAAGGTGTAAGGAAGGGATGCAGTTTCAGCTTTCTATGTATGGCCAGCCAGTTTTCCCAGTACTATTTATTAAACAGGGAATCCTTTCCCCATTGCTTGTTTTCGTCAGGTTTGTCAAAGATCAGATAGTTGTAGATATGCGGCATTATTTCTGAGGGCTCTGTTCTGTTCCATTGATCTATATCTCTGTTTTGGTACCAGTACCATGCTGTTTTGGTTCCTGTAGCCTTGTAGTATAGTTTGAAGTCAGGTAGTGTGATGCTCCAGCTTTGTTCAAAAGCCAAAAGGCTTAGGATTGACTTGGCAATGCGGGCTTTTTTTTTTTGGTTCCATATGAACTTTAAAGTAGTTTTTTCCAATTCTGTGAAGAAAGTCATTGGTAGCTTGATGGGGATGGCATTGAATCTGTAAATTACCTTGGGCAGTATGGCCATTTTCACGATATTGATTATTCCTACCAATGAGCATGGAATATTCTTCCATTTGTTTGTATCCTCTTTTATTTCCTTGAGCAGTGATTTGTAGTTCTCCTTGAAGAGGTCCCTCATATCCCTTGTAAGTTGGATTCCTAGGTATTTTATTCTCTTTGAAGCAATTGTGAATTGGAGTTCACTCATGATTTGGCTCTCTGCTTGTCTGTTATTGGTGTATAAGAATGCTTGTGATTTTTGTACATTGATTTTGTATCCTGAGACGTTGCTGAAGTTGCTTATCAGCTTAAGGAGATTTTGGGCTGAGACAATGCGGTTTTCTACATATACTATCATGTCGTCTCCAAACAGGGACAATTTGACTTCCTCTTTTCCTAATTGAATACCTTTTATTTCCTTCTCCTGCCTAATTGCCCTGGCCAGAACTTCCAACACTCTGTTGAATAGGAGTGGTGAGAGAGGGCATCCCTGTCTTGTGCCAGTTTTCAAAGGGAATGCTTCCAGTTTTTGCCCATTCAGTATGATATTGGCTGTGGGTTTGTCATAGATAGCTCTTATTATTTTGAAATACGTCCCATCAATACCAAATTTATTGAGAGTTTTTAGCATGAAGGGTTCTTGAATTTTGTCAAAGGCCTTTTCTGCATCTATTGAGATAATCATGTGGTTTTTGTCTTTGATTCTGTTTATATGCTGGATTACATTTATTGATTTGCATATATTCAACCAGCCTTGCATCCCAGAGATGAAGCCCACTTGATCATGGTGGATAAGCTTTTTGATGTGCTGTGGATTCGGTTTGCCAGTATTTTATTGAGGATTTTTGCATCAATGTTCATCAAGGATATTGGTCTAAAATTCTATTTTTTGGTTGTGTCTCTGCCCGGCTTTGGTATCAGCATGATGCTGGCCTCATAAAATGGGTTAGGGAGGATTCCCTCTTTTTCTATTGATTGGAATAGTTTCAGAAGGAATGATACCAGTTCCTCCTTGTACCTCTGGTAGAATTCGGCTGTGAATCCATCTGGTCCTGGACTGTTTTTGGTTGGTAAGCTATTGATTATTGCCACAATTTCAGATCCTGTTATTGGTCTATTCAGAGATTCAACTTCTTCCTGGTTTAGTCTTGGGAGAGCGTATGTGTCGAGGAATTTATCCATTTCTTCTAGATTTTCTAGTTTATTTGCGTAGAAGTGTTTGTAGTATTCTCTGATGGTAGTTTGTATTTCTGTGGGATCGGTGGTGATATCCACTTTATCATTTTTTATTGCGTCTATTTGATTCTTCTCTCTTTTTTTTCTTTCTTAGTCTTGCTAGCGGTCTATCAATTTTGTTGATCCTTTCAAAAAACCAGCTCCTGGATTCATTAATTTTTTGAAGGGTTTTTTGTATCTCTATTTCCTTCAGTTCTGCTCTGATTTTAGATATTTCTTGCCTTCTGCTAGCTTTTGAATGTGTTTGCTCTTGCTTTTCTAGTTCTTTTAATTGTGATGTTAGGCTGTCGATTTTGGATCTTTCCTGCGTTCTCTTGTGGGAATTTAGTGCTATAAATTTCCCTCTACACACTGCTTCGAATGCGTCCCAGAGATTCTGGTATGTTGTTGTGTCTTTGTTCTCGTTGGTTTCAAAGAATATCTTTATTTCTGCCTTCATTTCATTATGTACCCGGTAGTCATTCAGGAGCAGGTTGTTCGGTTTCCATGTAGTTGAGTGGTTTTGAGTGAGATTCGTATTCTTGATTTCTCGTTTGATTGCACTGTGGTCTGAGAGATAGTTTGTTATAATTTCTGTTCTTTTACATTTGCTGAGGAGAGCTTTACTTCCAAGTATGTGGTCAATTTTGGAATAGGTGTGATGTGGTGCTCAAAAAAATGTATATTCTGTTGCTTTGGGGTGTAGAGTTCTGTAGATGTCTATTAGGTCTGCTTGGTGCAGAGCTGAGTTCAATTCCTGGGTATTCTTCTTGACTTTCTGTCTCGTTGATCTGTCTAATGTTGACAGTGGGGTGTTAAAGTCTCCCATTACTAATGTGTGGGCATCTAAGTCTCTTTTTAGGTCACTCAGGACTTGCTTTATGAATCTGGGTGCTCCTGTATTTGGTGCATGTATATTTAGGATAGTTATCTCTTCTTGCTGAATTGATCCCTTTACCATTATGTAATGGCCTTCTTTGTCTCTTTTGATCTTTGTTGGTTTAAAGTCTGTTTTATCAGAGACTAGGATTGCAACCCCTGACTTTTTTGTTTTCCATTTGCTTGGTAGATCTTCCTCCATCCCTTTGTTTTGAGCCTATGTGTGTCTCTGCACGTGAGATGGGTTTCCTGAATACAGCACACTGATGGGTCTTGACTCTTTATCCAATTTGCCAGTCTGTGTCTTTTAATTGGAGCATTTAGTCCATTTACATTTAAACTTAATATTGTTATGTGTGAATTTGATGCTGCCATTATGATGTTAGCTGGTTATTTTGCTCATTAGTTGATGCAGTTTCTTCCTAGTCTCGATGGTCCTTACATTTTAGCATGGTTTTGTAGCAGCTGGTACCAGTTTTTCCTTTCCATGTTTAGTGCTTCCTTCAGGAGCTCTTTTAGGGCAGGCCTGGTGGTGACAAAATCTCTCAGCATTTGCTTGTCTGTATAGTATTTTATTTCTCCTTCACTTATGAAGCTTAGTTTGGCTGGATATGAAATACTGGGTTGGAAATTCTTTTATTTAAGAATGTTGAATATTCGCCCCCACTCTCTTCTGGCTTGCAGAGTTTCTGCCGAGAAATCCGCTATTAGTCTGATGGGCTTCCCTTTGAGGGTAACCCGACCTTTCTCTCTGGCTGCCCTTAACATTTTTTCCTTCATTTCAACTTTGGTGAATCTGCCAATTATGTGTCTTGGAGTTGCTCTTCTCGAGGAGTATCTTTGTGGCGTTCTCTGTATTTCCTGAATCTGAATGTTGGCCTGCCTTGCTAGATTGGGGAAATTCTCCTGGATAATATCCTGCGGAGTGTTTTCCAACTTGGTTCCATTCTCCCTGTCACTTTCAGGTACACCAATCAGACGTAGATTTGGTCTTTTCACATAGTCCCATATTTCCTGAAGGCTTTGCTCGTTTCTTTTTATTCTTTTTTCTCTAAACTTCGCTTCTCACTTCATTTCATCTTCCATGGCTGATACCCTTTCTTCCAGTTGATCACATCGGCTCCTGAGGCTTCTGCATTCTTCATGTAGTTCTCGAGCCTTGGTTTTCAGCTCCATCAGCTCCTTTAAGCACTTCTCTGTATTGGTTATTCTAGTTATACATTCTTCGAAATTTTCTTCAAAGTTTTCAACTTCTTTGCCTTTGGTTTGAATGTCCTCCCATAGCTCAGAGTAATTTGATCATGTGAAGCCTTCTCTCAGCTCGTCAAAGTCATTCTCCAACCTGCTTTGTTCCGTTGCTGGTGAGGAACTGCGTTCCTTTAGATGAGGAGAGGTGCTCTGCTTTTTAGAGTTTGCAGTTTTTCTGCTCTGTTTTTTCCCCATCTTTGTGGTTTTATCTACTTTTGGTCTTTGATGATGGTGATGTACAGATGGGTTTTTGGTATGGATGTCCTTTCTGTTTGTTAGTTTTCCTTCTAACAGACAGGACCCTCAGCTGCAGGTGTGTTGGAGTAACCGGCCATGTGAGGTGTCAGTCTGCCCCTGCTAGGGGGTGCCTCCCAGTTAGGCTGCTCAGGGGTCAGGGGTCAGGGACCCACTTGAGGAGGCAGTGTGCCTGTTCTCAGATCTCCAGCTGCATGCTGAGAGGGCCACTGCTCTCTTCAAAGCTGTCAGACGGGGACATTTAAGTCTGCAGAGGTTATTGCTTTCTTTTTGTTTGTCCGTGCCCTGCGCCCAGAGGTGGAGCTTACAGAGACAGGCAGGCCTCCTTGAGCTGTGGTGGGCTCCACCCAGTTCGAGCTTCCTGGCTGCTTTGTTTACCTAAGCAAGCCTGGGCAGTGGCGGGCACCCCTCCCCCAGCCTCACTGCCACCTTGCAGTTTGATCTCAGACTGCTGTGCTAGCAATCAGCCAGACTCCGTGGGCATAGGACCCTCCGAGCCAGGTGCGGGATATAATCTCCTGGTGCTCTGTTTTTTAAGCCCGTCAGAAAAGCGCAGTATTCGGGTGGGAGTGACCGGATTTTCCAGGTGCCATCTGTCACCCCTTTCTTTGACTAGGAAAGGGAACTCCCTGACCCCTTGCACTTCCCGAGTGACGCAATGCCTCGCCCTGCTTCGGCTCGTGCACGGTGCGCGCACCCACTGACCTGCACCCACTGTCTGGCACTCCCTAGTGAGATGAACCCGGTACCTCAAATGGAAATGCAGAAATCACTCGTCTTCTGCGTCGCTCACACTGGGACCTGTAGACCGGAGCTGTTCCTATTCGGCCATCTTGGCTCCTCCCCTCCCCATTTTTATTAATACTTATGATTTTCTAATTGGAATTAAAAAATTATATTCAGATGTATGTCATTTGTAAAAGGCAAGTTTTAGCAAACATGTAGAACATTTGAGAATGAATAAAATGCATGTATGTAAATATGCACATATATATGATGTGTGTATATACAAAATATATACATGTGTATGTTATAAATGATTATAATACATATATGTATTTTAAAAACATGTATACATATTATACATGTTACATATAATATACATATTAACACATATTTATATATGTGTTGCTCACATATTTTCATGTAAATACATGAATATGTAATGTATATTATGTTTGTTATATACTTATACAACACATGTACATGTGTAATCTATCTGTAATACATATGTATTTATAATAAACATACTATATGTATTATACATGTATATATTTGTGCACTACATATATTACACGTATAATAAATACATTATAGATACATACAGATAACACATAATATATACTTTGTGTTATATAAACATATATAATATATGTATATGTGCTACGTAACTGTATAATACATGTATGTATTACATAAATATATGGTGCAAATTTTATATTACATAAATATACACATATTTATATAGAATGCATATTTTTATATTACATAAATATATACATATTTACATAGAATACATATTTTACATTACATAAACATACACGTTTATGTAGAATACATATTCTTATGTCACATAAATACTAATATATATTTATATATTTACACATAAAGTAATCACATTCAATTATGTATTTGAGTATATATTATATATTATATTAAAATTTAATGCATAATTTAAATTACATATAATATATTAAATATATAACATATAATGTATTATTTAATATATATTTACATATGTTTATATGTTTTCATATGCAAATTTTTATATATAAATTTTAATATTGTATATTATATATACTATACTATATAATACATTATATAATATAGAAACTATATAATATATGATACATTAAATATTATGTATATAAACTATAATACATAATATATAATTCATTACATATATAAGCTATATATGTTATACATAATAAATTAATAAAATATATAATGTTAGGTTTTAATACATTATCTATAATAAACGTTTAATGTCAAGTGTTTTATATATTTATATATTATATACATATGTATTACATAAATATATACGATGTATACATATTGTATAATATAATCACATGTGTTATACTATTACATACATATGTTTTATAGTATACATATACACACACACACACAAAAACACATGATTTCCCAGATAAATCTGTCATAAAAAATGGACTTAGCATTTAAAATAAGATAAATGGAATTTAAAATCATTTTTTTCTTAGAGGAAGAGGAATTTTTTTTTTTTTTTTTTGAGATAGAGTTTCACTCTTCTTGCCCAGGCTGGAGTGCAGTGGCACGATCTCAGCTCACTGCAACCTCTGCTTCCCCAGTTCAAGCAATTCTTCTGCCTCAGCCTCTCGAGTAGCTGGGATTACAGGCATGCAGCACCATGCCCAGCTAATTTTTTGTATTTTTAGCAGAGACGAGGTTTCTCCTTGTTGGTCAGTCTTGTGTCAAACTCCCCACCTCAAGCGTTCCTCCCACCTTGGCCTCGCAAAGTGCTGGGATTACAGGCATGAGCCACCACTTAAGGCTGGGAGAGGAATATTTTATGCTGATTCATGGAAAACTTTGAGCATAAACTAAAAGTTATGGTCTAGAAGCCCAAATAATTACAAGTAGAAATGAAACATCCATAGTAATACTTAAATACCATTGCATCTATGAATGTTAAGTAACTGATGAGCTTAAAAATAACATAAAAAGAGGGTTTTAAAAGTCTATGTAAACACATATGTTCTCATCTAACCAAACTCTAGTTTATAATGCACCTCAGCATATTTACAGTATACATTTCAGATTCAAGAAATCTTACATTATATAATAGCAAATTAAAAACTCCATGTATCTGAACTGCACGTTAATGTGAAGTCAGCTCAACATTGACACTGTTAACCACTCCCATGCAATAAACAAATTCTGTTAAAAATTGAGATTTTAAAGGAGCCAATTCTGCCACAGTAGTAGAAAAATAAGTCAGGATTTTTGGTAGAGCTTATTTAGTTTTCAGACCATATTTTAGCTCTTGGTGGCCTGTGTTTGGACTTAGTAACTTTTATGAAATTTATCTTATCCAAGAAATATGCAACCTCTGTGTTAGCAATGAATGTTCCAATTAATTCTTTACAACAGCTAGAGGTTATGCATTTTCCTTTAGTTATTTTATTTTGCTATACTATAAGTTCTTTTTCAAAAAACATATCAATATTTATTCAGATATCAGGAGAGCCTTTATAATGGTGCAAGTTTCATATAGCCAGTGTTTAAGTCTATCATGGTTCCTTTAACAATGTATGCATTTGACCAAAAATAGAATAAATTCTCAGAGAAGTATGCACTCTCATCCCTAGATAATCTCAGTGCTAGAAAAGGTTTCATCCTTGAAGTCTTTCCTCTTGCCCTCTTGATATGCGATTTACAACCTCCTGTAAGCTCCCAGACAAAGAGTTTCTCTGTGTAGGACAGTGTCGGGCAACTCCTTTACATAACTGTCCACAAAACTGTGTTTGCAGCAAGGTTCTCTCCTTTTACTTCACATCACTACACACTTGCTAAGTCTCAAGCTCTTTCGTTTTCTTTGCTATTGTAAAACTCAACAGTATTGTACTTAAGAATTTTCTCTTAGCATTGCCTTCTCAGATCACGTGCAAGCACGCTTCGATCTTAGACTGGGTTTTGGAACCTAGGGAACTGGCACCTTATGATTTCACGTATATGAACCCAACATCCCAGTGGCCTTCTGCTCCCTCTGTAGCAAACCTGAGAACCGGGAGTTTTGTGGAGTCCTCAGTGCTTCCTATTGATGACATAGGCAATTCTTCCTCATAGATCCCTGGGACAAAAACAAAACAAAACAATACAAAGCAGACACTAGCTGGACACAACAGAAATAAAAGAGAAGAAAAGGAAAGGAAAGAAAAAAAAAGTCTGTGTTTTAAAATGAGCTAATCAGCTCAAAATTTGTTCAAAATGCTAATATCTGAAGATTAACTACAAATTAATTGATACATCTTTAAAATAAAGATAATTTTCTGATTTGAATATTCTGCTACCCACCCCCCCCACTGCCGGAAATGTCAGACCCACTCATCTGACTTGATTTTCCAGAAGTTTAGCAGAATTTGAGGATTTGGGTGGCATCTACAGTGACTGCACATAATTTGCATGTTTGAGCCAGGACGTCAATGAGCAAATGCACATAGGGAGAGTTGAGCACTGGTATGGCCCCAGCAACTCTCTGCATCAGTTGTCTCCTTACCAAGAAGCCAAGCATTTCTTGCTCTAACTTGCAGTTGTGATCTTTGGCCCTGAACTCTGACCTTTGAACCCAAGATGCACTCCTCCCTCATCTGCTAAACTCTGACCTGTGACTCCAGTTTGGTCTTCTTTCTTCTGAACTCTGACCTGTGAACCTCAGATTGGTCTTCCATCTCAGATCCCTACTCTGTAACTCTTACTTGTTACTCTATCCATGATTACCACTCTGTGACCCTTAAATGTGTACTCTGAGGGTAATTTCTGACCTATAAAATCCAGGCTCCATTCTGTGAACTCAGATGGGACACTGCTCCTCGTATTTGATGTGTGAATAATTCCTTAAGCTTGAAATATGCTCCTCAACTTTGACCTGTGATCTCCATCCATGACCTGTGTCACCAATGCCTGACTTATGACCTGGAACTGTGACCTTTCTCCACGAAGGTGGAGATGGGACTTCAACTCTCAGTTTCTGCCCATGAATTCTCCTTGTGAATCCCAGATGGCATGTTGCTCTCCAGTTCCCTCTCTGTGACTTCCATTTCTGGTCTCTGCCCTGTTAAGACCAGGTCTCACCTCAGCCCTCAGCCCCCTTTATGTGACTTCCAGAAGTCCCATGATCACTGAGGCTGACATTGTGACCTCTTGAAAACTAACATAGTAAATACAACTTGGTTTTAGCTATGACAGGTAGAGAGCTTAGAAGCTGACACTCTGTTTTGTCAGAATAAAAATGCTGAGCAAAGTAAAATCAGCAAGTCTGCTTAGAACCTTCAGAGAACTAATGGCACAGAAAGATGCCATTCAGAAAACTGGAGAGACAGGTGAATACAGAGATGCACAGCCGAGGTCAGCTCACCTGGAGCAGAAGACACATAATCCTTAATTGGTAGGGAAACATGTCCATGGGAAGTTTGCGCAATTACTAGAGGCTGACTGGAATAGCATGAGAGTAAGGAACTTCTGGAGTCAACTCTCTTTAGGGGAGCCGTAACTCTAATGGACCTTACCTCCAGAAACTCCACCAAGTTTTCATTATGAAGATTCCAAACAGATTCCTTGTGGCTCTTCAAGGGGCTGAGAAATGAAAGCACTGTAAAAAATAATCAAGTTACCTCCTGCTTTAGGGAAAATGGCTTTACTCAGCTTTAATCCAACTAGAAGAAAATCATGCTTCACATCTTAGACAACCTTTAATCTTCCTGCCTCACAAAAAAGGAGAATATAAATGCTTATCACTGGAGAAACATTTTTAAAGTTCTCAGCTCAGAACTATAGTCCTCCCCACAAAAAAACAACTGAAATTTAATATTAAGATTATGGATTTCTTTTTTCCTCTACCCTGATCACCACAGTAAAAGGGCTCCACTTTAGTAACAGTGAACTTCAGCAGAAAGAGCCCAAATTGCCAAACTCTTTCCAAGAAGAATTATCTAGGAAAGTCAAGACAGTAGCAAGCACAAGAATACCAGAGGAATCTGACACCTCTGACATAGATAGATAGATAGATAGATAGATAGATAGATAGATAGATAATAGACAAATACATAATAAATGATAGGCAGAGGATAGATGATATGGATAGACAGATATATCTAATAGGTAGATGATAGATAATAGGTAGATAGAAGATAGGTAGATAGATAGATAGATAGATAGATAGATAGATAGATAGATAGACAGATAAGAGAGAAACAGAAATATAGTGACACAGCATCACTACTGGACAGATTTACCTGAATACTCACACTAAAGGACTATTTACTTCAATTCCTATTACCTGATACAACTTATTCAGCTCTCAGAAAAAAATTGTAAAGAGTGCTAAAAGACTAATAATAATAATAATAATAATAACAACACAGGCTGAAGGATAAAACCAGACTCACATATACCACAGAAGAAATTACCAGAGAGGAAATCTAAAATGTTATGGTTACTGTGTCAGTGTTTCTAATGGCAAAAGTAGGCAACATGCAAGAACAGATGGGTAATGTAAGAGCAGAGATGTAACTCCTTAGAGAATCAAAAGAAAACACTAAGTATCAAGAACATGTAACCAGAATGAAGAATGGCTTTGATGGGCTCATTAGGAGACTACATAGTCAATGAACTGGAAGACAACTCAATAGAAACTTCTCAAGTTGAAATACAAAAAAGGAGAAAATCATAAAAATCAAAAATAGGACACAGAACACCCAAGACACAAGGTAAAGTCTCAGAAAGTACAGTGAATGCACAATTGTTTTATCAGAAAGAGAAAAGAGAACAGAATCAGTAAAAATTTTTGAAGCAATAATGACTGAGATTGTTTTAAAATTAATGACAGATACCAAACTACAGATACAAGAAGCTCGGAAAATAACAAACAGGATCAAATATCCAAAATGAAGCAAAACAAGCAAATAAACAAAAACTTAGACAAATTATTATCAAAGTGCAAATTGTGCAGACACAGAACGTTAAAATAGGCCAGAGTTCTCTCTCTCTCTCTCTCTCTCTCCTTCTCTCTCTCCCAAATAGGATAAGAAATAAATTGCAGCAGAATTCTCATTAGAAACTATGCAAGCAAAAAGAGAGAAAAGTGAAATATTTAAAATATGGAAAGGAAAAAGTTCACACCTACTTAAAATTCTAGATCAAGTTAAATAATCTTTCTTAAGTGAAGCAAAATAAAATATATTTCAGACAGACAAAGCTGAGGAATTTCAATGCCAGAGACTTGCCCTGCAAGAGATGTTAAAAGAGGCCCTATAGGGAGAAAAATATGGTGCCGAATATATAATGCAGTAGCTGGGATCTCCATCAATAAAGGGAGAGTGTTAGAGATGGAATAAAGATGGTTAAAAAATTAAGTCCTAGTCTTCTTTTATAAGCTTTTATTTTAGGTTTAGGGATACATGTGTAGGTTTGCTATATAGGTAAATTTGTGTCATGGGATTTGTTGTATTGATGATTTCATCATCCAGGTACTAAGTCCAGTAACCTATAGTTATTTATTTTGCTCCTCTTCCTCTTCCCACCCTCCAATTTGAAGTAGGCCTCAGGGCCTGTTGTTCTTTTCTTGTGCCCATGTGTTCTCATCATTTAGCTCCTGCTTATAAGTGAGAAAATGTGTTACTTGGTTTTCTTTTCCTGCGTTAGTTTTCTAAGGACAATAACCTCCAGCTTCACCCACATTCCCACAAAAGACATCTCATTGGTTTTTATGACTGCATAGTATTCCATGGTGTATATATACCACATTTTCTTTATCCAGTCTGTTATTTGTGGGCATTTAGGTTGATTCCATGTCTTTGCTATTGTCTACAGTGCTTCAGTGAATATTTGTGTGCATATATCTTTATGGTAGAATGATTTATATTCCTCTGGGTATATACCCTGTAATGGGATTGCCAAATGGAATGGTAGTTCTGTTTTTAGCTCTTTGAGGAATCACCATACTGCTTTCCACCGTCATTGAATTAATTTACTGTTTCACCAACAGTGTATAAATGTTCCTTTGCAACGTGACCAGCATATGTTATTTTTTGACTTTTTAATAATAGCCATTCTGACTGGTGTGAGATAGTATCTCATTGTCATTTTGTTTTGCATTTTTCTAACCATCAGGGATACTGAGCTTTTTTTCATATGCTTGCCAGCTACATGTATGTCTTCTTTTGAAAAACATGTGTTCATGTCTACTTTTTAATGGGGTTGTTTGTTTTTTTCTTGTAAATTTGTCTAAGTTCTTTATAGCTGCTGGATATTAGACCTTTGTCATATGCATATTTTGCAAAAATTTCTTCCCATTCTGTAAGTTGTCTGTTTGCTTTGTTGATAGATTCTTTTGCTGTACAGAAGCTCTTCAGCTTAATTAGATTCCAGTTGTCGACTTTTGTTTTTGTTGAGATGTATTTTGGCATCTTTGTCATAAAATCTTTGCCAATTATTATGTCTAGGATGGTATTGAGTACGTTGTCTTCCAGAGTTTGTATAGTTTTGGGTCTTATATGTAAGTCTTTAATCCATCTACAGTTGATTTTTGTGTATGGGGTAAGGAAGTAGTATAGTTTCAATCTTCTGCCTATGACTAAACAGATAGAAATTTAAAGTAATCATAATAGCAATTATGAGTATTAAGAGTATTATAAGTATTAAGAGACTATAGCATATATGCAAATAAAAATAAACACATAGCAGTAATTACATAAGTAATGGGAGGGTGGAATTAAGAATACTCTTGAGAGGTAGTTCCATTGTCCAGGAAGCAGTATCATAGTATTCAACAGGTGACTTGTATTAGCTAAAAGGATATATTAGTAATGTTCAGGAAAATACCACATTGTTTTAAAGTTTAATATATATGCCAAGAGAAGGGACAAATAAGATTGTTTAAACTGCTCAAAATATCCCACATATCCCAGAAACATATACATCTATGTACATACAAAAAATAAAAATAATTTTTAAAAATACTCAAGCAGAGAAAGCTGAAAATGGGCAAAAAACAAATAAAAAATATATCAAATTGAATGATTACCAACATGTTAAAAATTCATTCAACTATATTACTTTAAACACTCATGTTTATGTACATCAATTAAAAGACTAAGATTATAATGTGATTATAATTTAAAGGAAAATAAAACCCACTATACGTGTCTAAAGAAACTCATTTTGAATTTAAAAACACAGACATGTTAAAATAAAGAGAGGGACAGGTATGCCATCTAAACACTAATGAAAACAAATCTGGAGTACTTAATGATTTCATACAAATCAGACTTCAGAATGAGGAAATTATCAAGGATAAACATGCAAATACTGTAAAGACAAAGGGAACAATTTTCAAAGAAAACATATCAACTCCAAATATGTTTCACCAAAAACAGGAGTATAAAATTGCATGAGGTAAGAACTGATAGAACTAAACGGAGAAACCGACTAATCCACTGTTGTAGTTATAGATTTAAAATCCCGTCTGTCAGTAACTGATAGAGGAAACAGCAAAAAAAAATCAGAAAAATTGTAGTTGAACTAAACAGCACTATCAATTAACTTGAGTTAACTTGCATATATAGAATGTGTCATCCAACAGAACCAAAATATACATTCTTCTCAGGCTCACATAGAATACTCACCAATACACAAAACATTCTGGGCAATACAACTTAACACATTCATAGAAATAGAAATCATACTAAGAGAGGAGAAAGTAAAAAACTGGTCACACATGCAGTTAGGGTAGGTTCTTGGTAAAATTTCTTCAAACAAAGAACAGCCTGAAAATCAAACTGCAGGCCCCAGATAAGAAAGAGCCCATGCCTTGAATAGAAATGTTCACTTTGTGAACCCAGATGAACAAATTCCATTCCTTTTTGGACAAATTTCTCTCTCCTGGGCAGGCCTTAGTATCTTACTTTTCACCTATTTTACATATGCTTACATTTCTGTAACTGGCTGTAGGCTAAGTCTACATTTACATAGGGTGAATCATCACTTCAGTTGCTGATTGTTCCCAGGACAAGATTCTGGGCCAAGCCTTCACCTCTGTCTCCAATTGGTCCTTTACGCTCTCATACCTCTTTCTAAGTGCTGCTTTCTCGAATAGAGTCTGCAGCCCAGTCAGCACATTCCTCCCCTTCCCAGTCCATCAAAACCCCAGACTCAGCTTCATACTTGGCTATCCTCTTTCAGGCCTACCCTCCACTGTGGAGAGCTTTCTTCTTTTGCTTATTAAACTTTCACTCCAGCCTCACCATTTGTGTCCACATGCCTTAATTTTCTTGGCCGTAAGATAAAGAATTTTGGATGATACCTGAAACAATGAGACCACTACACTGTGGCGCATTGGTGAGACTGTAACAAAACAAAATATATTCTCAAACCACAATAGAACTAAACTAGACATCAATAACAAAGGTAGATGGAGATTCCTAAAATATCCGAAAATAAAATAATACTCTCTTGAAAAACACATGGGCCAAAGAAAAAGTGTAATGAAGAAAATGTTTTAAATATTTGAATTAAATGAAAATAAAAATATAACTTACCGAAACATACAGAGTGCAAATGAAATTTTAAACCAATAAACGCATATATTAGAAAAAAAATCTAAAATCAATAATCTAAGTTTCTGTCTTAGTAAAGTACAGAAAAGGAGATACATTTAAATTCAAAGCAAGTAGGAGAAAAGAAAGAAATCAGAGCAGAGAAAAATAAATTTGAAAACAGCCCACAGAAAAAATCAGCAACCAAAAAAGAAGTAATTTTAAAAAATCAATATAAATAAAAAACTTCTATGTATACTACCCAAGCAAAAAGAGAAAAGGCACACTTTGGTAATATCACAAATGAAAGAGGGTTTATCATGAATGATCCCATGGACATGAAAATGTAACAAAAAATTATAAATAACTTTATGCCCACAAATTTGATAATTTCAATGAATAGAACAAAATTCCTGAAAGACATCACTGTCAGAACTCATACAAAGACAAATAGATAATTTGAATAGGCTTATAGCTATAAAGAAAATGAATTGCTAATTAATGTCTTTTCCAAAAATGTACCAGAGTCACCTAATTTAACTACAGAATTCTACAGAACTTCTAAAGAATAAACATGCAGTAGTCTGCTTGGCTGCCATATGAAATACCACAAGATGTGTGGCTTAAATAACATAATTTTATTTTTTTCACAATTCTGAACACTAGAAGTCTAAGATTAAGGTGTCTACAGGTTTGGTTTCTTCTGAGAACTCTCTCCATTCTTGTAAATGGCTGTCTTCTCCCTGTGTCCTCACATCATCTTTTCTCTATGTGCAAACCACCTGGTGTCTGTTTATTAGGATACCAGTCATTCAGGATAAGGGCCCCATCCTAATGGCCTCTTTTTAACTTATGGCTTCTTTAAGGGCTTTATCTTCAAGTAAGGTCAAGTTCTGAGGTACTTTGTGTCAGAACTTTAATGTATGGAAACTGCAGGGTAGCAATCCAGCTCATAAGAAACAATCCCAATTTTCTAAATATTTTCCATGAAATAAGAGTAAAGGGAACCCTTTTTGTCTCCTGCTATGTGGCAAGTATGAGCCTAATACCAAAACCAGATAAAGACATTGCACAAAAGAAAAACTACAGGCCAATGTCTCTCATAAACATAAATGCAAAAATTCTTAACATAAGTAATAGAAAATAGAATTCTACATGATAAACAGATAAAGACATTACACAAAAGAAAAACTACAGGCCAATGTCTCTTATAAACATAGATGCAAAAATTATTACCATAAATATTATCAAATAGATTTCTACCATATGTGAAATTATATATACACAATGACAAAGTGAGGTGTATCCTGTCTATGCAAGCCTGGTTCACATTTACAAATCAATTAATGTAAGCAGCAAGTTAAAGAAGAAAAGTCATCAGATCATACAAACTGAGCCAGAAAAAGCATTTGATAAAATTTAACACCAATTCATGGAAAACAAAAACTATGAGCAAGTTAGAAGTAGAGTCCTCAATGCCTTGATTTTATGAAGAATAGCTCCACACATCTTAATGCTAATATCCTGCTTAATCAGGAGAAATTGAATATTTTCTCCCTCAGACCAAGAAAAAGACACAGATGTCTCCTCTCACTATTCATAGTTCAAAGTGTGATGGAGTTTCTAGGTTATGTAACAAGACAAGAAAAGGAAATAAAAATTATATAGACCAGTAAAGAAGATATAAAATTGTCTTTTTCTTTGTAGATAATATGATCATCTATATGGAAAATCCCAAAGAATTAACAATGACAGCAAAAACGCCTGGAATAACTGATTATAGGAAAATCACAGAATACAAAGTTAATGTGAATAGTCAATTGCTTTTCTATTTACCAGTAAGGAGTAATTGAATTTTTTTAAAAAATTAAAAGGTTAATTAACACCATAGACAATTGACTATTGCAAATAACCAGAGAAAAATCTACCCTTATATTAGGGCTTTGTGTATAAAAACAAAATATTATAGACAACCTCAAATCCGTTAGTAGGGAGATGGCTAAACAAGCCATTGTATAGGTATGATCATTTATAAAGAAAGACACACAGAATTATATTACTGATCTCTATGTACTGTGATGCACACCAAACCTTCATTATATACTATATAAGTACCATATAATATTATCAGCGAAACGCATCCAATTGTCCACATGTTGTCTGTAGGTATTTATACATATGCCAAATGATGATAGCTAGCTCTCTAGAGGCGGCAGGAAAATGAGACATTGACATTTTTTTTTTTTTTATACAGAGTCTCACTCTGTCACCCGGGTTGGAGTTCCATGGCACAGTCTCAGCTCACTACATCCTCCACATCCAGGGTTCAGCAATTCTCCTGCCTTAGCATCCCAGTTAGCTGGAAATACAGGTGTGTGTCACCACACCCAGCTAATTTTTTTTATTTTTTGTAGAGAGAGGTTTTCACCATTTTGGCCAGATTGGTCTCCAACCCCTAACCTCAGGTGATCTGCCTGTATTGGCCTCCCAAAGGGCTGGGATTACAGGCATCAGCCACCGTGCCTTGCCACTTTCACATGATTTCTATCAGATGCCTAGCATGATCCCCTTCCTTACAGATGGAGCAACTGAAGCTCAGAGAATTACTGTTAACAGTGTTACCATCTACAGAATCAGAATTAAACTTGGTCTGTGAAGTTCAAAAGTTCATTCTCTTGCACAAGAGCCCCACATTTTATATTCATAGAGCAAACAAAATGTATTCCAATGAGACGTATTACCTAGAAGTAAAACATGACACTCAGCATCACTGGAATGGATTGTTAGAAGATCCACTTCCAGATTATAGGGTCATTTCTGACCTCAGTAAATAACGCATAATAGCAGTGATTTGTAGGTATTGTTATAAAACCTCCTAATAAAAATTCCTATATAAGTAACCAACTCATTTCAACAAGAATTCATTAGTTTGTTTTACCAATGTAAGCAAGTTGAAAATTAAAGTTTCATAACAAAGTGTTTTGGACATCAAAAGTGGTGAGCTTGTGTGAGGAACTGGTGGGTTCTTGGTCTCACCGACTTCAAGAATGAGGCCACGGACCCTCGCGATTGAGTGTTACAGTTCTTAAAGGTGGTATGTCTAGAGTTTGTTCCTTCTGATGTTTGGATGTGTTCGGAGTTTCTTCCTTCTAGTGGGTTCCTGGTCTCGCTGGCTCAGGAATGAAGCTGCAGACCTTCGTGGTGAGTGTTACAGCTCTTAAGGTGGCACATCTGGAGTTGTTCATTCCTCCCGGTGGGTTTGTAGTCTCACTGGCTTCAGGAGTGAAGCTGCAGACCTTCGCAGTGAGTGCTACAGCTCATAAAGGCGATGTGGACCCAAAGAGTGAGCAGCAGCAGGATTTAATGCAAAAAGCAAAAGAACAAAGCTTCCACAGTGTGGAAGAACACCTGAGCAGGTTGCCACTGCTGGCTCCCGCAGCCTGATTTTATTCTTATCTGGCCCCACCCACATCCTGCTGATTGGTCCATTTTACAGAGAGCCAATTGGTCTGTTTTACAGAGAGCTGATTGGTCTATTTTGACAGGGTGCTGATTGGTGCCTTTACAATCCCTGAGATAGACACAAAAGTTCCCCACCTCCCCACTAGATTAGCCAGATACAGAGTGTCAATTGGTGTGTTTACAAACCCTTGAGCTAGACACAGAGTGCTGATTGGTGCATTTACAAACCTTAAGCTAGATACAGAGTGCTGATTGGTGCATTCACAAACCCTGAGCTAGCCACAGGGTTCTGATTGGTGTGTTTACAAACCTTGAGTTAGCTACAGAGGGCTGATTGGTGTATTTATAATCCCTTAGCTAGACATAAAGATTCTCCAAGTCCCCACTAGACTCAGGAGCCCAGCTGGCTTCACCCATTGGATCCTGCACCCATCAGCAGATGGAGCTGCCTGCCAGTCCCTCTGCGGTTCCTAGGCACTCCTCAGCCCTTGGGCAGTCTATGCGACCCGTGGCCCTGGAGCAGGGGGAGGGCTCATCAGGGAGGCTAGGGCCATGCAGGAGCCCACGTTGGGGTGGAAGGAGGCTCAGGCATGGGAGGCTGCAGGTCCCAAGCTCTGCCCTGCCGGGAGGCAGCTTAAGGCCCCACGAGAAATCGAGCACAGCAGCTGCTGGCCCAGGTGCTAAGCCCCTCACTGCCTGGGGCTTGCGGGTGGGCCTGACGCTGCCAGGGCAGGGCCAGCAGAGCCCACGCCCACCCAGAACTCCTGCTGGCCCGCAAGCGCCATGCGGCAGCCCGGGTTCCCGCCCACGCCTCTCCCTCCACACCTCCCAGGAAGCTGAGGGAGCTGGCTCCCGCCATGGCCAGCCTAGAAAGGGGCTCCCACAGGGCAGCGGCGGGCTGAAGGACTCAAGCGCGGCCAAGGAGGCGCGGAGAGCCATCAAGGGCTGCGAGGGCTGCCAGCACACTGTCACCTCTCAAGCTGAGATGAGAGATACAAATTTAGAAATGAGAAAGGAAGACTTCACAATATACAGACTGGGCTCTAAAAAAATGATGATGAACATGTGTAGCAAGGTGAGAAATAAAATAAAAGCAAAAATCAAGGATGTGCTATTTTTACTATGGATCTTCTTATTTCTGTATCTTCTTATTTTTTAGGATATCCCCCCAGATATGCTGAAAAAGTGAAGATATACAGCCATCCTCAATAGAAGCCAGTCATGATCACATACCTAAGTGGGGTTGAATGCACACAGAAATCTATTAATTTCAGACTCTTCCTCTATTTGGGGGCATCTCTACTAGCTAGGATGCTGCCATAGCACTTGAATTTTAATTTTCAATATCAAACCTAAGATTACTTCACTCCTGCTGGATATTACTTTGTCTATTTAAACAATTTTTTGTCTTTGTTTCCTTTCTTCCTCTCTCCCACCTTCCTTCTTTCCTTTCTTTTTCCCACCCTCCCTTCTTCTTTCCTTCTTCTCGCTCTCCCTTGGCGATGTGAATTTTGTTCTGGCATACATTGAATGACTCGTCTGCCACAAAGTTGAATTCTAATACACAATGGTGTTTGGTTTCGCATAGTGTAATCACAATTTTGTGCATTTTAAAATTACCTTAGACAACACTCAGATTTGCAAGAGCAAAGGAAATCATTAACAAATGAACTATCAACGATTGCCAAAATTCTTTCCATATTGGCTGCCTATACTTGGGTCTTCTGCAGCCAGAGTTTGCTCTGTTTCCTCTTTTGGAAGCTAGAAAAATTAAAAATTGTTGTTCTATGTTTAAAAACTATAGAAATGCTGTTCTCCAAAGAGAAAATACTGGAGCAGAACAGGTATATATTCTGTGAACTTTGTTTTCCAAAAAGTCTGGTTGAGTATTTAAGGTCCAGCTACCTACCAAGAAATATGCCAAGGTCTGCGAAGTGTAGAATGCCAAACAATGGCATTTGTTTCATCAATTCAATCCATGTGTTTCATCAATTCATGCATTTTTTTTCCCTTAAATAATAAGTCAATTTTATCCTTTTGATTCAACCAGCACAGCTTAGGGGATGACACATGCATACAGTAGACTGTCAGAGTGGTATACTTTGTATAATAGAAATAAATGAAGATAAAATAGAAAGGAAAAAAAGCAGATGATTTGCTAGGAACTCTGCCTGACCTGTAGTCCCTCAGCACATAACATTGTCTCTGGGGAAGAAAAGTTTATCTTGGGCTGCAAACAGACAATAAATGGTAAGAAGCCTCAAGTTCTGAGACTTGGATAACCACAGTAAGTATCCCTTATGGTAGGGCAGTGCAGAGCTCAGCTTTCTAAGATGGAGATTTCTAACGAAGAGACACATTTCCCTATGTAATGAGAAAGTTGGGCTTAGAGGATTTTTTATTTTGCTTATTTATTGTGTGCATGAAAATTTTTGCTCTCAAGTTCATTTTTGTCAGATATTGACAAAATTCAGACTGCATAAAGTTTAAAAAGGTATCTACAGCAATTTTTTTAAAAGCATAGTTGAAAATCTCTTATCTTCTCCCTACTCCATTTAATTCATCAACCTAGAAGATGTGGTTAAAGCCCTCTTCTTAACAGTTTAGAAGTGTTGTGTTACCATAGACTTTTGTTTGAGTAATGTAAAATAACTCGTGGATAGTCTGACACTTTGCAAGAAAGCATGTAACTCTGTTGTTCAGATATAACACCAGGAGGCCTTGGGATTATCTACCTATCAGTGCTGAGATGGAGAAAGAGTCAAAAGCAACCCTTCTTGCTCCAGGCATGTGCAGGAGGTTTTTTGGTTTCAGCATTTTGTTGCATGCTGACTATGTCCTTTACCTTCTCTTAAATTATGTATCAATTCATGCTGGTTTATTCACTTCCTGATGTCTATATGAAGAGGCTGTCTGCCAACATCTTTCATCACTCTGCCTGCAACTATGAAAAATTTAGTTCTAAAAAATGCAACCTTGCTAAATTGAGTACTAATAGGATTGGTTCAATTATGTTCTATGTCTGTTCCATATTGACATTGTGTGCATCTTTGCCATGCAGGCTTTTTAGGAATTATCGCATCTCTAACTTCCCACGAGTGTTTATGAAAATGTTTAGATTTAAAGAACTTTATTGCTTTAGACAGAATAAGGCATGCAGTTCTAACAGAAAGATCCATGAATTCCAGAAATATCACTGAAAATTATTGACATTTAAGATTATTTTCTGTTTGTTACTATGGTTCACAATTCAAGAATAACTCTGGCCAGGTGCAGTAGCTCACACCCTGTAATCCCAGCACTTTGGGAGGCTGAGGTAGGCAGATCACTTGAGCTCAAGAGTTCAAGACCAGCCTGGGAAACATGGCAAACTCCCACCATTACAAAAAAATACAAAAATTAGTTGGTCATGGTGGTGTTCACCTATAGTCCCAGTGACTTGGGAGGCTGGGATGGGAGGATCTCTTGAGCCCAGGAGATGCAGGCTTGCAGTGAGCCATGATCATGCCACTGTACTGCAGACTGGGTGAAACAGCAAGATCTTGTCTGAAAAGAAAAAAAAAAGTAAAAGAAAAAGAAAAGAAAATAACTCCCATTGCTAAAGACATATATGCTTATCAGGTTAAGATAAAGTGAATTTTGTTCTTCCCAATGACATTTCAGGATATTTGTTCACAGGAAAGAACATGTTGGGAATTGGTACTGGCTAGAAATTTCTGTTGAGTATTTATTACCCCATGGTAATAATGGTAAACCACAGTTTAGAAAGATTTTTTTTTTGACAGCCACAGCATGTTCCGAAGAGATGATTGGAAGATGGAAGTGGAGGGTTAAATAATGAAATGCAGCTAACATTTCGGAAAGTTTCTAAAAGTTGTACAACATGCCCTACAGCTACTCTTTAAATCTCCAAATCAAATGAGGTGAGTTCATGTGAAGTGCATTTTACAGATGAAGACATCAAGGGTCATCAGGGTTAAGTGATATTCTAAAGTCACAGATGAAACTTTGGAGCTAAGTAGAGGACACTGCCACATTCAATTAAAAATTATAAATTGCAATGTTTATTCAAAATTAGTTGAAACTTAGACACATGAAAAGTCCCAAGAAACTCTGGTCCAATTACAATTATTTTTTCTAATAGAAGATCTGGAGAGGCCTCAGAAAAGGACCCATCTTCATCTTGCCTTCAGAAAATGCATTTAACATAGTAGACAGGGAGGAGAATCAAGTTAGAATGAAGAAAGTTGTGGAGGGTTCTCCCAGAAACATCCTGGGTTTCTTGAGTGTACCACTTGGAAAACCAGTGAGAAATTATCATGTAGTTGTAACTTCAGGCTTAATGTTTCTTCTTTTTTAACTCTATGTGGAGGTAAAAGAACATAAGCTATGTGTATATGACTGTAATAAGAAAAGTACAACAAACCAGGAGCTTGAAACAACAGAAATAAATTTTCTCCCAGTCCTGAAGACCAGAAGTCTGAGATCAAGGTGACTCAGAGACATCCATTCTCTGAAGACACTAGGGGAATATCCTTCACCCCTCTCCCTGCTCCTAGTAGCTCCAGGAGTCCCTGCGCTTGTGGACACACCACTCCATTCTCTGTCTCCATCTCACATGGCCTTCTCGTCTGTGTGTGTCTCCTCTGCTGTCTCTTATAAGGACATCAGTCACTGGAGTTAGGGTCTACATTAATTCAGGATAATCTTATTGCAAGATTATTTATATAATTATATCTGCAAACACCCTTATTCTAAATCAAATTTTATTTACAGGTTGCCAGTGTTAGGACACAGGCATACTTTTTGGGAGCTAGCATTCAATCTGCTGCAATGCACAGCAGAATGCAGAATGATAAATGAATAGCTGTGTACTCATGACTAACTTAAGGCCTAGCCTGTCACTTGCCTCTGAGGTCTTTTATATCCAATCTCAGATCTCACATATAAAAGCTAAGATCCTGTTTCCAGCATCTGTCCAGAACCCACCTTGTTAGGTCTTTGAATGATACCACTGGGCATCATGAGTTGTGAATAAGTCCATTGAAATTTCATTATTTTCAGGATTTCCCCTTGTATTAGTCTATTCTCTTGCTGCTGTAAGGACATACTAGGTAATTTTTAAAGAAAAAGAGGTGGCTGGGTGTGGTGGCTCACACCTGTAATCCCAGGACTTTGGGAGGTTGAGGCGGGTGGATCATGAGGTCAGGAGATCGAGACCATCCTGGCTAACATGGTGAAACCCCATCTCTACCAAAAATACAACAAATTAGCTGGGCGCAGTGGTAGGCACCTGTAGTCCTGGCTACTTGGGAGGCTGAGGCAGGAGAATGGTGTGAACCAGGGAGGTGGAGCTTTCAGTGAGCCGAGATCACGCAACTGCCCTCCAGCCTGGGTGACAGAGCTAGACTCTGTCTCAAAAAACAAAAAACAAAAAAATAAATACAAGTTTAATGGACTCACAGTTTCACATGGCTAGGGACACCTTACAATCATGGCAGGAGGCAAAGAAGGACCAAAGGCACGTTTTACATGGTGGCAGGCAAGACAGAAAGAGAGCCAAAAGAAAGGGGAACCCCTTATCAAACCATCAGATATTTTGTGACTTATTCACTACCACAAGAATGGGAAATCTCCCCCATGATTTAGTTATATACTACTGGGTCCCTCCTACAACAGGTAGGGATTATGGCAGCTACAATTCAAAATGAGTTTTGGCTGGGGACATAGTCAAATCGTATCCCCCATTCATTTTGAAACACAATGTTTCACATCTCAATGTATCCTCCCACAAGAACAAAGTATGAAAAAGGAACATTTACTTTAAAAAAATGGAGCTGCAAGGTTGTGGTTTTGGGGAAGTTACAGTTTTGCAAGGAAGCTGCAAGACGGTAAGACTTTCGCAGTAAATTTTACGAAAACGTGAATGTGTCAGTTCAGGTAATCCAGCAAGGGCAATGGGAGATAGAAAAGAAGACATAGGAATTGGCTATGTGATCATGGAGCTGATGAGGCATTCCTGAAATCTATAAGGCAAGAAACGCTAGCTGGAATTCTCAGAAGTGAGTGGAAGCTCCTGTCCATGAGCAGAATCTTCTCCAGCCAGGGAAGCTGCACCTCTATTCTTAATGCCTTTTGCTAACAGAGTCAGACCCACTAAGATCACATAGAATAATCTCCATTACTTTACATCAACAAACAAGGGGCTTCATCACATCTAGCAAATGACTTCATGTCAACCTCTAAATTTATATTTAATTATAAGGCTAGACCCAGTAGCCTAGCCTCATGGGCACATAAAGCTGACCATCACAGTGATGATAAGGAAGATATCTATTCTTTAACTGAAAATCCTATTTGAGTGAAATAGGAGTCAATATCACCAGCACCTCTAGGAAATACAAAGAAGTTAATGTGTGGAGGAAGTTTGAAGTCAAACAGAGGAACAGGAGACAGATTATTTGCACCTATGACAGGGTTATCATTAGCAAATTCCTCTGGAGCATATATGGAAATGCCCAACACATACCCTTCTCTTATGACTTGCAGGAGGCAATGGGATAGGTTC
The DNA here is from genome assembly GCF_000001405.40 of Homo sapiens. Classification (NCBI taxonomy): domain Eukaryota; kingdom Metazoa; phylum Chordata; class Mammalia; order Primates; family Hominidae; genus Homo; species Homo sapiens. Next base: position 18,874,422 of record NC_000024.10, on the reverse strand, counting down.
AGTTTAGCAGGAAAGGGTGTCTGCCTCATTTATGTCTCAGAGTGCTGAGGGTGCTTGAACAAAATGCCATAGACTGGGCTTCTTCCAAAAGAGGTTTAGCTGGGCATAGTGGCTTATGCTTATAAATCGCAGCACTTTGGGAGGCTAAGGCAGGATTGCTTGAGGCTAGGCATACAGGACAAGCCTGGGTAACATAGAAAGACCCCATTTCTATAAATTTTTTAAAAATTAGCTGGGCATAGTCACACATACCTGTAGTTCTAGCTACTTGGGAGGCTAAAGTGAGAGGATGGCTTGGGCCCAGAGTTGGAGTTTGCAGTGAGCCAAGGTCATGCATGCCACTGCACTCTAGCCTGGGCAGCAGAGCAAGACCTTATCTCTAAAAAGAAAGGGGTGGGGGAGAGAGAGAGAGTTATTTTTGTTAGTTTTGGTGGATACTATCAAGTCAAAGATCAAGGTTCTGATAGATTTCGTCCCTGGTAGGGGCTGTCTTCCCAGGTTTCAGATAGTCATCTTCTTGTTTTGTCATCACATAGTGGAGAGGGAAAGGGAGAGAGAGCTCTGGTCTCTTCTGCTGTTTATAAGGACACTGGTCCCATCATGGGAACTCTATCTTTATAGTCTCATCTAAATTTAATCACTGACCAAAAGCCCCATCTGTAAATACCATCACCTTGGCAGTTAGCTCTTCACCATGAATTTTTAGGAGACACTAACATTCAGTCAATAGCATTCTGCAATTTTGCATTTCCTTCATCTCTGAGAAACACGGCCCTGTTTTCAAGTGCAGTTCTTAAGTCTCCATGACTGACATCTGACCCTCTCCTCTAGCCTTACCCAGCTGACTAAGAGTGGAACAACTTGGGTGCATCAAATGACTTTTTCCAGTGGTGGAGGGAGGCAGAACTCATTGCTCCAGGAGCTGTGGAGGTGCACATTCTGTCACATTTTCTAGAAAAAGGATGAAAAATAGTAAAGAATCAGGAAGTCATAGGCATGAGGCTGAGAATCATTCTTTGATCTCCTGCCATGTCTTGATTCTAGCACTTTCTGAAATCCAGCAGTTATCTAGATTTTACGTGTTTGTTTGTTTGTTTATTTTTGAGATGGAGTTTCACTCTTGTTGCCCAGACTGCAGTGCAATGGCACAATCACGACTCACCACAACCTTCTCCTCCTGGGTTCAAGTGCTTATCCTGCCTCAGCCTTCTGAGTAGCTGGGATTACAGGCATGCACCACCTCACTCAGCTAATTTTGTTGTTGTTGTTGTTGTTGTATTTTTAGTAGAGACAGGTTTTCTCCGTGACGGTTAGGCTGGTCTCAAACTCCCGACCTCAGGTGATCTGCCCACCTGGGCCTCCTGAAGTGCTGGGATTACAGGCATAATCCTGAGCCACCACATCTGGCCTATCTATACGTTTAAACCAATATCTATGTTTGTTTTGATGAGTTTAAAATACTTGTCTGCTTATGACCAATTATAGGCAGAATTCTTGTTCCTTAGCCAAATTCATATGTGGAAATCTAACTCCAAATGTGTCCTCTGAAATGTATATGTTGAAATACTAAACCTCAATGCAATTGTAGTTTCAGGTGGAGCCTCTGGGAGGTGATGAGGTCATGAGAGTGGAGCCTCATGAATGGGATGAGCACTCCTACAAAAAGGATTCCAGAGAGCTCGCTTGCTCCTTCCACAGTGTGAGGACACAGAGGGAAGGCTCTGTCTATGAATGAGAAAGTGGGTCCCCACCAGACATTGAATCTGCCGCATCTTGATACTGGACTTCCAGTCTCCAGAACTGTGGGCAATAAATGTCTGTTGTTTATTACCTGTCCAGTATCTTTGGTATTTTGCTATAGCAACCCAAATGGACTAAGAAAACACCAGAGGCCATACCTAATAAAAATATTGACATCACAATTTGTTGTATCAGGTGACTGTTTTTCCACTAAAATAGTTACTTTAATTCACGAATAGGTAAGTCAGGTAAATGAATTTTACTGCGCAGTATACTTTTCTTATTATTCTTTAAAAGTTTCAGAAATTGGTCTCTCCAATTAGTTAAGCCAATGCAAAAAAAAATCATAGTTACAGAGCAAATGTCTGTGTGGGTTCTTCTGCTTATTACTGGTAGAGTTTGTCATTGGATGCACCCAGAATTCAGAATAAGCCCTGACTTAATGGTTGGAATATCACTCTTTGTTGTTTAGATGTGTGACGCATGGGCATCACTGCCAGAGTGAGAATAGAGAATACAAAAGCTAATATGCCTCCTAATTTGTTAGGGATGGGTCATAAGATTGTGTAGGCAACTAAGAAGGTACACGGATACATGGAGGTTCTTCATAAACACTTCAACATCAGAGCAAATATTTTTATTTTAGATACAGTAATGACTCTACAAAAAAAAACTGTCAAAAATAAATTCTGCTTCATTTTATATTAATTGCTTGGGAGTACCTAGCAATTTATCATTTAAGAGTGTTAGATCTTTATTCTGTGGAATATATCTATGAGATCCCTCTTAAAGAAAACAGACTGGTTCTGCTTATGTATTTTATGATTGCTTTATATAAATTAGCCCAATGGGACACATCACACATGTTTTATTATATGTATAGCAGCATAGACTTACAGTTAAAATCTGAATATATGATATGTATATAGTGTGTGTTTACACACACTCAGACACACATGCACACACATACATTTTATATGTGTGTGTGTTTTATATGTATTTATATATATTCTATATATATTTTATATATATTTTATATATTTTATATAAATATATTTTTATATAATTATATATTTTATATAATTATATATTTATATATTATATATTTTATATAATTATATATTTATATATTATATATTTTATATAATTATAATTATATATTTTATATAATTATATTATATATTTATTTATTATATACAATATTATATATAATTATAATTATATAAAATATATTTTATATAATTATAATTATATATTATATTGTATATAATTATAATTATATATAATTTTATATAATCTTATATATAATAAATTTATATATAATATAATATATAAAATATATAATTATATATAATTAATATATAATTATATATAATTATATAAATATATAATTATATATTTTATATATAATTATATATTTATATAATTATATATTTTATATATTATATATTTTATATATAATTATATATTTATATATTTATATATGTATTTATAAATATATATATTTTTAATTATATTATAATTAAAAATATATATTTTTTAATTATATTATAATTAAAAATATATATTTTTTAATTATCTTATATGTAATAATTATATATAATTATATGGCTAAAAGCTAGGTGTTTCCAGAGCTGGGTGTAGTATGAAAAGCATCAAAGAGATGTAAAACAGCATCATCCCAGATATTTTATGATCAGAATGGATCTTGAAGTGCCCCAGCAACCAGCACAAGCTTTAAGACACAACAATTATAGAAATGTCAAGCACCCATTTCATATACCAACTCTTCCTCTTCATCCCTTAATATAAAAATCATATTTTGATATGTATGTGATTTTTAAATTCTTAAAGAACTAAAGCACCACCTAAATTTTTTCACAGAGACAGCTGACAGCTGACTTCATACAAAGGGGCTGCTGGTGGCATAGAATGACTCCAATGTGTTTGTGGTTCTGGGATACTCTGGCATCTAGTTTGCTGGCCGTATTGTCCATGAATTAGGGGGTTTGATTTCTAGTTGCTCTGTCTGTTTTTGGGTGGGAATTTGGCAATAGATAAACACTATGCAGTTACTACCACTACCATCTTTCCAGAAACCCATCCAATTTTTAGTTAAGCAATTAAATCATCTCAGTTTTAATATTTGATAAATAGCCTTAATTGAAATTTTACTCTTTGAAAAATACCTAGGTACAATCCCATGTTTATTGCAGCACTATTCATAATAGCCAAGATACGGAATCCACCTAAGTGTCCATAAACGGATGAATTAATAAAGAAATTATGTTATGCATCTGCAATGGCATACTACTCAGCCCCAAAAAGAATGAAATCCGATTTTTGCAGCAACATAGATGGACCCAGAAAATATTATGTTAAGTCAAATAAGCCAGGCACACAAAGACAGATACTACATAATCTCATTTATACCTAGAAATAAAAGCAGTCAAACTTACAGAAGCATAGAGTAAAGGGGTGGTTAACAGTAAAGGTTCATTGGTTTCAAAGAACAACTTTATTTCTACCTTATTTCATTATTTACCCAGCAATGATTTACAGCCTGCTCCTAAATGTTCAGTTTCTATGTAGTTGTGCAGGTTTGTGTGAGTTTCTGAATCCTGGGTTCTCATTTCATTGCACTGTGGTCTGGGAGGCTCTTTGCTATAATTTCCATTCTTTTGCATTTGCTGAGGAGTGTTTTCCTTCCAATTATGTGGTCAGTTTTTGAATACATGTTATGTGGAACTCAGAAGAATGTATATTCTGTTGATTTGGGGGTGGATAGTTCTGTAGATGTCTATTAGGTTTACTTAGTCCACAGCTGAGTTCAAGTCCTGACTATCCTTGTTAATTTTCTGTCTCATTGATTGCTGGCTATTCTTTCTCTGAAGCTATATCCTCAAGGGGCATCTGTCAGATGCTAGCCAGTGCTCTCCAATACAAGGTGTCTGTCGGCCCCTGCCAGGAGGTGTCTCCCAGTCAGGATACACAGAGGTCAGGGATCCACTTGAGAAGGCACTCTGACCATTAGCAGAGCCAGTGCACTGTAATGGGAGGTGTGCTGCTCCTTCAGAGCCATCAGGCGGGGATGTTGAAGTTTGCTGAAGCTGCATCCATGGCTTCCTTTTCCCCCAGGTGCTCTGTCCCAGGGAGATGGGGTTTTTATTTGTAAGCCCCTGACTGGGGCTGCTATCATTTGTTTCGAAAATACCCTACCCGGAGAGAAGAAATCTGGCAGTCTGGCCACATCAGCCTTGCTGAGCTGCAGTTCAAACTTCTCTGAGGCTTTGTTTACACCATGAGGTAAAGCAGCCTACTCAAGCCTCAGCAACGGAAGATGCCCATCCCCCCACCAAGCTCCAGTGTCCCAGGTAGATCTCAGACTGCTGCTGTGCTGGCAGCGAGAATTTCAATCTGGTGAACCATAGTTGGATTGCCACCATCGGGGATGGCACCTGCTAAGCCAGATCACTTGGCTCCTTGGCCTCCGCACTCCTTTTCAGGGGAGTGAACAGTCCTGTCTCCTTAGCATTCCAGGCACCACTGGGGTAATAAAAACAACAACAACAACAACAACAAAACACTCCTACAATTAGTTCATTGTTTTTTCTAACAACCCCATTTTTGTGCTTGAAACCCACGGCCCTCATGGTGCAGTTACCAAACGCAATCTCCTGGTCTGCAGGTTTTCAAGACCATGGGAGAAGCACATTTTAGGCACAGGGTGCATGGTTCCTCAGGCTAACTCCCTCACAGCTTCTCCTGTGTAAATGAGAAAATTTCCCGACCCATTAGGCTTCCCGGGAGAGGTGATGACCTACCCTGCTTCAGCTCACACTCCATGGGCTGCAGCCACCATTCAACCAGTCCCTATCAGATGAACAGTGTACCTCAGGTGGAAATGCAGGAATCACTCACTTTCTTCATCAATCTCCCTGGGAGCTGCAGTCTGGAGCTCTTTTTCTTCAGACGTCTTGCCAGCAATTCCCCCTTTCCTGTTTTTTTCTTTTTTTTTTTTTAATGGTGAAGGAGCCATTAACTGGAAATGTAAAACTATGCAAATTCTAGAAGAAAGTACAGAAAGAAATTTATGTGACCTCAGGTTTGGTCATAAGTTTTAACAAATGACACCAAAGCTGATCAGTAATGGTAAAAATAATTAATAATATTAGTTTTCTTATATTAATAGTTTGTACTCTGAGTAAAATCTTATTCAGGAAATAGAAAGATAAGCAAAAGACTGAAAAGAAATATCTGCAAAATACAGATCTAAGCAAGAACTTGCACTGAAAATACACCGATCTTGAAACTCAAAATTAAGATATACTACCCAATTAACAATGAGTAAAGAGCTGAACACACCAATGAAAATACACCGACAGAAAGCAAACAAAAAGTTGCTCAAACTCATATATCTTTAAGGGACTGAAAATTACAACAATGAGATAGCATGGCCCATTTATATTTGTTGGAACGGCTAAACCATTTTTAAAACATGACAAATGATTTGCTGGAGGGAAAACAGGAATTCATTCATTGCTCGTGGAATGCACAATGGTGGAGAAAAAAAGAACTCACATTCTCAAATTAATCTGAAAACCTCTTTCTCACCTCTACCATGCACAGAAGGAGCTATCTGGTCTACCTTTTGATGACAGACACGAGATTCAATGTAATCTGTGCATTCGCCAGCAGCAGTTGGGATCCAGGCAGAAATTAGATGGGCCCCACAATCAAAGTCATCTAAGAACTTTTTAATAAAGAGTGACTTATTCAAGGTACTCACAATAGATGGCAGAGTTCCCGGGGATAGTAGCAGGATGACACTCTTAGCACTCCTTGGGAGTGAGATTTAAAGGAGGGAGAAATTCTCAGCAATGGAGAGAGGCGGATGGTGCAGAGAACTTGAAAGATGTCATCACAGGAACTATGACGTCACTTGGCCTTGAGACACAGCAGCAAGTCCAGTGCCACTGTATGCGTAGGCTGGTGTCCCCACTGGCCAAACCCAATCAGCAGGTAGAGGGCAAAAAATGTCTTGATACCACCTAGAGGCAGGTTAGCAGAGTTTAATCCAGAAATTTTAATTTTATAAATCTTCCCAATTTAAGCCTCCCCTTACAAGGACAAAGCATAGTTTTATAATACTGACCTAGTATGAATCACTAAAACATGCAAGCCGTGCACAGTGGATTGCGCCTGTAATCTCAGCAACTCATGAGGTGAGTCTGGTGGATCATTTTGGTCAAAAGATTGAGACCAGCCTGGCCAATGTGGTGAAACCCTGTCTCTATTAAATATTCAAAAATTTGCCGGGTGTGGGTGGTGCATTCCTGCAGTCTGAGCTACTTGGGAGGCAAAGGCAGGAGAATTGCTTGAACCTAGGGGGTGGACATATGGTTTAGGAGATGCATGTTTTCATTTTATTCTCTTCCAATTTTTCTTCTTTTAGTAGTAAATAGTCATCCATCTCTTAAACATTTTCATTCAGCATATGTTTGTTTTGTTATTGCCAAAGACTGTGCTTTGACAGACATTAAGTCAACCTGAAACTTAAAAAGGAAATTTTACAATTGAATGATGACTTCATAGTGAGCAAAAATAAAAGCTTGCAGGCTCCTTTAGGCATAGTGTCACAATTTAACTAAGGTCAGTAAACAGATGTCTGAATCTCTGCAAAAAAAGGCCAAACTACAGTAACAGAAATTGTCTTCTGCCCTACAACTGGGGCAGAGGAAGTTTTATGGACCACATCCCATGAAGCAAGTCCTTCTAAGATTATCACCCCATTTTTCAGAAGCAGCTAAGAACCTAACAACAATCACTCATAATAGAAATATAGCTTTGTTTTAAATATGAAAAGTTAAGGTAAAAATGTGCAGGCATGGTGTGTCCCGCCTGTAACTCCAGCACTTTGGGAAGCCAAGATGAGAGGATTGCTTGAACTCAGAAGTTACAGACGACCATGTACAACATGGAAAACTCCATCTCTACTAAAAATACAGCAGGGCACTGTGGCTCAAACATGTAATCCCAGCACACTGTAAGACCATGAAGGGTAGATCACTTGAGGTCAAACATTTGAGAGCAGCCTAGCCAACATGGTGAAACCCCATCTCTACTAAAACAACAAATATTAGCCGGGCATGGCAGTGGGTGTCTGTAATACCAGCTACCCAGGAGGTTGAAGCAGGACAATCATTTGAACCCCAAGGCAGTGGTTGCAGTGAGCCCAGTTCACATCATTACACTCAAGCCTGGGTAACAGACTGAGACTCCATCTTAAAAAATATAAAAGAAAGAAAGTAAAAAAAGAAATACATAATTTGCTTGGTGTGGTGGGGCATGGCTATAATCCCAGCTTTTCGGGAGGTGGAGACACAAGAATTGATTGTATCTGGGAGGTAATGATTGTAGTGAGCCGAGATCACACTAGTGCAGTCTAGGCTGAATGACAGCATGAGACTCAGTCTCAAAAAACAAACAAACAAACAAAAATAACATTTTGTGTAGTGCTTTTCTTTTCTTAGTATACTATATCTCATATTTGCATATGAAGGCCTACAAAGTTCTCACGTAAGTTAAACTTGCAAAATAAACTTTAGATTTAAAATGTTTTAAGTGCCTAAAGTTCCAGCTTCATCTTCAGACAGCAAGCACAAGAATAAACAGAAAACTAAGGAAGCAATGGCGTGTGATAAATGCAATACATTTTGTTTTAATCTGTGAGATAACGCTGTAACGACAGAAATTTTTAGCTGCTGCTGATGGAAAGAGAGACAAGGCTGATGTAGTAACAGAGCAGTAATAATATTGGCCACCTGCTATGAATTAGGCATATAAGTTAGCTCACTGAATTCCCTCTACAACCCTGTAGTGTGGAAAATATCCTACAGTTTACAGCTGAGGAATACGCAAAGGACCGCCCAAAGGCACACAAGAAATTAGACACACAGATAAGATGCAAGAAGCACTCTAAGAATCAAAGCACTATCTACATTTTCCTATATGGCGTTGACTGAAGTTAAGAACTATTGAATTAACTTTAGTCATCCCCTTCTTCGCCATAGAAATGGCAGTTTAAACATCAAGAGGAAGACTTTGGATAAATTACGTATAACTAAAATTTTATATATTGCTTAAAATCTATTTCAAAAAATATGCTGAACAATGACGTCAAGTTCTTACATAAAATTTACTGATTCATTGAGTTCCTCCTTTTTGAATTAGTAACTGTGTTCTCCTCTTGCAAGTAAACAGGTTTTCCTGAAAGAAGGAGCCCTTTAAACACCATAATGTTTTCCTGGTAAATACAAAAGCTATTTAATATTTATGGCCAGTATGTCAGACCTAATGACCATTATTTTGTAATAGAAATAGCCTGTGTAGGGGACAAAACTTTCACAGGCAAGTAAGAAATAAGCCCTGTTAGCTAACAGGTGATGTGAAGCTATAACTGTCATCTATGTGGTGAAATTCCACCATCTACACCTGCTAACCAGAGAGGTTTTAAGTTCCTTGAAGAAGAAGATCTGTCTGTTACTATATTGTAAAAGACAATATTGTTATTGTATTGTAGGTATTACTTTCTCATTTTCATTTTATTTAACTTGAATCTATGTAGATATAATATCAAGGCAAAATTTGTTACATAGATGATGGTAGTAATTTATAAAAGAAGGGTTAGTCTCCACAAGATAGTAGTAAAAGGGGAAACCACACACTGGGTGTCTGGACAACATCAAATAACTACTTTGGTATACTCCCAATAGTCTAACTGAAAATTCCAACAAAACGTCACCTCTCCTTACAGGCAATTTCCTAGGAATATATTGAAATATAAAATATATGAAGATTGAGAAAGTACTCACCTTCCAGTCTCAAGGGCAATATATACAAGATTCCAGGAGGTTATATATACAGTAAAAATATTATAAATAAAGAAATACATTAGAAGCCAACAAAATAAGAAGCTATGTCACAGGAGACAGAGAAGTTAAAATTTTCCTAAGTGAAAAAGAAGGTATCTCAAGGGTAAAAGTAATAGGTATCAGAGGCAATAAGTTGCTGTCGACTTCTTGATAATTATAGATTTATCAACATATATTCAAATAAAGTTTAATAAAATATACAGAAAAAAAACTGGCCTTTCTGATTATATAAAATATTAAGGATAATGGTTTCTCAAAAGTCAGTGAAAACCATTTTGTTAATTTTTACATAATTAAAATTACAAAAAAAAGTGAACTATAGACAAGACAATGAAGTGTGACGTATTTTTTTTTAAGAATATGAAACAGACCCAAATTGGGAAGCTGATAACCTGTATCACAACTGAAAACTATGGCTTCTTACCGCATCCAAACATCACTTTTATTCTTCCTTTCATCTTCAGTCGATTAATTCTAATGATGTAGTCATCTGTTAGTTCAAGTTGATACCTGAGAATCAGAACGACTAAATATAAGTTTCTGAGTTGTCTTTCCAGAAAGATGAATATCAATGTACGAGCTTATCTATGGTACAAGTGTACCTGAGGGCACTGAACACGACATTGTGTGAACATCAAAGTCCCTCAGTACTAAAGCCAGGCATATGAACGTCAAACATAAAATGTCCAGTAAAACTCTGCCTTGATGTTGTAAAGCACAATCATACAAAATGGAGGGTTGTGCTGCCATAAGGTTACTGAAAGCATCACTTCCCAGTTGGTCTCAACTGACCCAAAAAGCGAGGAAGAAAATTAAAGTTACACAGCACACAACAGACTCAATCCCAAATGATAATTAGACAGCCACTTTCAACCCACCTGTACTATCTGCCCACCTGTACTATCTGCCCAGCCCAAACAAACATAAAGAATTCTGTGCCGAGGGACCAATCACAGTCCAGGGAACCAGGTGCTAAGAGCATTATATCTGAAGTAGCAATACCCGAAGGCACATTTTCAGTTTTACTTTTCTTTTCCAGCTTTTATAAGCTGTCTTTTGTTTCCAAAAGGATAAAGAAACACTCCTGTGGTGAACAGTCCCCAAACTCCAACACTTGCCAAAGTCATACGGGAATTCCCAAAGCCAGAAAGACACCATGCAGGCCGTGGAAGCTGTCACAATGATACCAAATAGTTCACCAGCTCCATAACTATATAAAATTAACAAACATACTTTAATACATGTATTCCTAAAAATTCAGTAACTACAGAAACTTCATGTTAGCTATTTTAATATAGAAACTGACAAAAAATTGGGTAAAATACATCATTTTCATATGTAAAAAATAAAGTTTCTCATGGCTAAGAGTAATATGTACCAGAGGCAATAAGCTGTGGCCAACTTCTTGACAACTACAGATTTATCAAAATATATTGAGAATATATTGGGAATTCAGAATCTATGAAAGAAGTGTTCTATTTTTAAAAAACATAATTTTTTTAATAGAATAACCTCAAGAAACCTTTGCAAGCTCTGTGTAATGGAATATCCATGATAAATTATGAGGAAGGCAATAAAAAGAGGCCAATAAAATGCCCAGAACACCTGAGTTGAGTCATTTCCTCCTAACACATTAACAGCAAATATTAACTGAGCATTTTTTATGTGTAAGATGCTTTTGAATGCACTGAAAATTTACCACATGGACATAGTGTCTTAGCACTGAGGTGTTACTCACTGATACACAAGGTCAAAGTAAAGCCAAAGTAACCATACTTGTGCATGTTTTCCTTTCCCTATATCAATTACTTAGTTAATTTTAGCTCTTTTCTTTTGATTCTGGCTTTGCAGAATCATCAAGGAATACAAGGCACATGTTCACTGACAAACAATCAGACCACTAAGTATAATTTATACATTGTTAGATATCCCCATCATTGTGGCAGTATGAGTGGGGTAGAGGAAAAGCGATTATAATTCAAACTTTACAGCTTATCAACTATGCAACCTGAGCAAGTCACGATGTACCATGAAATTTAAAGCAAATCACAGCCCTCAATAAATGTTCAAGAAGCCATGAGTAAGAAGAACAGAGGAAGTGCTTTTCTATACCTTATCTTTTAAAAACAACCCTAACTCAAATGCAGGAAAGTATTGGCTATTGATAAACATATGTATTTTTTCAAACATTAAAGTTTGCATAAGATGTTCATCAGAGAATACTTCCATAGTTTTTGTTATGTTTCTACCAAAGTAATTTAAACGTATTACTTCTTCAAACGTGCCAAGCAATTACTTTAGAAGTTTGTTCTTCAGCTTTCAGTCATCGTTCTCCTCAAGACACTTTGTATTGTGCTCCCATCTCCTAAGTCCTCAGTCATGCTTTTATGTTTTTCTTCCTGGAGTTTCTGGGTTTTGAAATTAGTAAAAAAACATAAAGTAAATAAACTATAAAAGCTGAGTTAACAAATTTAGGAAGAATATCACGTGACATGTTTTTAGTTCAACCAACTAAAACTGCTACATGACAATTACTACTGAGAAGTAGAAGAAAAGAGCCAGAAATCCTCAGTGTATTTTATGAACTGACCTAGTTACAATGTGTTGAAACTAGCAGAAGCAGGGGCCTGTGACACATGACTGAGAAGAGTGGGAGGGTCTCTTACTGAGGGGAGTGGAAGAGTGTCAATGAAGAAGTGGTTTCTCATAGAAGACAATTAACACTTAACAATAGTTAAAGGTGATAAATGGTCCGAATCAATTCTGGGATGAAAGAATGATATTAGCTACAAAGTAATAAAAGCACACTTATGGCTGGGAGCTGTGGCTCATGCCTGTAATCCCAGCACTTTGGGAGGCCAAGGCAGGTGGATCACCTAATAATAGGAGTGTAAGAACAGCCTGGACAACATGGTGAAACCCCATTTTTACTAAAAGTACAACATTAGCCAGGCATGTTGTCACACACCTGTAATCCCAGCTACTCAAGAGGCTGAGGAAGGAGAATCGCTTGAACTCGGGAGGCAGAATTCACAGTGAGGTGAGATTGCACCATTGCACTCAGCAACAATACCAAATCTCCATCTCAAAAAAAAAGTGTACTTATGTATTTGAATCTTTTATAATGCTGTTTGTAAGTCTGGAATTTAATTAATAATCTCATGGATATTTAAGGTACAATTCTTTTTTCTTGCTTAATATTCTATCAGCTTTAGCCAAGTTTGGTGTATCCAGTTTTCAACTATAATCCTAGCTTTGCAGAATGCTGAGGCAAGAGAATCACTTGAGTCCAAGAGTATCAGACCAGCCTGGACAACATAGCAAGACCTTGTCTCTTAAAACCAAAACAGCACCACCACCACCAACTTACCAAAAAAAAAAAAAACAAAACAAAAAAAACTATTGATTGAATACTCATCTAGTTCCCAAAGAGAGGGCAAAAGATATGGGTCATTCAGGGCTTTCAAGTGCTTAAGAATACTCATCAAGTTCCCAAAGAGAGGGCAAAAGATATGGGTCATTCAGGGCTTTCAAGCGCTTAAGAATAAAATGATCTTCATAGTGAGACTTCAAATCACCAATTGTACCAATTCCCTAGCCAGGGAGGTGGATTCACAGGTGATGAGATCCAGCCATCCTAAGAAGTACTGCACAACACTGACTAGTCTAAGAACGGTTAAAGACTCCAGGTATTAGCTCCCTCTGCTGGTTATCTGGAAAGCCATGAAGAGGTAAACTACATTGAATTTAGTACATATGCTGAAAGAATGGAAAAGAAGTAGAGAAATTGAGGGTGAAAAAAGTGACACACTCTCTCCGCTTAAATGTTGTTTCTCTTTTTTTTTTTCTCTCTCTCTGGATTAATTTACCTTTTCATTATTGCCAAAATGAGAGTAAGGTACACAGCTAGCTGAAATAAAAAAAATCAAACCTATAGAAGTGAGAAAACAACATTAAATAAAATGGAGACAAATTCTTTAATGAGCAAAAATTCCTAAAGTATCTATGGGTGTCAATTAACGGCACATTCCCCATGGAAAAGACTTCTTGTGCAAACTATAGACAGGTGACCTTGCTGTCAATCCCAGGTAACATATGGATGAAACATCTGTGAGCACGTAGAAAAACTGAATAGCACTGAGAAACACTTTCATCCAGTACAAGTCAAGTCAAACCACAATACTTCCTTTTTTTGAGCACAGAACTGGTAAAAGCCACAGGCCTAGATATTTGAAATCCAGTTCCAATACATAAACACACAAAACTATCAAACCAGGAGGACTGAAGTTAACTTTAAAAACATATGACCTGTTCAAGTATTAACAGCTTCTCCAAATTTTCTGTTTGATGTTACTGTAGCCTGGTGATAGCATCTCATTCTGCCTTTCATCTTAATGTTCAATATTTCAAAAGCACAGCCCTAGTGTTTGTTTCTCTTAATGTGTAACTTCTAATGCTGTGTGATATCACCTTTATAAAAAACAACTCCACCTGGCAATAAACATTAGAACATTTAGATATATATTTAGTAATTCTTTTTAATCTCATCATTCTGAATGTCTAAAATAATCATGCATACAGGCAATCCAAAATCTTCAACTGTCTGCTTCAGCTCTGCTTTTCCTTCTCTTAGCAAATCTATATCTTTTAGTAAAAGAAGGCTTTGAGCATGAATTTTCTTGTTTCAATCTGTAAAAAGCATTAATTTTGGCTGGCTCTGGTGGCTCACGCTTGTAATCTCAGCATTTTGGGAGGCTGAGGCAGGTAGGTCATGACATCAGGAGTTTAAGATTAGCCTGGCCAAGATGGTAAAACTCCATCTCTACTAAAAATACAAAACTTAGCTGGGTGTTGTGGCAGATGCCTATAATCCCAGCTACTCAAGAGGTTGAGGAAGGGAATTGCTTGAACTTGACAGGCAGAATTTGCAGTGAGCCAAGATTATGCCACTGCATTCCACTGGGTGGCAGAGCAAGATCTGTCTCAAAAAAAAAAAAAAAAAGGCATTAAGTTTTAGGCAGCAAGTTAATGAAAACATAACAAATTTAAATAAATATAGTGCTTCCTAAATTCCAAAAACCAATATACAGAAATTGAGAATAACAAGTTTACCTTCAAATTATTCCAACTCAGCTGGGCACGGTGATTCACTCCTGTAATCCTAGCCCTTTGGGAGGCTAAAACAGGCCGATCACCTGAGGTCAAAACTTGAGACTAGCCTGGCCAATATCGTGAAACCACATTTCTACAAAAATTACAAAAATTAACTGGATACAGTGGTGGGCACCTCTAATCCTAGCTACTTGGGAGGCTGAAACAGGACAATCACTTGAAACTGGGAGGCAGATGTTGCAGTGGCCACGGTAGTGCCATTGCACTCCAGCCTGGGCAAAAGATTAAAACTGCATCTCAAAAAAAAAAGAAAAAAAATCCACTTCAATGTATTCCTCAACTATCTATTCCAGCTTCATAAATATTTAGTCTCTCAATTTCTGTTAAACTACATTTCCATATATTTTAACACCCCTTGTGTAATTTATGCTATTTAATTAACATATTTCAGTCCCTTGTGTAATTTTTTGGGGAGACTGGGTTCTGCTCTGTTGCCCAGGTTTGGATCCAGTGTTGTGATTTCGGATAACTGCAAACTCTGCCTCCCAGACTCAAGGGATCCTCCCATCTCAGCTTTCTAGGTAGCTGAGACTAAAAACACACACCACCAAGTTCAGCTAATTTTTTTGTAGTGATGGTGTTTTGCCATACTGCCCAGGCTGGTGGTGTACCGCTGGGCTCAAATGAGATCACCATCTCAGCCCCTCAAAGTGCTAAAACTACAGGTATGAGCCACCATACCTGGTCCCCTTAACTAAAATCTGGTAAGTTCTTCAGGGAAAAAAATAAATAAAATGTACATTTAGAAATAAAACTCCAAAATAATAAAATCCCCATCATTTTTTGTGATGGTGCTTTCTGAATGTTTTAGTTCATGAGTCATTGTGACTCAGAGTTAGCAAGCTCATATGAACCAGTAAATGAATAAGCCAACCTTCCACTTATGTCTTCACAGAGCAGAAATTTATTAACTATGTATCATATATCAAGCAGCATACTGGGAATGGATATAAAAATGTAGACAGATACAGTCCTCCTCTCTGAAGACCTCACAGTATAGTCAGGGAGAAACAATCAAACTAAGATAGGATAATTTTATAACTGAGGTAATAATGACTGCATGTAGGAATGAGCCATAAATGAGCTGCTCAGTGGGAGTCAGAGAAGGCATCACAACAGTGACATCCAAGCTGGGCCTTGAATGACACTATGGTTTTATCAAGGAGAGGAGGAGATTGACATTCCAGGTGAGGAAACACAGTCATGTTGGGTTTTATGAGAATGAGAATCTTCCTCAAAGGCTTCAGATACTCTAATTTGAATAAACAGAATTCTAGTCAGTCACCTATCTTGAAGATGAAGTTATTAGTCTAAATACAATGTAATCACCTCAAATATCTATGCATCCAATATTCAATTTTATAGCTGAAGAAAGCCTTATTCCCAGAAATGCTATAGAAAATTTTAGAGTGGGTGCCCTTAGCATTAAACAACTATGTCTCATTGAGAAGCTTCAAGCAAGTGTGGGCACTAGGGGGAATCTTTTCTACTTTTAACATCTAGCAGCAGCTGTTTTAGATGTATGTTTGAAATACTGCTGTAAATACCGTCACGTCTAAGACACACACTTGGAAAAGGAATAAGATATCTTAAAGGAGCAGCCAACATAAACTCCCTGCCACTCCTCATCATCTTAATCTCCTTTGCAGTTACTTTCCCAGTGATGAGATCAAATGGCCACATGGATGACCCTTGGGGCCCTGGTGACTCCCTCACCCCAGGGATCTTTACTCTTGCGCATTTTCATGTCTCCATCCAATGTCAGCCCACTGCCTTTGATTTCCAGTCTCCACCTGATACCTCACTCTGCAAATCTGCACTCCTGGATGATCTTTATTCTTCCACCTGCCAATCTCTCCAGATCTAGTTCTTGATCACTGAGACTGCCGCCCAAACCTCCCTTTTCCCCTAGGTTACCAGCCACTTGCCATCTTCTCTGCTTACCTTCACTACACAGGAGAACCACAGAATCTCCAATTAAATAGGCTGCATTTCTCAAGGAAAATGAAGTATGCTCTGCAAAGCTCCACTTCCCGCGTATCTCCATCTTTCCACCCTCACTGAAAGGGGCAGCAGAGAGAGACCCTTAAAATTCCTTCCCAGAGGTAGAACAGAAAACTCACCTACAAACATGTGGTTTTGTCTCTCTCAATTCCTGGTTACCCTAACCACAGCTGGGCCATCAGTACAGGTAATCGGTGCACTCTCCTTTAAAAAGCTGTTCTTACCTTATCCATAAGAGCTACTCTGCACCTCCAAGTTGCTCCTGAAACCCTTGATCTGTCTCCTTAATTTGCCTGAGAAGATGAAGCATCTTTATAGCTGAAGCAACCACTATTTCCAGAAATGCTATAGAAAATTTTAGAGTGAGCGGAATTATGTTTCTCATAATTCCAACTTGACTGGTCACCTCTTCAATTCTTGTCTCTCCACCAGCCTCAAAGGACACAAATTGGTGTAGCCTTCTCAAGGCCCATCATTCTTTTTTTTTGCACTCTTCGCCAATGTCCCTACTGCTCTTCAGGGGCCTTGTTCCATCATTTGAAACATCTCATTCCTGGATCTTGAGTCAATCCAGTAATAGCTGTAGAAAATAGCCATTCAGTAAATTTTTTTCTAAATACAACTTCTTGGTGCTTTTGATTTCTCTCAAGGATACTCTTTTCTCAAGGAATGAAGGCTTCAGATTCTGCTTGACAAGCTTTCTCAAAACTTCAGAACATAGCTAATTCTGTCTCATACTCTTATCACTTCCATGAAAAATTCAACTGCAAATTTATTACAAAAAAATAAAAGCTCCAATCGTTATACTATAAGAACAGTAACAGATTCTCTCTCTACAGCTAGGCTCTACATTAATGTTCTGTCCAAATACGTTATATTTATTTAATCTATAGTTTTATATCATTTACTGTATTTGTAGAATTCAATCCAAAGGCATAAACAAATCTCATCAGAAAAAATTGATTTGCACAACACTGAAGTACTCCATTTTTTAATAAAAGTTCCAAGTATTTTTTAATATACCTAAGATTAAGTCTTTAGATGACAAAAACATGACTCTTGTTAACTGCAACATGATACAGATTACCTTTTGACACATTTCTGCCAGAAGTTGCTTTTCTATTTCTCTCTTATATTCATTTAGCTTTGTTTCTAAAGACTCAAACTTTGTATTCTAAGGGTAAGCAACTGTCAGTTGATCATCAATAAGCTGAAGGTTGTCAGCTATTAAAAAGTAACACATAAAATTAGGACACAGAAGCATGATCAGGTGTGTAAGAGGTCAGATTTCTGGTTCAAAAGTAAAGAGTATAGTTAGGGGAAAGCATACGTGTCATCAATTTACTTTGAAATATAAAAAAAAAGTAAGATAGATGAATAGATGGACAGATAAAAATGATGAAGTATATATAATACAAATGTAATAGTGAAATTTAGGTGGTAGGTATGTAAGTGTTGACTAGAATTGTTTCAACTTTTCTATGTGTTGAAAATACTCAGGCATTTACCAACATCCACCACACGCAGATTATTTATTTATTTATTTATTCATTCATTTATTTTGTGGAGACAGGGTCTTCCTATGTTGCCTGCCTCAGCTGATCTCAAACTCATGGCTTCAAGTGATCCTCCTGCCTGGGCTGGGATCACAAGAATGAGCAGCTTTGTCTGGTAATAGCTTTTAAGAATAAATCTTCAAGAAGTCCTTCCCAAGCATGATACAAAACCTGGAAACAATAAGGAGAAATATTCATCAATCTCACTACATAAAATTTAAAAATTTACATGTGGCATAAAATAGAAAAACATACACTCAAAAATTAGTTGCAGTAATATGGAGGCATAAGCAGGACTAAAGTTACAACATTGTAATATCGTTAAAGAGCTCTTACAAATCAGTTAAAAGAAAAGAAAACAAAACTGAAAAATGTGAAAAAAATGGACAGATTGTAGAAAAAATAAAATGTCAAACAAAGATAACCAAGATTATCAGATGTTGAATAAACATGAACAAAATCATAAATGCAAATTAATAAAGCGAAGAAACCATTATTTTCCCTATAACACCATTAAGATTAAACTTTTGATAATGCTAATGTTGGGAATGGAGTGGAAGTATAGCTGTGCTCATTCACTTGGGAGAGGAATGTGTCAGTGCTTACATATATTCAAAATGCAGTAATCTATTCATTCCAATTCCATGAATTCACACAGCTGTACTTTTACAAGCACACAGAGCGTGCACACTGCATACTGGTTGCCTCTATTGGAAAAAAGCATACAATAAGACAACTCAATCTCCATTAATAGGGGGTTAAATATTTACTTTAAAAATAATGAGTCTCAATATACTGCTACAGATAGATATATTGGTTGATAGAAAAAGCAAATTGCCAAAAGGATCTATAATATAATTTTATTTGATTGTGTGTTTTAATTAGAAATACATAGAGTTTTAAACTCCATCAATTCTGCAAAAATAACCAAGAAACAAAATTATTAAAATTGTAGTTATCAGTTGAGAGTCAGATTAGAAAACATGGGCACAAATTGCTAGTTTGCTTTCACTTTATATCCTTCCAAATAATCTGAAACTTTGCTTTAAACGAGAAGCGTAAATTATTTTTGAAATTTTTAGTTTCTTGAAACTAAAAACATTAGTCGCTCAGCACCTCATCCCCATCCCCATCCTCTTCAGTGAGTGGATTACAGTTAGATTGTTTTGACACAGTCTGCATTCTATCCAGGGATCAGCAGACCAACATTTGCAAACACTAATGTTTATTCTTGGTGATGTAAAACTTTATGGGTTTGACAGTAGGTCTTTTCATTCTCTTAACAGTGTCTTCCACAGAGATGTTTTAATTTCAATTAAGTCTAACTCAATTTTTTTCTTTTATGTATCTTGCTTTTGGTGTTATATCACATCATGAAACTTAGGATCACATAGACTTTCTCTTGTTTTTATTTGGAAATTTTATAGTTTTGCAATTTACATTTAGATTTATGGTTCATTTCCATGCACATGAATATTCAATTATTTCAGAGCCACATATTCAAAAGACTATCTTTCCTCTATTGAATTGCCTTTGAACCATTGTTAAAAAAAATTAATTGACAATATTTGTGTGAATCTATTTCTGGATTCTCTATATCTGTTCCCATTGATGTATGTGTCTATTCTTTTGCCAATTATAGATAAGGATTTTAACTTTCAGAAAGCAAAGTGTCAGTGTCCAAATTTTCTTTCTTCATCCAAAATTTGTGCATATCATTGTCTGTGTATCTTTGGCTGTCAAACGAAATATTAAGAGGGGGAAGAACGGGTGACTAGAGTCTAGGAGGAAAGTACTGTTAGTATCTACAGCTTAGCATCTCCTGAGTGTAGATATACTAAAATAGGATAAGATCACAGGTCTCTGACTCAGGGGGCAGAAGACAGTTCAGTACAATATATCTTCCTATAAGTTTTCTGTTGTTTAATTAGAAGCCATTGCTTTTTAAAATGATTTTAATTTACCAGAAGTTATTTTATTGTTAGCTAAGGGTTCTATCCAAATTTTGCCACTAGGATGACTAGCACTACTCATCATTTTTCTGACTTCCAGAAATTTTACTGGGATGCTAGGTAAAGCTGGTAAGGGTTGTCACCCAGATATCTTTCTGAATGAGATGGATGTAAAGAGACTCTGTAAAGATAGAAAGACTATTTCTAAAGATAATGTAATATAGTAAATGTATAGATTCTTTCCTGTTAGGGGGCTCAGTCAGTCTGGGGGGAAAAATATTAAAGATAATTATAGTAATAGCCACAAACCATCTTGGAAGGCCAGAGACTTTGCATAACCTCAGTAATAGATACGGTTGAAGGTGACTTTCTTTACCTTTAGTTAAATAAATTAAAGTACTGACAAAGGAATGTGGGGAGGTTATGCAGCTAGCTTGTTTACTCATGTGGTCTGAAGACTAACCTTTGAGGTACCCTGGGTGCTTAAGTGCTTAGGGAAGTCCGCAATGTCAGTGTTGCCCCAGTGATGTTGACTCAAGTCTTTGTCAATTAATCTTTACTGATAAGTGTGAGTTTCACTTGCTGGTCAGGGCCACTGTTGCCACTGTTTACAAAACTCTACTGGAGTCTGTAAGTGGCTCAGACACTCAGCTTCAGCTGGACTGGCAAAGCAGAATATTTATGTTTCAGTGTACTTTATTCATCCGTTGCGGGTTCAGGGGTCTGCAAGGGACAGACCCCCAAAGTTGGTGCCACAGCATGAGAAGTGTGAGAAGTGTTACCACAGTTTCTCCTTCCTTCCTTCCTTCCTTCCTTCCTTCCTTCCTTCCTTCCTTCCTTCCTTCCTTCCTTCCTTCCTCCCTCCCTCCCTCCCTCTCTCTCTCTCTCTCTTTATTTCCTTGGTGGGGAGTAAAATGGCACCTAGCTAGGTCACCCAGGCTGGAGTGCAGTCACATGATCTCAGCTCACTGCAAATATCCCCTCCCAGGTTCAAGTGATTATCTTGCCTCAGCCTCTAGCATAGCTGGGATAAAAGGCACTTGCCACCACACCTCGCAAATTTTTGAATTTGTAGTAGAGATGGGGTTTCACTGTGTTGGCCATGCTGATTTCTAACTCCAGGCCTTCAGTGTTCCTCCTGCTTCAGCCTCCCAAAGTCCTGCATGAGGCACTTTTCCTGCCCCATAGATTGTTCTGTAATATCTCCTTTTCTTTTGAAGTAAAAATTAAGCAATAGCTACTAACTATATACCTTTGAATTATGCTGTTCATTGTGATAGTCAATAAGCACATGGAGCTAATTAAATATAAATTAAAAATTGAATTATTCAGTTACACTAGCTACTGTTCAATTGCTCAATAGTCGCATGAGACTAGCAGCTACCACATTAAACAGTATAGATAAAGACATTTCCGCCATCACAAAGAGTTACAGTGGATGGTGCTTATATATAACAGAAGTTATATTACACATTACTGAACACATATTTTCTTCTTTAATGACATATTAATACAGTTAATACTCTATCAATTGTACTTGAGAGGCATACCTAGTATACAAAGACACTTGGCCTAAAAGTCAGATTTTTGAAGTTTTTTTTGGTTTGTTTTTTGTTTTTTTTTAAGAAGTGTTCCCAATAGTGGATATTTTTACAAACAGTATCTTTCAGTGTGTCTGTAGGGCCCTTGATACCGTCTGAAGTTTTCTTATTTGACTATCTGAAAGTTATTACAAAAATGAAAACATGGGAATAATGACCTGCAGAACAGGTGAACTATTGTTTAAAAAGTAAGATATGGTCAGCAAGGAAAAACATGTAATTTAAATCTAATTAAATTTCTTACTCTTCTCCCTCAAAATTAGCTTTATTACTTTATAAGGAAAAGTACATAGAAAAACCTTGCTATAGTTTACAAATATGTAGGCTCCTATATTTTTGGTTTTCTTTATCAGATCCTGAGACCTGTTAAAAGGAAATAGTTTACCTTTATAAAGCTATTCAGTTATAATTAACAAACCGAAGTAGATTATATAAACTAAGTAATCTTACCAGTGATTTCTAGAAACTGGGAGTAGGGTGAATTTTATAGAGTGCAATCAATCCTGCATATTAAATACCTTAAGAAAATAAAATGTTACTAATTAGACACAGTTTTATAGCAATGTTTAAATGATACGTTATAATATATTTATGAATAAGAGATTAAGAAAATTCCTTCAGAAAAGATAAGATTACAACTATGCTAACAAAGCAAAATACAAGCTCTTTCTTACACTATTAGATAAATTACAAAAAGTTTGAGTTAAAATAATAAAATTTCTTTCTTGATCATGTAATTAATCTCTAAGTGTTTTACATCAAATGTTATTCAATTACAACTTTTTAAAAGTAGTATTTAAAAATGTAAATAAACTAAATTTTCACTGTCCTTACAATCATGACTAAAGTGCACTTAAAATTCTGTTAAACAGATATTTTGGGCAAGCATTTATACATATTTCTGCTACAGTATATATCAATAATTATGTCTACTCTAAGAACATGAATATGTTTTCAACTGGATTTCCTTTAAAGAAAATATTTTACATTGTTATTTTATGTTAGCAGAAACCATTTAGTTGTTTGAGTGGGATTAATTCCTGTTATAAGAATTTTACAATTGCTAAGTACACGATAAGTAGAAGTATATAATTATTAGAAAGTTAGAGAAAGATATATCAAAAAAGAATTCCAGACAAGGCACAGTGTCTCACAGTTGTAATTACAGCACTTGGGCAGCCTAAGAGGGGAGATGACATGAGCTCCGGATTGAAAACAACACTGCCCACCAAGAGTAACCCAGACTCTATCAAAAAAAAAAAAAATTAGCAGAATGTGGTGGTGTGTGCCAGTAATCCCAGCTGCTTGAAA
Source organism: Homo sapiens (assembly GCF_000001405.40). Lineage (NCBI taxonomy): Eukaryota > Metazoa > Chordata > Mammalia > Primates > Hominidae > Homo > Homo sapiens. Next base: position 18,851,152 of record NC_000024.10, on the reverse strand, counting down.
GGTTGCAGTAGCATAATTGCTTGAACCCAGGAGGGGCAGATGTTTCAGTAAGCTGAGATTATGCCAATGCCCTCCAGACTTGGTGACAGAGAGAGACCCTACTTCTAAAAAATAAGTATGTAAATAAATACATTCATAAGGCTGATAAGTAAAATTTGGTTGTGTATGAAGAAACTCAGCACATTTAAAATTTGAATTCAAAAACTGTACTAAGGCTACGCATTGTGGCTCACATCTGTATTCCCAGCATTTTGGAGGCCAAGGCAAATGGATCACTTGAGATATGGAGTTGGAGACAAACCTGGCCAACACAGTGAAACCCCGCCTCTACTAGAAATACAAAAATTAGCCAGGTTCTTGGGCAAGCACCTGTCATGCCAGATACTTCGGAGGCTGAGGTGGGAGAATCGCTTGAACCCAGGAGGTGAAGTTGGCAGCCTTGGATCAGGCCACTGCACTCCAGCATGAGCAACAGGGTAATACTCCATGTCAAATAAAATAATTATCATACTAAGCTTCTCGTGTCCTTAAAACTTTGGAATATGAAACTCTTAGATAACTATACACAACCTAAAGAAAGTAAAAACATATACACACCACCAAGAGTGAAATTTAATGTAAACGATAGACTTTGGCAATAAAGACTTTTTGGGGAAGGTTTATCAATTGTAGCAAATGTACCACCTTGATGAAAGATGTTGACAGTGGGAAAGACTGTGCATGTGTAGGAGCAGTGGGTGTATAGGAATTCTTTGTACTTCTCCATCAACCTAGCTGTGAACTAAAACCTGCTCTAAAAAACAGTCTACACACACACACACACACACACACACACACACACACACACATTCACAGGGAAAGTTTGCTGCATCTTCCTTTAAAATAATAAACTGGGACAAATGTTTAACCATAATGGTGAAGAAATATCGTTAAAATAATTAGAAATGTATTAAAAAATAAAATGACAGTCACTTTATTATTTGGAAAATTTACAGATTTTTAAGGATTACATCACTTAAGTTACTTGATTCAACTCTTCACAGTCTGGTTCCTCATCTGTAACACACGAAACATCTGTCGTGTGTCTATCACAGTGTCAAATTCAGAGCAGACATTCAACAGATGGGCAGAGTCTTATTAAAAAACATGGAAAATAGATAAATCAATTTGAGCTCTTAAACATTTAGAGATTGTAGATCATAATTTTACAAAAGACTAAATGTGATACCAATAAATTAATTTCAAATTTAGTAATCACTTGTTATATAACAAATGCATTATGTGCAGGTACAATGGAAATTCAAAGAGGAATGAGAAGTGGACCTAGTTTAAAAGCAATTATCTATAATGCAGCATGTTACACTCAGCTGAAAAAAAAAAACTGTTAATAAAAAGTTCAAAAACAGAAAAGGAAATATGTTACCTTTTCTTTTGCTAAACCAATTTCTGGAAAGAAAACAGAAAGTGAAGACGCATAGCCATATCTTTGTTAGTGATCAGCCACTAAAGAGTTAGGGGTTCCTAGTAAGAGGGAGTTCCCTTGCAGTGAAATGGACAGAGGGTGCAACTCTCCATTCAATACAGGGTGCATCGACTCATGAATTGGGTGGTTTTGAATTTGTGTCTTGCAAGGGAGGAAGGAAGAAAGAAAGGAAAACAATTAAGGAAGGAAGGAAGGAATAAAGGGAGGGAGGGAGAAGGGGAGGAAAGGAGAAAGCAAGAAAGAAAGGAAGGAAGAAAGGAAAGAAGGAAGGAAGGAAGGAAGTCAAAAAAGGTAAAATAATTTCAGTAGGATTGTCTCAGTAGAGATACACAAAGATGTGTTACATTCATTGGAAAACTTCCTTTTCTTTCCATAATGTTTCTAGATCCATGGCCAGAAATTAGGAATCTTCCCCTACGCAAGCCGTACCCCATGAGACAAGAAGGTCAGTGTGTTCTACAAAAATGTTTCTTTCCTCAGCTTCCAAGTGAAACGGGTGGTTAGCCAGACCCATTTGCAGACTCTTCCTTCACTTCCCTAGAAGTCCATTTCAGCAGCTTATGCTTGGGATATGAAGTATAGGAAAAAATTCTGCTAGTTCATCCCACCTCTATGGACTGTTGCAAAATATAACCAAAATATTTAACAACAAGGGACTGCTATGTGTGTTACAAAAATATCCAAAGATAAGACTGTTGCCACTAAAAATGAGGATTTCAAGAAACTTTTAAGGAAACAGAGAAATGCTCACACCATATAACTTATATTTAAAAAGGATATATGCACAGTATATATCTACATATTTTAAATGTAAAATATGCTTATGGAATGCATATTGCAATGAAAACACGTTGAGCTAATCCTGTTCCTAGCTGTTAATCCAAATATAAAGTATACTAACAAATATTTGCTGCCCAAATGAAATATTCAGGCATATCAATATAGTTTAAAGATGAAAGTGTTCATTCTCCAGTTGAACTATTAGAACACTAGTTTTATCTATATGTTGCCAATGTCCCACATCCAAACGCATTACAAACCCACTTGTTAGTTTAGGAACCTGTAAACCAGATTTATAAAAGAGGCCTATTCTTACTAAAATGTGTTCATTATATAAATGCTTTCTGCTCCTGTCTTACTGGCAGCTCAATTAATTATTCGAACATTCTCCTTTAAGTCGACTCAAATGTAACATTTTCTCAATGGTTTCAAAGAGACCGTAATGTTTCAGGGTAGAGTTTTGAAACCCAATCATTGGATGAATTTAAATGTGAACTACCTATTACAGGTTAGACTTCTAAAAGTTATGGAACAGATAAATCTAAATCCGATACTTTGAGTGTGCCCAGTACACCCACATTCATCAACATTTCATCTAGCTTTTTGGGCAGCTCATCTTGACTCAACAGACATGGGGAGCTAGTTGGATTAGAAGACAAAATGGTTACAGGTTACTTGGGGGGTAGAGGGAAGGTGAACGACTGAAAAACAACGCGAGATTACAGCTGTCGCATTGCATCCTGCCCCTCTTGGGGACCTACTTAGTACAGTCTTCCTGGTCTGAAGATACATGGCACATGCATTTGGTGGCCTAGCACCGGCCAGAATCTCCACCCCTATCTCGAGGGAGCATATCCAGGGTATCCAAAAATCTGCCCCCGGGGCTCTCGGCTGAAGCAGCCGGGTGCCGGTCTTCACAGCGGGACTGAGATTGTCTTTCCCTCCTTGGCCTGTCGCTTCAGGTAGAGGATGGAGTGAGTCGAAACAGGCATTTTGAATCCCTGTGGGAGTTCACTGGCCCTGCCTGACGGTACAGGCTGGTGCTATATCTCCACCCCTCCCTCGGGTAGCCCTATCAGATCTGCCACGCCCTGGCCGGCTCATCCACTCACTGAGAACTTCCAGCTGCAAGTTTCTGCCCTCCTGGGGTCTTTGCTTTGGTGGTTAACAGCCAAATATTCAGCTGACCCAGGGTTTCTTAATGGAGCCACTGTTGCCTTTTGGAGCCGGCAGATTCTTTGTTTTGGGAGGCTGTCCTGTGCTTTGTAGATTCAGCTGTATCCTTGGTCTCTATTTTTTCAATAGTACCTTCTCTTCCAAGCGAGACAACCAAAAGTGTCCCCAGACATTGCCAGATGAACTCTTGGAAGCAAGATGGCTTAGGGTAGAGATCCACAAAGCTAAATGTTTTTGAGTAGCCACCATTGTGTATTGTGAGGAAAGGCGAGCCTGACCTCATAATGTTTACATGTAAATAAAAAGAAAAGCAACCGAACCTCTCAGAAGCAATAATGAACACGTTACAGCCAGATAATTGAGCAAGAGCTAAGAAATATATATATATATATATGAATATATATCTTACGTAAGATATATATATATATGAATATATATCTTACGTAAGATATATATATATAAATTGAGTAATGAGTTTAAAGGAGAGGTGGTTGAATATGGAAGGGATTCAGATCATCTCTTGGAAAAAGTGTAAACTCTTCAGGGTCTTGATGCGTAGGATTTGGGTGGTGGGTCAAAAGAATAGCATGGCAGGGATGGGGAAAAATGAATAAAGTAATAAAAACCAACCAACCAAACAAACAAACAAAAATCTAGGCCCTTCTGGGGGCAGTGAGGAATCTACCCTGAGTCCAGAGTTGTATGCTGGGAATATAAGCCTGAAAAAGTATCTAAGTCCTGTGAGGACCAAATTTGATCAGTTTCAGCTTTGTACACAGCATTGAAGAAGTGTACAGTGAATTTTGATCACTGGCTGTGAGAAACTTAAAGTCTTTGAGAGGCAGTATGAGTGACAGGACTTCTTAGGAAGTGGAGAACCTATAGGTTTTTGGTGGAAATAATTGAGGAGGAGAGACTTAGTTGGATTTTAAAAAATAGGTAGGAGTTGCAGGCAGAATCAGGGAGAACATTCCAGGCAGGACGAGAGAAATAATAGTAGCTCTGAAGTGGATACAGTCAAAGTGGATTTGGGGAAGAAGAAACAATAAACAACTAAACTCTAGTGGAGGTGGAACAATAGGGCTGAGAAAAGACATGACCAATGTGAGAGTCTGCTTTGAATACCAGTACATGATCCTGTAGTTGAGATGCATCCAGGCTTTTGAATGGGATAATGAAATGATGAAAGCAGTGTTCTAAAAGTAGGTTGATAGCTTGTAAATGTTGTTAGGTAGTATCACCAGTCCACTGTAGAAAAAGTAATAATAATCGGCTGGGCATGGTGGCTCACACCTGTAATCCCAGCACTTTGGGAGGTGGAGGCTCAAGGATGACTTGAGGTCAGGAGTTCCAGGCAAGCCTAGCTAACATGGTGAAACCCGGTTTCCACTAAAAATACAAAAAAATTAGCGAGGTGTGGTGGCATAACATCTGTAATCCAAGCTCTCTGGGAGTCGGAAGCAGAAGAATCACTTGATCCGAGGAAGTGCAGGTTGCAGTTAGTTGAGATCACACCATTGCACTCTAGCTTGGGCAACAACAGCAAACAAGCAAATAAAAAGATTGTGTCTGAAGATCCCCTCACTCCCGACCGCACTCCCACTTTTGATCACACAGTTGAATATATGAATACAATTAGATAAAATGCTCTTCAAAAACTAGCATAACTTCTCCCAAAGGTGGGATAATTGCTTATAATATTAACAGAAAATTGTCACATTAGACACCTATCAACAGTGTTCAAACTGCCCCTCCTTATTGCAACAGACATGTACCATGCTAGATCAGGGACCCCAGGTCTATGGGATGACTGAAAACACTGCTGTTGGCAGGAAAGAACAGTTTTTCCAGAAGCTCTTCTGTAGAGTCTCTACAGAGGCCAGCTACAAAAAGGGATGTGTTTGGAACGACAGTCCATGAGTTTTGTCGTGCATTGTCCTGCAAATTAAACTAAGAGCAGGGACTTCCAAGTTCATTAAGCATGCTCTTACTCTGCCACTGGTGGTCTTCTAGCCACCCATTAGATTGTAGTTTTCAGTGACTTCAACTGAGCAACCCTGGGCTTGACCTATGTAACGGTTTGGAATAAGTCTGTCAAGTTCAGCCTCAGGTAGGTACTGTATTTCTTGAAATCCATATGAGACAAGGATAAATGATCACAGCATTCTTTCCTACATTCTTTTCTACACAGCATTCTTCCCCTTTTCTTTCCACACTTAGTCTCAGAAAATTTCTCAACCCCAGTTCATGGCAGTCAATACCAGTTGATTAGATTTCACTCATGAGAAGAAACTCATTTGCCATTCCAAGCCAAATTCCTTTTCCATTAGGCAGCTTATTGTATTTAAAGATAGTACTATGCCATACCCCGCTCCCCTTCCACCCCAAAAAGGTCTTCTCAGCACCATTTAAACATCCTCAGTTCCTTCAATTGCTTTTGTCTTCTTTCCAGAGCTTTCCCCAGCATAAATCTTGCCCTCCCCTCACCTATAACACACACAGGTCAGAGTTATGGATTAATTTACGATAGATTTCCAGAAATGAGTTTCTTCCACAAAGATGATATGATTCCCAGAACTCACTTTCTTCCCCTAAGAGAGCATGAACATTCTCCCCGATCTTGCTCTTAATACCACCTAGAATTGCCTTAGCTTTTTGACCAAACTCTCAGACTTTTATATCTTATAGAGCTTGCAGTAAGTTAACACTTTTCTTGATGTAGGTGAACTGTTCTTAATCTAGGTTTCCCTTGTCCTATTGTTGTACAGTTGATTTCTAATCCAAAGCACAGGGCTTTCTTTACTATTTGCTTAACTTCTATCTTGTTAATTGCATTCCACTCTCTTAGCCACAGAGATCATTTTGAATCCTAATTTCTGCCTTCTAGTGAATTCTAATAAATAAACCCTTGGTGTTATTTTTAAATGTGATAAATTGTCTTCATTCAAGTTATTGATTTAAATGCTTAGCTAGACTAAGTTACGGTCAACCCCAAAGCCTGAGATAGATATATATATATATATATATATATATATATATATATATATATATATATATAGTGTGTGTGTGTGTGTGTGTGTGTGTGTGTGTCATACTTCCACTCACTGGAGGCCTTTTAGCCTTTTGATTCTATACTCACTGATGTCTGGTCCCATGCGTATGTTGATTACTAGTTAGTGTATGTAGACTCCTTAAAGTTAAGGTATTGGGAGATCTCCTCATATCACCAAGTTGATTTCTTTAGACTTCTCCCTGTCAAAGACCAGGTTGCCCACCTATCAGAGACAGCTGCTGTTTCCGTCGCAAATAAGGGTCCTGGCTCCCTCTCATCAGCCAGCAAGCCCAGTTTCTTGTTATGCAGGATTTCTTCATAGGTAACTTAAAAAACTTCAGTAACTTCTCACAAAGTTGCTGTCGACCACCTGAACATAAACTTCATCATGGAGCCTCTGAAACCCCTGAGACATCAGCATGAGAAGTTTCAGAAGGCTCTTTGCTCTGTTGAGTCTACTTAACACTGAAATCTTGCCATGTCTGTCATTCTTGCATTTCAGCACTGTCTATGCTGCAGGCTATGCCACTACCCTCCAGTACCATTCAGCCAGCATTGAACACTTGCTGTGTACCAATTTCTGTATTAGTGGTGGGGATACACAGTGGAGAGGAACCACCCCTTTCTCACACTCTCATTTCCATATTGCTGCAGATATCTTCACCTTGATGCCTCATTGCCTCTGTGCAACAACTTATCTACAGTGCTTTGAAACGCATTCCCCCGGCAGATGAACTCCCTTTGTCCCCAGTCTCTTAAGATAATGTGCCTTCTACTCATTTGCTGACACTTCCTTGAGTTTCCTTCCTTTTCTCTCATATCTACAGGTTTTTCTGGCTTTGGCCTATTTTAGTTTCCTACTGCCACTGTAACAAATTATTACAAATTTAGTGGCTTAGACAAGTGTATCATCTTACACTTCTGTGGCACAGGAGTGCAACACAGGTACTTGTTGGGCTACAATCTAAGTGTGCTCAGGACTGTGTCCCTCTTGGATGCTCTAGAGGAGAATTTGTTTCCTTGTACTTTCTAGCTTCTAGGGGCCTCCTGCATTCCTTAGCTATAGCCCCATCCTCTGTTTTCAAAGCCATCAATATCACATTGCTTTTCCATTCTTCTGTGACTTCCTCCTGACTTTCCTCTTTTGCTTCCATCTTCTACCTTTAAGGCCATTTTAATGGCATTGATCAAGGTGGATCATCCTGGGCAATCTTCCTATCTTAAGGTCAACTGATGAGCAACCGTAATTTGTCTTTGTCATGAGCCCTAACATACTCACAAGTTTTACAGATTGGGATCAGGGCATCTTAGAAGAGAGGCCACATTCTGTTTGTTCCCCTCAGCTAGACATTTGGAAACTATCCTAGGTTCTCTTCTTGTCCTCAATTTCCCAGTGTAATCTGTCATCTAATTCTGAGTAGCTACCTCCTCAGGGTCCCTGGGACAAGTGTTCCTTGGAGATTCTTCAAAGGCCCCTATTTTGGAATTCTAACATTTTGTGGGTGAAGGGAAGGTGGAGGATGTCACAGAAATTTTATAAAACAAGTTGAAATTGGGCTGGGCATGGTAGCTCATGACTCTAATCTCAGCACTTTGAGAGTCTGAGGTCTGCAGATCACTTGAGGCCAGGAGTCAAAGACCAGCTTTGGCAATATGGCGAAACTCTGTCTCTCCTAATATTACAAAACTTACCCCGGCATGATGGTACATGCCTTTAATGCCAGCTACTCAGGAGGCTGAAGCAGGAGAATCCCTTGAACCTGGGAGGAGGAGGTTGCAGTGAGCCGAGATCGCTCCCCTGCACTCCAGCTTGGGCGATAGAGCAAGACTCCATCTCAAACAAACTAACAAACAAAGTAGGTTTAGTCTTTTCAAATAGTCCCATATTTCTTGGAGACATTGTTTGTTCCTTTTTATTCCTTTTTCTCTATCCTTTTCTTCATGCTTCGTTGCATTAAATTGATCTTCAGTCTTTGATATCCTTTCTTCCACTTCATCGATTTGGCTATTGATACTTGTGTATGCTTCATGCAGTCTTTGTGCTGTGTTTTTCATCTCCATCATGTTATTTATGTTTTTCCTTTAACTCTTTATTCCAGTTAGCAATTCCCCTGACCTTTTTTTGAGGTTTTTAGCTTCCTGGCATTGGGTTAGAACTTTCTTTCTTGCTCGGAAGAGTTTGTTATTACCCACTTTCTGAAACCTACTTCCATCAATTCCTCAAACTCATTCTCTATTCAGTTCTGTTTTCTTGCTGGCGAGGAGTTGTGATCCTTTGGAAGAGAAGAGGTGTTCTCGTTTTTGGAATTTTCAGCCTTTTTGCGATTTCTTTTTTCATCTTTGTTCATTTATGTGCCTTCATTCTTTGATGTTGGTGACCTTTGAATATATATATATTCAATATATATATATAACATTATATATATATAAATTTATATATATAAAATAAAACTTGAATATGTAGTATATATGTGTATTCCTATATAGAGAGGAAATCCTTTTAGTAGATGTTGATACTATGCCTTTCTGTTGTTAGTTTTCCTTCTAACAATCAGGCCCTTCTGCTGCAGGTGTGCTGGACTTTGCTGGCAGTCCACTTCTGACCATTTTTGCCTGTGTATCACTATCAGAGGATGCAGAAAAGCAAAGATTGCTGCCTGTTCCTTCCTCTGAAAGCTTCATCCCAGAGGGCACCTGCCAGGTGCCAGCCAGAGCACTCCTCTATGATGTGCTTGTCAATCCCTGCTGGGAGGTGTCTCCTCATCAAGAGTCATGAGCTTCATGGACCCACTTGAGGAGGCAGTCTTTTGGAGATCTGCAGCTCTCTTCAGAGCCAGCAGGAAGGAAGGTTTAAGTCTGCTGAAGCTGTACCTACAGCCACCCTTTCCCCCAGGGGCTCTGTTTCAGGGAGTTGGAAATTTTGTCTATAAGCCCCTAACTGGGGCTGCTGCCATTCTTTCAGAGATGCTCTGACCAAAGAGGAGGAATCTAGGTAGGCAGTCTGGCTACAGCAGCTTTGCTGAGCTGCGGTGACTTCCCAGTGGCTTTGTTTATACTGTAAAGGGAAAAACCACCTACTCAAGCCTCAGTAATGGTGGACATCCCTGTCCCCACCAATCTCAAGCATTCCAGGTTGGCTTCAGACTACTGTGCTGGCAGCAAGAATTTCGAGGCAGTGGATTTTAGCTTGCTAGACTCCATAGGGGTGACATCCACTGAGCTAGACCACTTGGCTCCATGGCTTCACCCAATTCAAGGGAGTGAATGGTTCTTTCTTTCTGACATTTCAGGTGCCACTGGGGTATGAAAAAAAAAAAAAACTCTTCAAGCTAGCTCAGTGTCTCCCGAAACCTATTTTTACATTTTTAATCAAAATGTACATTTTTATGTCTTCTTACAATTTTTAACTTTTTACTGTTTTTATACACCTTGCATGAAAATTTATGTTTAGCACTTTCAGTTACATGTTATAATACTTTTATAATACATGTTATAATATACTTTTGGCAATTTTTACGTTAATGTAAAACCTGTTAAGTTTGTTTGTTTGTCTGTTTTTCTTGTAAATGTCAGTAATACTAAACCTTTCCTATGTGTACAACTGAATGATAAATTTGTACATTCACATACTTAACTATTAATGTTTGTTGGAAGCTGCATTTGCTATAAAGGTATTTTACGATAGCTCTGTTTTGTACTAGATGTCCCCAGACAATAGACAGAGACCCGGAATCCTCCTTCTGAAAGAGGACACTTATGCTGGGAAAGCACTTCATGTCCCCACGATTTCCTTGAGCTTATCCCATTGGTCCTTTGAGGAAGTGGACAGCAGTCTGGACTTTCTATGGTACCACGAGAAAGGCAGGAAAAGGCAGATCTTACCAGATGGCTGAATTAGTGTTGTCTTTTGGATATTCCAGTTGGAATTGGCAAAGGGACTGCCAGACTAGCGATATATGAGGAACAGAGAGTAAGAGAATGAGAGAGAGAGAGAGAGAGAGAGAGAGAGAGAAAGAGAGAGGAAAGAGGGAGCCAGTGTTAGGGGTGGATTCCTGAGACTTGAGGGATTTAGAGCCCTGGCCTGAGCCTTGCAGTTTCCTTCAGGTCAGTTGTCCTTCTCACACAAATCGCTTGAAGAGTAAAATGAGCAAAAAGATGGGGCAGGTGGCCAGAGACTCTCAGGATCCAGGAGTTTGCTTAGGATAAGCTGCCATTGCCCACAGCTTCCTGGGATGTAAGGGAGCCTCTGCCACCAATACCGGTCCTGGGTATCAGCAACCAATGTAAGGATTAAAGAAAGAGGAGAGAAACCTGAAGGGTAGCTTGACAGTCAACAGGGACAGGTTTATTTTTAATCAGTGTGAGAGGGGCGGCTGGCCAGGTTAAGTCAGAGCCACACTCTGTTAACAGACTAAGAGTATTCCGTGATTCAGTCTCACAGTGCTTATCAGAGGGTTGGACTGCCTCTGTGTCTCTTTGTTGTGGTTATCTGACAGAGAGTGTTGTGTGTCTGTTTTCATACAGCTTTCTAGAGTTGCAGGCATGTCCCCCATGTCTGCTTCTAGCTTCCGTATCTTAGTGCACCTGAAGGGAAAGGAATGTGCTTATTATTTGTAGTAAGAAGAGAAGTGATTTCCTTGAAATGCATGAGGCTAAAAAGAGAGCTGGAAGTTAATGTGGCAGTATTTGTTCAAGATGAAGGTGCTCCTGCTCTATCACTTTCTAGTCAGGTAATTGCACAGCTGTTAGTTTTGTTTTGTTTTGTTTTTTGGAGTAATTATATACTTAGATGTAAATTCTGTTGTCTGCAAATTCAAATCAGAAAATTTATATGATTCTATTTGATGTCTTTGCCATACACAAATGCATGCTTACATATATTATAACACCTGTGAGTTTTAAAAATTATTTTATGGTAATAAATAGTGATTTCTCAGCCCTCTGAAAAACAAGATTAAATTATTTTGTGTATTGAATATTCACAATTATTTAGGAAATCACTGAAGTTTATATTTTCTTAAATTTACTTTTCTACTGGTTAAATTGAAAGGTATTTTAGTAAGAAAACTGTAATAGAAAATTAAAATTACTGATAATATAAATCACTAAATGGTTTAAATTATTCTATTGAAGTTGTGGAAGTGTTGTTGTTGTTTTAATTATAGCAGCATAAAAATATACAATAAAATTTACCACAGCTCTTTATTTTCTCTCTCAAAGAGGAATTGTATTTAATCATTTTCTTTGTTAGATGTTTGCTCTTTATAAGAACGAGACTCTTTTTATTCAAATAGAAGCTGTTTTGTAATCTTGATTCTATTACACCAATGAATACTTCTTTTTCACAGAAATGCAACAACTTGAGCAAGAGTGATCAGTTACTAAGAGGAGTACCTAACGTCCTTAGAAGAAAAGATTCAGATCATAGGGATTTTATTTACAGAAATGTATTTACCTGTTTGTAATGTATGCCAGTTTAGGTAAGACATTTTCATGTTATATCAATGATGTTTTTATTTTTAAATATAAAATGAGAATCATTTTTTAATCAAGTTATTACATGTAATGTGTCCTAAAGTACAGGCAATATTCCATATACATATATACATATAGATACATATATATATATATATAAAAATGCATAGCAAATCTGTGTAACTTTAATGTATTTCATGTATTCTTAGGTTATTTATGCATTTGTTTTATTTTTCTGGTAATCTTTAAGATTAGATATTGTGCCCGATTGATGTTATCTTTCTCTCTCTTTTATTTATTTATTTATTTTGGAGATGGAGTCTAGCTCTGTGTCCAGGCTGGAGTGCAGGGACAAGATCTCGGCTCACTGCAACCTCCACCTCCTGTGTTCAAGTGATTCCACAGGCTTAGCCTCCCTAGAAGCTGGGACTACAGGTGTGCCACCACGCCTGGTTAAATATATATGTATATATATATATCTGTATTTTGTAGAGACGGGGTTTCACCATGTTGGCCAAGATGGTCTCAAACTCCTGATCTTGTAATCTGCACATGTCGGCCTCCCAAAGTGCTGTGATTACAGACTTGAGTCACTGTGCCCAGCCGATGTTATCTCTTAATGTTGCTTTTTGAAAAGTACTAACTTCCAGGTCATATCCCACACTATCTAAATCAGAATTTCTAGAACTTGGGAAAGGTATCCACATCCTTAGGGGATACCAATTAGTTGTTTTGCTTTTCAGGTTTAAAAATGACATCTATGAGAAACTTAGCGCATATGTATGCTTTTGTTAAAATAAAGAAAAAGAAATTTGGTGATAATGTAAATAAATAATTCACTTAAAATTTTTGTTGCTATTAGCATAAATTAAGAAATGCAGGTTTAAGTAAATGTCTCTTAGGGTAGTCTGATTTTCCTCACATCAGCCTATTGCACAGTAGTCCTAAAGGCATGGATAGATTGTCAGAAACGTACAACAAAAATATTTGTACTGTATTCAATGTTAGTGCAACATTTCAAAATTACTAATTTATGGATCTATTTAAAATTTAATTACTAGATAATATCTCAGTGATATTGATAAATATTAGGTCATATTTATATGAATGACTCAGACAATTAGCAGATCATTTTAAGTAATTTGTTTAAATTACAAATATTTTCCTATCAAAACTAATTTCTATGGTCACACATTCCTGTAATGAAAGTGTTATTTGTATTATTAATATTTACCTTCAAGAGGAAATACATTTTACCCTTTACTCTTCCTGCTCTAACGATCTCTGTGCTTTCTTTTCCTCAGCCTTGCCTGACTACCTCTGAGATGCTGGGATACTTTTAGTAGAGTAGGAGCATATATTATACAAACATAAACACAATAATTATTTTGAATGTAAAAGTATCATACTCAAGAACTCACAAAAATTTTGTCTTGCACAATTTAACTTGAGATTTTAGTTGCTTTTACAAAACCCATGATTGGTTTATAATATAACCTAAGTTTAATTTTAATTGAGGAAGTTCATTATACATTTATACATCTTAAGGCATTTAGGCAGTGTGTTTTAGGTATTAGGAATTTTTAAAATTTGAGAAAACTGAGTCAACACAGTTGCATCGCATCGTGTACCATTCCCTGTAAGGCCCCCAAAGTACCCAAGAATGAAACATACTAATGTTTCTATGACGAGAAATGAATATTCCCTTTATGGGTGAAGACTTAAATAGCTTCCCTCAATTAAGTCTTTATTACATCAGAAATTGAGTTACATAACAACCTTATTTTTAAAAGCCTTGCTTACTTGAGCTTTTCGAATTTCAGATAAAGTATTTTGAATCCCTCCTAATTATGATTTTGAAAATACAGTACTGAATAAACAGTCCAGGTGGGATAATATTAAAGGATTGTAATAAACAAACAAACAAACAAAATACAGAGGGCTCTGCTGCCTGTTGTAGGGAGTATGTGTCTTAAATTTGGAGAGTAAAAAGCACTTGCAGTAGAAAAGGGTTGCTTTGTTAATTTTTTTTTCTAAGTAGTTAGTGGGTACAGACTTAGTATTGACATAACTTGGCTTTTCTAGCATTTATGTGAGATATTCACTGTGACTTGATAAACCATTAGAGAATCACAAAAGGCATACATTTGTAACAACTCACAGGCTATAGCATAGAAAGTTTCACAATAGACCACAGTAAGGAAGTATTCAAAATTATCTGTATAAAAACTTTGTGGGTGCTCTATATTACAAAAACGGCAATGCAGAACATATGTGTGGACAGATTTATGAGCTCTTTATGAGTTAGTATAGTCAGGTGTCGGTAATTGGATATTTGAGGAAGTGGAGCAGGAAAGAGACAACACCTACGCCCCGGATGTGATTTGATAAGCTGAAGGAATAGTAATGCAATTTACTGACAGAAAAAGGAGAACCTCTTCGAGCGGATTGCATTTTAGAAACATATGGGAAACCAAATAAAAAATTGTAATGGGGAGTTGGATACATATGTCCAGAATTTGGAATCATCTAAAAGGATACATGTGTTACTATAGATGTAATAATGAAAAAAGTCATTGGAAGGAATGTCTTAGAATGGAAACTTTTTTTAAAAAAGTTAATGTTAACATGGTAGATAACATTAAGTTATCTAAAAGCAATCCGTAGCCTCTAAGTAGTTTAAATTAGTATGTAAGAAGAATAATTTCTTTCTTTTTCTTTTTCTTTTTCTTTTTTTCTTTTTCTTTTTTTTTTTTTTTTTTTTTTTTTTTTGGGAGAGAGTCTCGTTCTGTCACCCGGGCTGGAGTGCAGGAGGACAATCTCGGCTCGCTGAAACCTCTGCCGCCTGGGTTCAAGCAATTCTCTGGGTCAGCGTCCTGCGTAGCTGGGATTACAAGCGCCTGCCACCACAGTTGGCTAATGTTTAAAAGAGATGGGGTTTCACCGTCTTGACCAGCCTGGTTTTGAGAAAAATCATAATTTTAAAAAACTGTGCTTATGCTAAAAACAGATCCTTAGCATTCTTCCAGTATTCTTAGTTGTGTCATTTGCTTTAAAATAAGCCTAAGAATTGCACCAGAATTAGCTGCACAACTCCGCCAGGAAATGCAAAGTTTTATTGTTATAGGATTCTAGAAACAATCATATTATATATCTGGAAACTCTATACACACATGCCCACACACACAAAAACACACACAATTTTCACTGAATAGACATCATAATAAGCACACTGAAAACCTAATAAAGTTATTATAAAGCTGTAGAACACAATGATTAAAAGCAAATGATAATCTTAAATTTTAAAGAACTGAAAATATTAGAATTTAAGAATTAAAATGTTCTAATTGTTCTTTGGTCCACTATCATAGATTTCAAGCAGATTAATTAATGTAGTAGAATGACATTAATAGTTCCTATCAATGGGATTTAATTTATACCATTTTGAAAATAGTTTGTTGTCATATATTGTTTACTGTGTGACTTCTTGTATTTGCTCTAAAGTAAGGCTAAATCACATCTTAGCCTCATCTCATCCAAGGAAGTGATTACAGTAAAGGTATCCATGTTGGGTTAATGTGTAAAATAGTGGTTGTGGATTAATGTGGGTTTGATGTAGGAATTTATTATTCTCCTTATTAAGATTAGCTTGAAATGTACTGTGTGACGAATATTTAGTCTATTCAATAAGTGGTATTCAACAGATATATATCAACAAGTGCTATGTACCAACCACTGTTCAAGGTGGCAGATAAAAATATAGGCAAAGATAATATTAATCCAAATTGCACATGAAAACATTTGATACTATTGATAATGTGGCAGATGAAATGATTTTCACTTTATTATAATTTTTAAGAGAATGAGATAATTAAATGTGTACTGTAAGTGTTACAAGAAGCCTATCCATGTTATTCTTTACTGAAATAATTAGATTACAAAAATCACCTTTTTCAAAAGAAATTTATATTATAAATGCTCCCATGGCAAAAACAAAAAGCCTGGTCTTTGACTTGGAATATATTCTTATTATATAAAGTAAGATACATGGCAGAGAGAAGAAAAAACAATTTTATTCATCTGTCCTGGTAATGACAAAAAAGACAGAAGTCATATTTTTTTTGCAATTTTAGATTGGACTCCTAAGAATAGCAGACAGTTGGCAGTGTAAATATGTTGTAAATTAGCTAGCCCTGAAACAAAATGACTGATCATTAGCAAATCGGGCAACTTTTATTATTGCCATTGTAAGTTGCTTTACCTATCATGAGTGTGCTCTTATACTATTAGAATTGAAATCTATTCTGTACTGCCAATTTATATCCCTGTTTTATAATCTTGGGATTCTTGCTTTACATTCTAAAATGTTGTCTCTGAACAATTAGTGAATATCAAGTAAGTTTTTTATTTTTTTTAAAGGTAGTCTTAAAAGTCTAATGATCTTTAGTGAAAATAATGAGGAGATTTGGATATGGTGGTTCATTTCTGTAATCCCAAGTAGTTGGAAGGATGAGGCAGGAGTATATTACTTGAACCCTGGAGTGTGAGGACTGATTGAGCTATGTGCTATCATCATGCCACTGCAGTCCAGCCTGGGCCACAGAGCATAATCTGAATAAAAAATAGAACTATAAAAAGTAATATAGCATTGCTGTTTTTAATTCACTTGTAGTAATGCATAGATAGCATATTTAGCCAAAACGTTTTAAACTGGTAATATGCCAAGAGGTCAGATGTTTGAGTCAGATTGCTAGCTAGCTCCTCAACTGGCTAAATCTGTAGTATTTTGCAAAGTATTTCTCCTAAATGTAATTAGTTTTTTTATTTGTTAAATGGATTTACTAATGCTACCTGCTTAGGAAACTAACTCTGATATTAATTAGTTTACCTCAAAAACTTGTTCTGAATGACATATATTAGGCAATAAAATATTAGCTACTACTTGATATTACAAATTCTTTTCATCTGTTTACTTTTAAAGCTCATAGTGAGCACAATAAAATTCCAGAAGACCGATGATGGCTGTTAGATATAACAGAACGCTCTGAGAGTCACTATCAGAAATGAGCATATCAGTGCATAAAATGTATGGTAGCTTTATTTAGCAGCTGTTTCATTGTTTACCATAGCATTTTTTCTTACAATTTTGTAGAAGCCTGTGTCAGAATCAAGAAGTTTTTTTTAGAAGATGATAATCATGGATGATTGAAATCATACTGAAAATTATTCTAAATTCTATTATATTTATAGTTGTATTTTCTTTCAAAGGATAATGGAAGTCTTAAAAAGAAAATGGATACTTCTCTGCCAGGGGAGATACTGTGATCATGAAGGTGGCTTTCCCAGGGCAAGGCTGATCTATTGCATTCTGGATGTGCTGACTCCTACGATTTCCCCAAGTGTGGGAAACTCAACTGCATAATTTGTGGAAGTAATGACTGTGTTTGCACTTTCACGTGGAAAAAGAAAAGGAAAGGAAAGGAAAGGAAAGGAAAGGAAAGGAAAGGAAAGGAAAGGAAAGGAAAGAAAGAAAATTGACTCGTTTAGTGGATATAGAAACTTGAAAGAAGACCATATACTGGAAACAATTCCATGTGTCTAAAAAATGGTCTCCTCCAGTACACAAAAATAAAACATCAAATGTTTATTTCTTAGAAAGATCAAATAGTGCTAGGATGACACTTACAAAAGCTTTCAAACTTTGGATGAGTGGGCAGGGGGAAGCCCCAAAGGGCAGCAGATAAATCTGGGAAAAAGAGAAATAATTTTTAAATGTGTAAGCCAATGTTTATGTATTAATATTGCCCTTAAAAATATTTATTTTATTAAATGGTTAGCATTGGTTTGTTTGGTCTTAGAAAGTATTTCCTTTTGGAAATGACTTGTGTGAAATGGTCTAGAAATTATGTAGCTAAAATAATTCATATTTTTCCCTGTATTACAAATCATTTGCAGGCATTGCAAACATATTAAAGATGCCAGCTTTTTTGCACTTCTTAACGTTTATTCTAAATGAAGAAAATTAAATATAAGGTACAAAGTTACTTTTATAATCAAATAAATCAGTCTTTTTAAATATTTAGAATTTGAAGCCAGATGACAAAGATGCCTTAGATGAGCATAAGTCCTCTCCAACAGAATATGCTCCATTATATCCTCATCCAACAGGCTTTATGTATCAATAGGTAAATAAATAAAGTTTTTATTTTTCTTTTTTGAACTCATTTTCATCTTTACTTACGTGGTTTTCAATTATTATTTTCTTACATATTTTGTAACGTATCAGCTGTGACTGTAAATTAAGAAAAACATTATCTAGGGCAGCTTTGGCAAGATGATCAGAAGAAGAATGCTTCAAGTGGGGTCATGTTTTATTTTACCCTTTTGATATTTTGTTTGTAATTAGGTACTACCTTGTCCTAGTTCATAAAAATGTGTCATATTTCAATAAGATCATAAAGTAATTTATTTAATCTCTCTCAAAATCCAGTGACAGTAAAAATTAACAATTTTACGAGTTTTCATACAAAATTTACCAAAAAACAAATACTGACCAAAAATATAAATAAAAACCATTTCTGAGCACTTCTAAGTTAAAACAAATATTTTTATTAAAATATTATGGGAAGACTAGACACGACGTGAGTAATGCACTTTTCTCTTTCTTTCTGTCTTTCTTTGTTTCTTCCTTTCTTTCTCTCTTTCTTTCTTTCTTTTCCTTTCTTTCTTTCCTTCTTTTCCTTCCTTTCTTCTTTCTTTCTTTTCTTTTTCTTTTCTTTTCCTCATTCTCTCTCTCTTCTTTCTTTCTTTTCTTTCTTTCTTTCTTTCTTTCTTACTTTCTTTCTTCCTTTCTTCCTTTCCTTCTTTTTTTCTGATGCAGTTTCACTCTTGTTGCATGGGCTGTACTGCAATGTTTGCGATCTTGGCTCACTACAACTTCCACCCCATGAGTTCAAGCGGTTCTCCTGCCTCAGCCTCCCAAGTAGCTAGGATTACAGGCATGCACAACCACGTGTGGCTAATTTTGTATTTTTGGTAGAGACAGGGTTTCCCCTTGTCAGCCAGGGTGGTCTGGATCTCCTGACCTCGTGATCCACCTGCCTTGGACTCTCAAAGTGCTGGTATTACAGGTGGTGAGCCATGGCACCTGGCTAAGTTAATCATTTGAAAGGTTTTCTTGTGCTGTAACATTTAGCATGACTTCTCACCAAGTTCATGTAGCCAAGGGATGGAATCACCCAGAGTAACAGCTTTATTGCTCAGAAACCTTATTTTTTAAAACCAGAAAAATGTAAAAAACAAGCAGATTATAATTCTACACGTTCTTCACCTTTAATATAGTTTAATTTCTTGTTGAGATAAGGAATATTGCCATATGTTTAATAGAAATTCTAAAATATTAAAACCAACATGAACACTTTTCATATGTCACAATGTGTGGAGCATGGTAGACTGTATTTTTTTTTTTTTTTTTGGACTGGGGCACTTTTGTGATAGAATTTACTAAGTGATGCTTGTGATGCTTTTAAAACATGGCTTCATCTAATTCCAGTGAAGTGCATATTATCAGAATCCACAGTATTTTGAATTACCAGTGTGCCAAGATTTCTGACTGCTTTGCTACCCAGTCACAATTTTCCTTGAAAGCAGTAAGGCTCGTAGTTTATTTCTATGTTATTTTAAAGTGTTTGTTGTTAGAGGTAGGGTTTACTGAAGATATAAGCTCCTTCCGATTTTAAATAATTCATACAATTTTTTTCATTCAATATAATATCTCTATGCCCATTGTTGGAAACAATAGGATATGAAGTGTGTTGCACAGTGTGAGGAACAGCAATTCGTTTGTTTGAACTGGTTAGAATATACTATGTTTTTATCTTTTTATAGTATGTAAACATTAGCATTGAACATTATGAATGCCAAATGCAGTCTACATTAGTCAAGACCTATAAATACACTATCAGGGCTACTGATATTGGTACATTGTAATCCAACTATGTCATGGGCCTTCCTATTTGGCCTATTGTTATTTGCAGTCTACATTTCTCTCCAGGCCTAGACTTAGATTTGGGAATTTCTGTTCCTTAAAGAGTACAAAAGAAATAAGTGTAGATTAATTCTATTCCTGCTTTACTGCTGCACCTCTATAAGGTTGCCATCTCAAGTGAATACATCATGATGTCCTGGTTCTAATCACCTTCCAATCATCCTGGAGAGGATTCTTCAAATGGGAACCAACATGTCCTTTTTTAATGTACCCCTTAAATTTGTACTATTAAGAAGATGCCAGGATGTGACTCAGCCCATTGAAAGTCCATGTGTCACATACAGGCTTCTGTTTGAAAGTCCAGTTTTCTATTGTTCACATGGCCAGGACGTTGATTACTATTTACTACTCATGAATTCAAACAATTGCCTTTATAAATCATGGTTTAATGTTTTTAATCCTTTATTTAAAAAGAAAAAAAACAGCATGCAGTTCAATCATTGAGGTAATTTGCTCATTCCATCTTCAATTGGTCTTTTTATTTCTGGTCTCTGTGAAAGCCTGCCAACAGGACATTGTTCATCCACCTTGAAACGGCCATTCATCAACCAAGCAGGTTGTTGTTGTCAATAGGGAGCTCTTCAAAGGGCATTGCCCATGTGACAGTGGGATCCAGTAATTCCTGAGGTGGTTCCAGACTACATGCTAGAAAATTCCCTACTACCTGCTCTTGAACAGGATGAGCAACTCCTTGCACTTCCCTGGTAACGTTTTTCTCCTATAAAGCCATTTTTTATGTTATCTTGGAAGTGTTCTGAGCACTTCCTCATTAGACTGTTTCCTTACTTTGCCCAACACGTTATAGGTGTTGCAAGTTTTATAATTATTTTATGGTCTTCAGTCAAAGAAGCAGGCAAGGCAAGCTAGTAATTATCTTTCCAATGGCACGTATTATTTCATGGCATCCAGGAGTGCCCTGGACCACAATTTCCAGCTAATGCTGAAGAGGGGCATGTGTGGGTTTTCTCTCATCACCTTAGTCTGCCCAAGAACATGTGCCAGTACTTCTAAAATCAGAATTTGGATCACAAAGCCCCAACGTGTGGAGAGAAAGAGCTTTTTACAATTCAGAAGTGGACAGCTTTAGTGAAATTTCTTATTTAAATAGACCATTATTTATTGTTTCTTTAAATTGATGCATTATAATTTTACCTATTTACAAAGTAGAACTATTATTTTGATACATGCACACAATGAGCAATGAGCAAATTTTTAAATGGCTTATTGGTAATTGGTATATTAGTCATTTCAGACATATATGACATATTTGTTTCAAGAACTTTCCAAATCTAAACTTCTAGTTATTTTGAAATCTGTAATAAGTTATTCATACCTATAGTCTCCCTTCTATACAATCAAACTTTAGGACCTATTCCTTCTAACTTTATTTTTTACACATTAACTAGCTCACTTATTTGTTTGCTCAATGTCTTTCACAGCCTGTAATAATATGTCATGCTATTCTCTACCTCCATGAGATGAAATTTGTTATTTCTGAGATATGAATAAAAACATGCAATCCTTGTCCTTTATATTTTTTGGCTAGTTTCACTTAATACTTGTCCTTTAAATGAAGGCTTTTTTCTGACTAATGTTTAGTTAATGTATTGAGGTTTTTATACAACTGAAATAAGCACTCACCTAAAATTTCTCTTAACTGTTGCCAAAACTCTCTGGGTACATAGGATTGCAGTTTGAAAACGGCTAAATGAACAAAGATGTCTTGAAGGTGTCCTAGGACATTAATATTGTACGATTTTCTATCTCCTGTCTTACTTAACTCTGGTTTGTCTTCAAATTAATAAAAATATTCTAGTAAATTATCTTGGGGATCAACATTAAAGACCAAAAAAAAAAAAAAAAAATCAGTAATGCACTAGTTTAACTTTATAAATATAAGGAAAAAAGTTGAAACAAATACCAAAAGTTACTGAATAAAATGAAATACATTTTTATACTCTTAATTTTAAAAGCACTTTATTTACTTTTTATTTTTTACTATTATTGCTTATTTGAAACATGAACTGTTATAACTGGGTTCACGGAGAAGTTATCATAAAAGAGTAGCAAAGAAATAACATACACTGCAGGTAATATAAAATAGTAAAATTTTGTCAAGTATGCAGGAGTGAAGACAAATGAGTCCTCTTCTACTTTGGGGGAATACGTTACATAGGGTTTGTAAGATGGATTCAGTATCTTTTTTGAGAATAATGCATTTTCCAAATTACATAAGATTATTTACTTGAGGAGATCAGTATTATTAAGACTCAATAAATATGCCTATTAACCGTAGTTGTGGAAGGAATGAGAGCATAGACAGAAGCTCTAAAATCAAAACATGATTGTAGCCATAGAGCAAAATACAGTTGGTTTACAAGTGTCTGAGAGGTTTCTGTATGCTTTTCATTGTGTCTTAGGTTTGTGATGAAGAAATAAACAATGCCCAGTTCCTGCCCTGGAGAAGCTCATTGCATAGAAAAAGGAAAAAGGCAGATATACATGCCACAGTACAGTGCTGAGACAACATAAATCACAAGCAACCAAGTACAAAGGTAAGATATGTAATTTGAAATTTTATATTCTGTTTCTATTGCTTCTTGCTGTTGTGAGTAGCCATCTCTATATGTGTTAAATTCAACACCCTAGGGGTAACACGGACTATGGTACCAGAACTTACATTCCAATTTTTCTTCCAATAGTGGCTGTTAACCAAGTATTGGTGAATATCCTATATGAAGATTCTGCTAAAAGTAAAGCTACCCTGACTGCGATGCATGGATGATACAATTTACTGCGTCTAGGAAAGAGAAAGAAAGTGTGTGGGCCGGGCGCGGTGGCTCCCGCCTGTAATCCCAGCACTTTGGGAGGCCGAGGCGGGCGGATCACGAGGTCAGGAGATCGAGACCATCCCGGCTAAAACGGTGAAACCCCGTCTCTACTAAAAATACAAAAAATTAGCCGGGCGTAGTGGCGGGCGCCTGTAGTCCCAGCTACTTGGGAGGCTGAGGCAGGAGAATGGCGTGAACCCGGGAGGCGGAGCTTGCAGTGAGCCGAGATCCCGCCACTGCACTCCAGCCTGGGCGACAGAGCGAGACTCCGTCTCAAAAAAAAAAAGAAAGTGTGTGTTTTGTAATTTCCATAAATGATAAGTGTTGATACACTAGTAGCTGAAAGACAAACTATTTCTGCCCACTGAAAGGAAAAAATGAAGAATTATAGGAAAACCATTTACTACAGTTAAACTAGACTGATTTTTAAATTTACCTTCTGTCGATATCTATACAAAAAGTAAAATAATAATAATAAAGGGCTTGAGCATAAACATTACCAAAATTTATGTATTCCATGTTCACTTATTTGGAGGTATATCCTAAATAGGTGATCTGCTGACCTAACTTCTTTACGCTTTATTATAAAATGAATACTTTTCATAGGCAGTGTGATCATAATTCTTAACTAATATTTTTTACAAATTCACATAGCATAATATGAAGAACAAATTTGTTTCTTTAGCAGAAAAAGCTTTCATTTGGGAAAAATATAGAGAGAATTTTAAAAATAAGCACAGCTTCTGAAATGCAAATAATATAAATATGTCAGTTATAGTATCTCAGAGATTTTAGCTATATTATGAAAACATACTTCCTACATGATTATTTTAAAGCACAATAATTTCAGAGACAAAAGAGTAGCTGCTATCAGAATCTTCAAACACAGTAACAGAAATTAATAATTAGAATTTACCTCACCGTTCTGCTTCTCATCTTCAAAAAATCATTGTCTATATTTTTACCTATGCATTCAATTGCGAGAACACTGCTTCCAGTGGAATATATATATATATATATATATATATATATATATATATGTGTGTGTGTGTGTGTGTGTGTGTGTGTGTGTGTGTGTGTGTGTGTGTGTATAGCTGCTGGATCACAAAATTCATGTGATAGGTGGCACCAGCAGTTTGAGTCCCACAAATATTTCTGGTGGGTGAGATCTAACAGAGTGCAGATATTCCCCCTGAAAAAGTGCTTCACAACCTGAGATAACAAGAAAAAATAGTGCTTGTACTATGAAAATAATAACTCTGCCTACTCTTCTTTCCGTCAAGTGACAAATTAATATTAACAACAACTCATTTATCAACACTGCCGTTTTGAAAGAGTACTTTAGATTTTTATATTAACAACAAATCAAGTGACTATTATAGATTTTTAACTTCAGACCCTTTAGGTCCATATTTTAATGACATAACATCTGTTTGTTTAAAAAGGAAAGTATTTGTTTAAAAAAACCTCTTTTGAATATACATATAACTATGTCAATTCAATTGTTAAATAAATTAACATACAAAGTGTTTTTAAAAAGAAAACTCTTCTCTCTACATGGTTGCCACAAGACAAATAAAGATCTGATCTTTTAAGCAGTGAGTTTAGTACAAAACTCCTACAATGTGCTAGAAAATATGCTCACACAGAGAAAAACATAAATATAATTTCACATTTATCAATTAAAGTTATGTACAGAATGCTGTTGTTAATTGTATTCTAAAACCTCAGTTTTCTCTTGAAATAAACTAAATTTTGTTATCATTTGTTAATTTACTTATATTACCTCCCACCCTGAGTTTCAGTTCCATGTAAGATTTGAACATTGCTACTTACTTTGCTGTACTGACGTGGATATTTAGAAGTAATACAATGCACCCCAAAGTTCTCTTCTCGTATTATGAAAGTGGGTTTCATTGAATTACTTTCAAAGTAAACTATTATTAATGAAGAAAAACAGCTTTATAATTTAAAAACTCACTAGTTACTGCTTTGTCTATGTAATATATTGCATTCAATCAGTCTACTATCTTTCTGAGGTTCTTTCCACAGCCCATAGCTAGTGCCACAAGTAGATCAAAACCAGGATTGATGGCAATGGTAGAGCTACAGACTGGAAGAGCTGGCTCTGCTGGCAGTTCTTTACTTCTTAAATACTACAGTTAAACTTGATGCAGGGAAGAGAACAACATCAATTAATTCCTAGTAAGTTAGAAAAAGAAATCACATGTTATTAGTAGAAAACATATGTTAAGAAAAATATGTCTTTTCAAGAAAATACTTTTATGTTTATTTGACATAAACATCTCATTATATCTTGAAACAATTTTGGATTGTGTTCCAAAGAAAAATCATTTAAAAAAAACCGAGGACAATCAATAAATGTAATTCATTTCCAAAATTAGATTTTTGAAGAAATTTCTAAAACTTGAGAGTTTTACCCAAAAGAAAAATAACATTCTAAATTAACCTACTCTTTTAATTACACATTAATGGAAGTAAATTTATTTTCAAAAAAAGAAAATGCATTAAAATTACGTTATTTTTCTTGAATTATGAGACATATAAACAAAGTCATCAAAAAGATGATATAAAAATAAGTTTTTGCAAGATGGATGTTTTCTCAATTAGAAATTCAATCAAGGACAAGGCATGGTGACTCATACCTGTAATTTCAGCACTTTTGGAGGCGAAGGCAGGGAGCATACTTGAAGCCAAGAGCTTGAGACAGGCCTGGCCAATATGGTCAAATCCCATCAGGTGTGGTGGTGCTCACCTTTAATTTCAGCTAATCAAGAAGCTGAGGCAGAATAATCACTTGAAACTGGGAAGCAGGGGGTTGCAGTGTGCCAAGATTGCACTGCTATACTCCAGCCAAAGACACAATGTGAGATTCCTTTATAAAAATAAAAGAAAATAAATTAAATCAATTAAGAATTGAGATATACTGCTTATTTACTTTTCAATGCAGTTTGTGGCAACTCTGAACTGCAATTACAAAAATGTCTTAAATAAAGCGCAGCACACATTTCAAAGTTACTATAACCTCACCTCTGCAGAAAGAAAGCTTTTTATTTTTAAATGCTGCTCCTCTTCCTGTGTCTATGTGTCTTTAATGTTCAATGTGAACATTGTTGATTGTGAACATGTACTGCTTGTTTTTGTTTTTAATTTCTGTGTTAGTTTGCTGAGGATGATGGCTTCCAGCTTCACCCATCTCCCTTCAGAGAACATGATCTCCTTCTTTTATTGGCTGCATATTATTTCATGGTATATATGTGCCATGCTTTCTTTATCCAGTCTGTTACTGATGGGCATCTGAGTAATTCAATGCCTTTGCTACTGTAATTAGTGCTGTAACACACATACACATGCACCTATTATTAGAATAGAATGACTTTTTTTTGAAGGGGGGCTATATACCCAGTAATGAAATAGCTGAGTCATTTGGGTTTAAGCAATTGTCCTGCCTCAGCCTCCTGAGAAGCTGAGACTGCAAGTGCCCGCTACCATGCCCAGCTCCTTTATCTTTTTAATTATTGTCACATCAAATCTAGAACTAAGCATGTGAAAAGAAAACTAGGTATGAGGAAAATGAAAAGCAAACCACAATGAGAGATATAAATGTATATTAAATAGAATGGCCTGTAATCAGAAAGAAATGACAGATGTTTGTGAATATATGGAAACATTGGGAAGCACATCCAAATTGCTAGTGGGAATATAAAGTGA
The DNA here is from genome assembly GCF_000001405.40 of Homo sapiens. NCBI lineage: Eukaryota > Metazoa > Chordata > Mammalia > Primates > Hominidae > Homo > Homo sapiens. The sequence continues at coordinate 18,824,576 of NC_000024.10, read as the reverse complement.
GGTTGCTTCTTTAGAAAACAGTCTGTTTCTTAAATAATTTGAGTACATTTGCATATTTTCCAAAAATCAAGGTGTATTTATGCTAATTTGTATAGGAATGTTTGTAGTAGCATTAGTCACGATATAAATGTTTCCATCAACTCCTAATGTGGAGGTAGACCTAGGCCGATGCTACCCTTGCCGTGCATTGGCATCATACGTTCACCTACCATATATCTGATATGATTGATGCAAATCCATATATTCTATAATGAAACCACCAAGATAAAGAATTTAGACAAAATACTGAAACTTTTTTGCCTCAGTATGCCTGGCTTAATAACAGGAAAGAATAGCAAGCCTGTTGCAGAAATCTCAAGCTTAGGAGACCCCAGCATTGTAAAGAAAGGAAACTCTGCCTTAGAAGGAGGCATTGTCTTTACCTTTCATGGGTGTTTCTTATACATAGCCCCTTGAGGATAATCTGCAACAGAAGGCTGTAAGTCACAAACAGCCTCATACTGTATGAATCCATTTATATGAAGTGTCTGTAATAGGCAAATCCATAGTGACAGAAAACGGCTTATTGGATACCAAGGGCTCTAGGAAACGGGGAAGCTGGGAGTTAATGGTAATGGGTGCAGAGGTGTTTTCATTTTTTTGATGATGGAAATCTTCTGTATTTAAAAAGTGGTGATGTTTGCACACCTTTGTGAATACCCTGAAAAAAAACAGAGTATGTACTTTAAAATGGCTAATGTGATAGTTTGTGAGTTATCTCTCAATTAAAAAACTGTTGAAAGCTTGGTCAAAGTTTTGAGCACTACGAGCCTTAGCAGGAATGTAGATGCAAGTTAAACACGAGACAAAAGTATTGAATGGGCCTCAGTCACATAAAGTGGCAGAGAAGTGAACAACTGAAAAAACAATGTGAGCTAAACTCAAAATTGGAATTGAATAAGAAAGAATGCTTTCTCCAGTCTACACAGCAAAACTGGGGGAAATGGCCATGTAGGTGGATGATGGTTTACTTATAAATAATGCCTAGAAATATGCCCCTAAATGTTAAACCATTTTATATAAGAAGGCGAAACTCAGAATCTAGAAAGAAGTTGGCAATATCCGTTTTAAATTATAAATTGTGGAGCATACACCTGAAGAATTTAATGTACCTTTTAATCCTTGTTATACATAAATAGAAGCAGACAGAATTATCTAGTTTGACAATAAAACCAGCAGGATAAATAATTTAGACAAATTATGTAACTTTTTATTGCTTCAGTCTCCACAGTTTAATAAGAAGACCAAATAATAAGTCGTGTTGCAGATATTATGTCTTTGAACCTTTTAGAATAAAGGTCATGCCAGGCATGATTACTCACACGTTCAATCAAAACAATTAAGTGTGGGGGGCCAAGGCGGGTGGACGACCTGAGGCCAGGAGTTTGACATCAGCCTGGCCAACATGGAGAAACCCCGTCTGCATTAAAAATGTCAAAAACAAACAAACAAACAAAAAAACTGCCAGTTGGTCTGGGAGGCCCCTGAGTTCCCAGCTACTCAGGAGGCTGACACAGCAGAATTGCTTGAACCCAAGAGGCAGAGGTGGCAGTGAACTGAGATCCTGTCACTCCAGCTTGAGCAACAGAGCAAGATTTAATCACACTCCACCCCCGGGCCATAAATAGATAGATAGATAGATAGATAGATAGATAGATAGATAGATAGATAGATAAATTTAAGTGCAAATATATCAAGTATTGTTTATGCCAGTTCACCTGACAAAAGACAAAAATCCATGTTCTGATGGAATTTACATTTTGGCTTTAGTGAAAAGTAGTGACAACAGCTAGTGATTTTATTTTTAAGTAATAAAGATAAGGTTGGTGGGTTCATTTATAAGCAGGTAAATAGTATAAGCTCAAAGGAGATCTGAGCAAACTTATTGAAACAACAAGGAGTGCAAAACCTCTGAAGTTGTAGCCTACACTGAGGCTCAGAACAAGAAAGAGGACGGTAGAAGAAGATAAGCAAAATATAAGAAGAAGAAAATAATATGCAGTGGTTTATTACATTATAAAGACCATGGTTTTATCTTAGGACAAAGGGAAGCTGGGATTGAATGCTAATAGGTAGATTTACTTTTTAAGGTAAGGACAAATAGTGATGGTTGCATAACGTTGAGAATATCGTGAAAATCACTGAATTTGTACTTTACAATGGCTAATTTTATAGTATCTGAGCTATAACTCACATAGTTGTAATAGTGTAATAGTTGTAATAGTGGAAGATAGGAGATCACTAAAGAGGCTGAGTTAATCAGATGGGAAATGTGGATGACCTGTATCTGGGTGACAGCAGGAGAAACAGGGAAAAGTGGTGAGATTCGGGACCCGTTTTAAAAGGAAAACATGCAGAATTTGGGGATTAATAGAAATGATGAGATGTAAAGAAAAGCATCACTGTTGACCTTACAGTTTTAGGCCTTTGCAGCGGGATGTAATTACTATCAGGTGAAATGGGAAACACCTGGGGAAAGTTTTTTGGCAGGAGCATCAGAATTCAGTGTGTAGCCTTGAGATCAAATTGTCTGTTAAACATGAGTATGTGCATTAGAGTCATCCATGATTTGGGCTTTAGTAAGAGACTGGCTGGAGATAACAATCTGGGACTCAGTACCATTTAGAAATCCATGGTACTGAAGAGATAACTGGGAGATTGAGAGTAAACTCACTAGGAATAGTTCAAAGAAGAGACAAACTAAGAAATAGTTGTTACATTTGGCCAGGACTGGTGGCTCACACCTCCAATGGCAGCACTTTGGGAGCCTGAGGCAGGCAGACGGCTTGATCCCAGGAATCAAGACCAGCCTGGGATACAAGGAGAGGCCGTGTTTCTACCAAAATTAGCTAGTCTGGGTGGCCTGTAGTCACAGTCACCCTGGAGGCTGCAGTGGAAAGATCGCTTGAGCCTGGGAGGTTGAGGCTGCAGTCAGTTCTTGATAAAGCACTGCACTCCAGCCTGGAGAACAGAGGCAGACCATGTCTCAATAAACACACAAACAACAAAGACAAGAAATTTAAAAAACAAACTATTATATTTGGCAAAAAGGGAAGCTAATTATTTTAAATATAGTACATTTGGTAGACTGTTGGGGATGAAAGCCTGACTGGTAAAGGTAAGTAGAATTTTCAAATGAGAGTGTAATATCAATGGTAAAAATATTCACCTGAAATTCAAGGTAAAATTTTAAATTTAGCAATTAGGGTGTCACTGATGACCTTTGAGAAAGGACTATGACTTCACTGTTGTGGGATAAAACTTGAGGCAGAATAAGAACTGATGGAAAGGAAATAGCTAATAGAAATTCTCTGTGCAAATTAAAGCAGAGAAAAAGGTCAGTACCAAAAGAGACAGTTTTTTTTTGTTGTGGATCATAAAATATGGAGTTTTTTATACATGTGTGATAAGGAAATCAGGGCAGTGAAGAAGAGAATAAAATTAATTATGCAAAAGAGGAAAATATCAATCATATTGATGAGTTGGGTCCAGGAGGATGTATTTTAAAATGTGATAAATGTTTTGTCTTTGAATAAATAAGTGCATATAGATAAAGGTGTGATTAGGATCAGAATAATGAACAACAGAAGTTGAGGAATTTAATACTCTGCAGCATAAAACTTAGCAAATTGGAGGAAAGCATATTTATGATAAGTTATGAGAATAAAAGCAATGCAAAGAAAGTTCAGGAAATAAACATCTTATCAAATAAAAATAAAATAGTAACTTCTTGATTCTTCCCTTCCACTTACTTAAACTACTGCTTCTATTTTTCCCATTGTTATATTTTAACAAAAGACCAATGTCTTCTGGGAAAATATTATGTTTTCTCTCTGGTAATTTGCATTAGATTCTTACACCTTTCATGCCTTTTTATTATATTAACAACCTTTTTAGTCAGAAAAAGGTTTCTGTTCCAATATTTACTTGAGTTAAAAGTCCTGTTGCCTTTTCTCTTCCTTCTTATTCATTTTTGTTTAATATTGCTTCCCACACATAATGACTAATTGACCTTGACAGTATATCAGTAATTTCTCTGGCAGTTTGTCTGCAAAGAACCTAATAAGAGCTATTTCACCCCACCCCTACCCCCCCCCAACAAAATAGAATTTGGATCTTCTATAACCATTCAAATCTGGATTTCATATCTATTTAAATTGAAACTTTTCTTGATTAATAACTTCATTAATAACTTGATTAATAACTTCATAACTTTACTTGATTAATAACTTCATAACTTCTGCATTAAATCAAGCCAAGAATCAGTATTTTAAATGAAAAATGGCCAACAACTAACAATAAGTGGTACTTAAAGGGCTCACTATTTTCTATTCCTCTCTCAATCAGAAATACCTGTTAGATACTTTTCTCAGTGTCATCATGGTTAGATTTGGCTTAGACATTGTGCCCTTTTGTTTTAGTTGATGTCAGCAGGAGACACTGGCTGAAGGTCACAAAAAGGAAACTTAGGAGAAATGTGCACCTTTTTTCTTACTACTTGAAGACAGGACTATCATCTTGGTATTAAGGGGTAGTCAATGCCTCATACAAGTTTTATTGTCTATTTCCTTTAAACAATATGTACTGAAGAAATAGTACGTCAAGTTACTGGACATATTGACTGAATTATGTCAAATGCTTTAATTGACTAAATTATGTCAAGTCATGGTTTAATATTTCTTAAACAAGACATAGATTTTTAAGTTGTGATTAGTGAGCCGTATTTACTTTTTTATATTTTCCATGAACAGTGAATTATACAGAATCTGGTTTTCTTCTGTTTGGATTTGATACTGAGCTATACTGGATTCACTGACAAGAAGAGTTTGAATTAGCAGCATGCTGAGAATGGACACAGTGTTTGAAGAGACTGATAAAGAAAGTACAGGAGGAGTTTTATTTTTGGAAGAAGAAATGGTCCTTGGGCACAGACCCCATATGAGTTTTCCTTTCAGCGTTCTCTGCTCAGCTGTTCTCTGCTGTGGTGAGGCGCCTATGCTTTGTATATGTCTGAAATTAATTGAAAAGCTAGTGACAGATTCTGATGTCATTTGCCATGAGCTTTATTATTGTGCAGGTAATTTTGGATCAAATCACCCTAACGTTTTTCAACAAAGACTTTAGAAGAAATAAAGCTGCATTACTTTTTCTTGGCGCATTCTTCCTTTAGGACCTATAGTGAGGTAAGTGACACAAATATCTCTCATTCTCTGTTTCCAAACAGTAAATAGAATATAAATAGTTCACGAACAAGATTAAGGAAGTGATAATCATCGTTCCTCTAACTGAAATGCACCCTCTGTTTAGATTTATTTACTTTTCACAATTTTGAAAATTTTCCCATGCAATTTTTATCAGTCATAAGGTAATGATAGTTTTTTAACAATGCAAATGGGATTAAGTCAGTCGTTTTTTCTGTTCCTTTTAATATTATTCTAATTCAGCCTCATGGGCATTCCAAATAGTTATGAGGGATAGAAATATAACATTAAATTAAGGGATGAGAGTAGAGTGAGAAGAGAGTATGGCTCAAAATTAATCTCATAAATTTTATTTGTCAACTGACGTGATTTAACACGTTAGTGGTAGATTTTCTAGATATCCCTAAATTTGTAGCTATGACTTGGAATATCAAAACATAGCTAGGCAGTTCATTTCCATCTGACTTCTCTCTGTTACTATGCTGATTTGCACGAGTACTGTAAATTTTGTAAGAACTAATTTCATTCAGATGTGCATTTAGAGTTCCAAGATAGTAAAATGTATAAAAATTATATACATTTTATATAATTAGGAGGCAATGGGGATAAGTGTTACCTTTCAATAAAAAGGTAAGTGCAGAAGTTTATAAACACATGCAAAAATGTGTAACCTCACGATTTAATCTTCTATGCAAATACAAATTAGTAATAGGAGGAGCAATTACTAACACTAGGAGCAATTAGTAAAAGCAAGAGCAATTAGTAACACTAGTAACACTAGCAATTAGTAACACTAGCACTAACAGATGTGCATGTAGAGTTCCAAGATAGTAAAATGTATAAAAATTATATACATTTTATATGATTAGGAGGCAATGGGGATAAGTCTTACCTTTCATCAAAAAGGTAAGTGCAGAAGTTTATAAACACATGCAAAAATATGTAACCTCACGATTTAATCTTCTATGCGAATACAAATTAGTAATAGCAGGAGCAATTAGTAACACTAGCAGGGCAATAAACATTCCTGCAAAGCCAAAGGCTTAATCTGAGTGACAATGCATGCAGTGATTCTGGACCATACTCTGGAGCTAATTTAAGTTTAATTGACTGAATCTCCTGAAAGAAAAGGACTTAGGCAGAAATAACAAAAAATGAACAACACAATAGCCAAAAAACTCAACAAATAAATAAAACTCCTGACAATATCAGAACCAATAAATCTCCATGTAGTAAAAACACACCTCATTTTGTTGCTATAGTTGTTGTTGTTTGGAGACAGAGTCTCGCTCTGTCACCCAGGCTGCAGTGCAGTGGTGTGATCTCACCCCCCTGCAGCTTCCAACTCCCAGGTTCAAGGGATTTTCCTGCCTCAGCCTCCCGAGTAGCTGGGACTACAGGTGCACACCACCACGCCTAGATAATTTTTGTGTTTTTAGTAGAGATGGGTTTTCACTATACTGGTCCGGCTGGTCTTAAGCTCCTGACCTCGTGATCCACCCACCTTGACCTCCGAAAGGGTTGGGATTACAGGTGTGTACCATCGTGCCTGGCCAACTTTTTCTTTTTTACAAGGTCAACTTATGAAATTTTATAAATTTCTTAAATTTCTTGCAATAGACCGAGCATGGTGGCTCACACCTCTAATCCCAGCACCTTGAAAGGCCGAGTCGGGTAGATCACCTGAGGTTGGCAGTTCCAGGCCAGCTTAGCTAACATAGTGAAACCCCATCTCTACTAAAAATACAAAACTAGCTGGGCGAGTGGCACGTGCCTCTAATTCCAGCTACTTCAGAGGCTGAGGCAGTGGAATCGCTTGAGCCTGGAAGGTAGAGTTTGCAATTCTGTGATCATGAGAAATGTTAAGATTACTATATGCATATATATGTGTGTGTGTATATACATATATATAGTAATCACCTACATATATATACACACAGCCACAGACATGCACACACCCACACACACACACGTGCACACACACACACACCCGTTAGCTCTGTGTATATATTCTTTTGAAAACAGAAGATACTTATTTTTAATTAGGTTATTATTTCCTTGTTCTTTTGAATCATTTTTAGTTCCTGGTATATTTTGATTAACTCCTTGTCTGATGTACAGTTTGCAAATATTTTCTCTCATTCTATCACTCTGGTGATTTATTTTATTTTATTTTCATTTTTGCTGTATGGAAGTTTTCTAGTATAATGTAACCTCATTTTTCTGCCTGTGTGTTTTTTGCTTGTGCTTTTGAAGTCTTATCCAAAAAACATTCCTGCCCAGACCAACGTCATTAAATGTGTTTTGTGATTTATTCAACTAGTTTGACAGTTTTGTGTTTTCATTACATCTTTATTTTTAAATGTTTTTTAAAATATATTCTTATAGGTGAGGTCTCACTATATTACCTAGTGTGGAGTACAGTGGCATAAGTGTTTCATGCTACAGCTTTCGACACCTAGGCTCAGGTGATCCTCGCATCTGAGACTCCTGAGTAGCTGAAACTACAGGGGCACACCACTGCAGTAGGCTTTTTAATCCGTGTGAGTTAATTTTTGTACGTGGTGAGAAATAGGGTTTTAATTATATTCTTTTGCATGTAGCTCTCTTGTTTTCCCAGCACCACTTATGGAAGAGATTGACATTTTCTCATTTTGTGTTCTTGGCACCTCTGAGGAATATCAGTTGGCTATACAGGTGTAAATTTATTTTTGTTCACTGTGTTCTATTGTATTGGTTTATAGCATTGTGACATCTCCAGTTCTGTGGGTTCACTCCCCAACCGCACTGCCATCTTCACGATTGCTTTGACTATTCAGGGTTTTTGTGTGTGTGTGTTTGTGGTTTTGTATTAATTTAGGATTTTTTCAATTTCTGTGAAAAATGCGATTGGTGTTTTGATAGAGATTGCATTCTATCTGTGCACTGCTTTGGCTCATATAAACATTTTAACCATATTACTTTTTCCAATCAACGAACATAGAAACATAGATATATTTTCATTTAGTTATGTCATTTTAACATTTTATTAATGTTTCATAGTTTTCAGAATGCAGATTTTTTTACCTCCTTGCTTAAATTTACTCCTTTTTATCCCCCATAGCTATTGTAAATGAGATTGTTTTCTGAAGTTTTTTTTTTAATACATACTTTGCTATTAGTGCATGGAAATGCTATGGAATTTTATATGTTGATTTCATAAACGGAAACGTTACTGACTTTCAGAATTAGTTCTAACTACTTTTTAGTGGTATGTTTAAGGATTCCCTTATATGTCATTAGCATATATGGACAATTTTACTTCTGCCTTTCCAACTTGGGTGACTTTTCTCACTTTCTCTTGACTAATTTATCTAGTTAATGACTTTCGGTTTTATGTTACTATAAGTAGTGAAAGTGAACATCCTGGTCTTCTTTCAGATCTTCACAGCAAAGCTTTCAATTTTAACTCTCACTGACTGTGATACTAGCTAAGGGTTCATCATATATAGTGTTATCTGGTTATTTGGGTCTATGTCATTTGTTGTGTTGAGTTACAGTTGTTCCACGCATGATTTATTAAGAGATTTTATTGTGAAAAATGTCGAATTTTGTCATTTTTTTCATATATCGAAATGAATGCATAGACTTTGTTCTTTATTTTGTTGATGTAATCTATGACATTTAATAATTCTCGTGTATTAAACCATTCCTGCATCCCTGTAATCTCGTTTGATCACGGTGAATGATTTTCCAAATGTGCATTATAAGTCATTTTCCCAGTATTGTGTTGAGGATTTTTGCATTATGTTTATTAGATATAGTGGCCCATAGTTTTCTCTTTTTTCTTGTATCCTTGTCTGGTTTAGTAATCAGCGTAATGCCGTCCCCATGGAATGAGTTGGAACGGTTCCCATATCTTCCTTTTTTCTTTTATGTTTTTGTTTTCACTAGGTTAAAAAAAAGTGGCAGTAGTTTCCTTTTTGTGGTAGGTAGAATGCAGCAGTGAACACATCAGGTCCTGGGCTTATCTTTAACAGGTGACTTTTTACAGCTGATTCGATTTCTTACCATTAATTTATTTCTTGGTGTCAGTTATGGTATCTCTTTTTTGGCTCTGATTTTCTTTATTAGGGGCTTTGTTTTTTTTTTACTTTTAAGTTTAGCTTTTTGTTTTTCTGATTCCTTGATTGAAACATCAAGTTGTGTATTTGATATCTTGTTTTACATGAAGGCATTTATTGCCATAACTTCCCTCTTAAAACTGCTTTGGTTGTTTCCCACAGGTTTTGCGGTGTTGTGTTTCTATTTTTGACTCAAGAAACACGGTGTTTTATCCTTATTGTCTTCATTGATTCACTGGTTGTTCAGGAGTATGTTGTTTAATTTTGATATACTTATGATTTAGTGATTTCGGAAGAGATACTTGATATGACTTTGATCTTTTCAAATTTGTTAAGATGTGACTTTTTTTGCCTAATGTATGACGTATCCTGGAAGATCTTCCATGTTTGCAGTGGAGAAGAATGTTTATTTTATAGCTCTTGGATGGATAGTTCAGTAGCTGTTTTTAGCATTTGCCCTACTCGGCATTTTAATCCAATGCTTACTTATTGAATTCAGTCTGCATTATCTATTCTTTGCAGAGAGTAAGGTGCTGAAGTTTTCTATTATTATCTTGCACTTTTTATCTGTCTTTGGATCTATTAACATTTGTATTATATATATGCATATATTACTTATATACTTGCATTCTTGAAATAATATTTTCTTTTCTTTCTCCTGCTTAATTCTGTATCCTCTCTTTGACTTTGATATTTGGTGGTTAGGTTATATTAAGTCATGCAGATATTTTTATTGATATTGAATATGATTGGAAGCCCTTGATATTCCTGTAGCAGAATATTTATATTTCTATGTAAGTTTGGAAAGGTTTCTCATTATTTCTCTAAATAAGCTTTCTACTCTTTTTTATACATTTTTTTGTTGAGATGGAGGTTTGCTCTTGTCTCAGGTTGGAGTGCAATGGTGTGATTGTGACTCACTGCAACTTCCAAGTCCTGGGTTCCAGAGATTCTCCTGAGTTCAAGTGATTCTCCAAACTCAGCCTTCTGAGTAGCTGGGGTTACAGATGTCCACCAATATAACTGGCTAATTTTGGTATTTTAATAGAGAAACAGTTTCACCATGTAGCCAGGCTGCTCTCAGGCTCTTGGCAACATGTGATCCTCCCACCTTGGCCTCCCAAAGTGCTGGGAATACAGGCATGAGCCATTGTGCCCAGCTCTACCACACTCTTGAATGCTAGTGTCTGATACCTTTGCTGTTTGGATGTTATCCCATTAATCTCATGAATCTTATTTATATTTGCTCCTCTGACTGTGTACTTTGAATTGACCTATCTTTGAGTTTTGCTGCTTGACCATTTCTGTTGGCATTGCTGTCAACTGCATTTTTTATTTTGTGGTGTTTTATTCTTCAAGATTTTTGTTTGTTTTTTTCTCCCATTATTTTAACCTCTCAGGTAAGTTTCTCTGATAAATTTCAGAATCCTTTGTGTTTTCCTGAAGTCCACTGCATTGTCTTAAAATAATTATTTTGAATTCCTTGTCAGGCAATGTGTCCATGCCCGTCTCTTGTGGGTCAGTCACCACTGACACCTTATTTTGACCACTCGATGCCATCATCTTTCTCTCATCGATCCTAATCCTTGGGACTACGCATCAATGTCTGCACAGTGATGTAGGTGCCTAATTCAATGTTCATGGTTTGGCTGTGTTTGGAAGCTTTCTTCCACGGTAAGCCTGTCCAGAGATTCAGGGCAAGGAGAAGAAGGAAATTAAGGTGTTTAAGTCTAAGATAGCTTCAGCCCTGGTAGCACTAGGGGAAACACTAATGAGCAGACTTTCATGGTTGGTGTAATTTGACCGGCAAAGCTGAGTCAATGCCAGGCTCCATCTGTAGCACACAGTTGAGCAATGGGTGCACTCAAGGTCTGTAGCTTCCATGGTCTGCCCTGTGTCGTTTATTTGGTGCCTGAAGTTACTGCAGTCAATCAACAGGAATATTGACAGGAACTGAAGTCCATTCTGCTGAGGTCATAGTTTCTGATCTGTTGCCGGGGTTGGTCTATAAGGTTAACCCTGAGTATCAGCCTCCTAAAGTGCTGGGGTCAGGGGAAAGGGATATAAAAGTCCCAAGGCAAAAAAGCTCTATGCCTACTACCTTTGCACAAGCAATCCTCCCACCTCTGCCTCCTGAATAGTTGAGATACAGGCATGTGCCTCCATGCCTCCCTAACATTTTTTTGTGTATTTCCTTGTTGTTACTGTTGTTCTTTGTTGTTGTTGTTGTTGTTGTTGTTGTTGTTGCTGTTGTTGTTGGGCTCAAGTGATCTACTCACCTCAGCCTCCTAAAGTGCTAGGATTACAGTATGAGTCACTATACCCAGCTAAAATTACTTTCTAAGACTTAATTTTTAGGTCATTTATTTTTATTCAGTCTTATTTCTCATAAATACAGTTCAGAATGTTATTGCTTTAGAGTTTCTCTTTGGGTATTCCTGAAGGAATAAATGGACTGTTGATATTCATTTTCTAAATGGTGTTATAAAATGAGTAATTACTTTAGGTAAGTGATGACTATTTGGCCTCTTTTTGTTTTCTAGCTTCATTTCATTGTGTATGAAGAGTGTATTTTTTTAACCCACCTGCATATGTGAAATGAAGTTTTACTCTTTCAACTGAATGTAGTACAGAATTGTTTAAACTGATTATTCAACTACTTCATAATTTTGGTTTTCTTTCTTGTGCATATTCGTCTAATTATTCGCAGAACAATGTCAAAATTAAATTAATTTGCTTATGAAAAATTTTTCTGATAAAATTACATACATACATGCAAACAAAAGCACATACACATGTAACACTTAATTTCTAAAACTTTTAGTTTTTCTTCTTCTCTAGTACCTGGTATTCCATCACTCAGCAAAATCTGTTCAGTTCTACTTCCAGGATTTACTTTAACTCCACAGCTTATTTCCTACTTTCTGTTATCACCATAATCTAAAACACAGTTTATATTACATTTGCCTCCTATTTTACTCTGTAATTTCTTACTTTACACTCTAACTTTCTATAAAAAAGAAGCTACATTTTCAAGGTCTAATTCAGGTAATTTGATTTTTTCTTTGTTGAGAAATCTTTCTATGTGCTGTCACACCTTATAGCATCAGATATGAATGTATCTATCTAATTTCATCTGTTCCAGCTATTTTCTTTGAGGGAATATGTATAGAAGTTTATAAATATGAATATATATGTATTCCCTTATTATTTGTTTTTCCCAGGAGTAATATATGTTTTGCATGCATAGATTTACTAAATCCCTGATAATGGAAAGTTAGCACTTTTTTTTTGTTTCTTTTAAGTCAATTATTTTCTGAAGGAGGTGGGTTGGGAGGCATATATGTTAACATGTCAAGTTTAAAAGAGAAAGTGGCCATTACTAATACAAATTATTCTCTAACATTTTCATATTTACCGTTAATAGCATCGCTGATTATATGTTCCCTCTTATCAGTTGTGTATGGGGCCATTCACCGCAACATACTAGCAATCCACACCTGCAACAACTTTGCTGCCATTAAGCTATGGGTAATAAAATTCATCTTTGTCATGATATGGCATTCCTTGGTGACTATCTCACGTGTAGTGACTCTGGCATTTTTCCCTGCATCTCTGAAACTGAGGACCCTACACTTTCTATTAATCATATATTTTGTATTATTTTTGGCATCATGGCCGGAGATTTGGAAAACTGGAGTTCATTTTCATAGCAACACAGAAAATAATTCCAGCATGGCGGGTACAGTATGGATGCTTATCTTAACCATGCTAGTATAAGCTGCCATCAACTTCTCTGCTGGTCATCAGTTAAGCTGCAGCTGTCAAATAAGAAAATAATTGACAAGAGACAGAGGTGGACCACACAATCCAACACTGCAGCTTTCCGGTTTTAGAAAATGTGATAATAATATTGGTATTTTGGTTCTTTGGAGGGAAAATTTTACTGAAGCCTTGCGACTCATTAATTGCCATGTAGCTCATCATAACCTACCTATTAGCCATTGGCTTTATGCTCCTCTTCTGTCAGTGTCTGCATCCAAGGTGATCAGACAAAGTATTGCCAGGACATACAGAAAATCATCCAGAAGCACTGTGATATTGTGTAAACATCTAGAGAAAACTCAAAAGAATAAAAATAAGCAGCTGAGGAATTACTGTCATTCATGGAGAAGGGTTGGATGTTATCAATAAAAAGTATGCAATATCCATAAAATATACATATATACTTTCACAGAACAAAGAGTAAAGAGGCTGGATATGACTTTATAAAGATACTCATAAAAATATAAACAGCAAAGTCTTGGAAGTAGTTTCTAATAAAATTGATTTTTCTCCTGTTACTATGCATTAGCAATTTTTATTTTCTTCAATATAATTGTACAAATTTTTAAACAAAACAAAACAAAATCAAAAATCCCTCTGGGTCCAAAATCTGGGCAGAAAAAAAACCCATAATGCATTTTTCACCTGGTACACTTTTGGAACATGTGCCTTTAATTTAACAAGTGTTTGTAATCTAGCATATACATTATCAGCGAATATTTTCTTTTCAGAAAGAGTACTTACCATAGTTTTCATTCTGTACTTAAGGAGAACCTGAAAGAGAAGTCTTATGAGCATGCTCCTACTTATATTAATTTAAGGTAACCAAAGTGTTTCTCATTAAACTGACTAACAGAAAACCACTCATATTAATGCATCTTAAAGCACAAAACCTGTTCTCTTAAAAATAAATCATCAGGTTAATAACGTAATATATTAATTTACATTCCTACCAATAGTGCACAAGCATTCTCTGTGCCCTACATTCTCAAAAACACTTGTCGTTTTTCATCTTGATAGTAATGGCCATTCCAACATGTGTGAAAGCAGGTCTCATTGTTGGTTTCAATTTGCATTTCCCTGATGGTGGTGTTGAGCATCTTTAAACATGCAGTTGTTCAGAAATTAGCCGGGTGAAGTAGCACACACCTATAATCCCAGCTACTAGGGAGGCTGAGGCAGAATTGCTGGAAACCAGTGGGTGGAGATTCAGTGAGCTGAGATCACATCACTGCACTCCAGCCTGGATGACAGAGTGAGAATCCATCTCAAATCAATCAATTAATCAATATTTAATTTAGAGTTGTTTGCTAGTTGTATGTCTTCTTTTGAGAAATGTAAATTCAGGTCCTCTGTCCATATTTCATAGGCTTAATTTTTGTTGTTGTTGTTGTTAAGTGGCTTGAGTTCCTTGTATGTATTTATTATTCACCTTTTATCATGTATGTGGTTTGCAGATATTTTCTCCAAGTGTTTTAGTTGTCTCTTCAATCTATTTGTTTCCCTTTTCCCTTTGCAGTGCAGAAACATTTCAGTTTGATGTAATATGATCCAATTGTTTTTTGTTGTGCTTTTGTAGCCTGTGCTTTTGGGGTCATAGAATTGAGGTTTCAAAAATAAAGTTAAATTAAACATAGAATTACCACATGATCCAGCTACTCTACTTCAAAATATGTGCTCAAAGCATATAAAATTAGCATGTCAAAGAGATAGCTGCAGTCCTATATTCATCTCAGCGTTATTCATAATAGCCAAGATACAGTAACAACCCAAGGGCTCATCAACAGATCGACAGATAAAGTGTGGCACATATATACAATGAGATATACTACACAGCCTTAAAAACAGGAGGAAGTCCTGTTACTTATTTGTGACCAAGTGAATGGAAATGGAAGATATTATGCTCAGTGTAATAAGAGAGGCACAGAAAGACAAGTATAGGGTGATCACAATTATATATAAAAAAGTTGAACTCATTCAAACAGTGAATATGTCAGATATGGTGGCTCATGCCTGTAACTCCAGCATCTTAGGAGGATGAGATGGTTGGATCACTTGGGGTCAGAAGTTTGAGGACCCAGTGAGCCATACTTGTGCCACTGTACTCCAGCCTTGGCAATGCAGCACGGCCCTGACTCTAAACAAACACGGAAAAAAAGAGTCCGAGATTGGAGTGAGGGGTGGTGATAGGAGTGGATAGAGAAAGGGGAGATGTTCATCAAAGGGTAAAATATTTCAGTGAGAAAGGAAGGAGTTCTGGAGATCCACTGCACAGAATGGTGACCACAGTTAATAAGTCAACTTCAAAGTTGCTTAATAAAGAAAAGGGCAGGCATGTTGGCTCATGTCTGAAATCCAGGCACTTTGAACGCCTATGGTGGGAGGATCACTAGAGGTCAGGAGTTCGAGACCATCCTGGCCAAAATGAGGAAACACTGTCTCTACTGAACATACAAGAATTAGCCAGGTTTGGTGGCATGCGTATGTCATCCCAGCTACTCGAGTAGCTGAGCAAGAGAAAAACTTCAACTCGGGAGACAGAGGTTGAATTCTATCTCAGACAAATAGGTTGTTTAAAAAGTAGTATTTATATATTCTTACCACAAGAAAGAAATGGTAAGTATGTGAGGTGATAGATATGGTAACTAGCCCAATTTAATTCTTTTGCAACATATACATGCATTATAAAATCAGTTTGTGTCCCATAAATATTTACATTTGTTAATTTAAAATAAAAATTGTAAAAGAATGAATTATAATTAAAATAAAATGGGCTTAATGTATATAGACAGTAATATATGCTAAAGGTTTCTTCTATTTTGACTATTTGGATTCTGTTATTTCTTGGGGAAACAATCACAGTGGGAAGGGATGAAGAACGCTAAAGCTTAATGTTATATAATTTACATTATTTTGTTGTTGTTTTCTCCTTTTTTTTTTTTGTTTTCTACCAACCAATGGAGACTACTTTCTTATTCACACTTTCTTTTGTGTTTCTTTCTCATGAGAAATCACCACCAACAATAAAGCTCCTGTAGATTTGTGTATTATTTTTCTGCTCCTATCTATGACTCTCTTCACCTGTCCTTTGGATTTCAGAACTTCTTAAAAGACTGATTTACTTATTATTTGTTATCTCTCTGTACCATTACTTCTTCACTCTACCTACAGGATCATTATCCTTACTCTTTTATTTTAGTTTAGTTTAATTTTTTTTGAAGACGGAGTCTCTGGCACAATCTCAGCTCACTGCAACCTTAGCCTCCCAGATTCAGGTGATTCTCCTGCCTCAGCCTCCTGAGTATCTGATGTTAGAGGCATGTACTGCCATGCTTGGCTAAATTTTGAATTTTTAATTGTGATGGGGTTTCACTGTGTTGCCAAGGCTGGTCTTGAACAAACCTCGAGTGACCCACCACCTCAGCTTCCCAAAGTGCTGGAAGTACAGGTGTGAGCCACCAAACCAGGCTTGATCATTTTCTTTACTAGATCTACATGCTGTTAGTCTTAGTCCTAGATACGGCACTCTCAACTCATTTGTTTATTTGCCGTGATAACAAGACTCATGGAAAGAGTTTGCCCTGACAAGGTTTAATTTTATTTCTCTTAACCCTCTTTTCTTCAGGCATTTACCCTGTTTTTTAGAATCATATCTTATACTTGTCACTAAATCCCATATTTCACTTGTCTGTTGCATATTACTCAAGCAGTCATGTGTATCTACAGAACTGATTCACACCCTCATTCCTGAAATACTATTTTGCTTTGGATTACATGACTCAACTTACCTCTGATTTCTCTATTTAACTTTACGTGCCCTGTCTTTCATTTTATCTCATAGATGTCTGTTCATGAGACCACTAAGGTAACTACACAGAATACCTCTTCCTCCTTCCCTTGCTCATTTCCCTTTTCCCTTCCTTTTTTCTTTTCTTTCCTTAAGAAAATGTTCACCCAGCCTGGAGTGCAGTAGTGAGACCTGGACTGACTACAGCCTCAAATTCCTGGGCTCAAGAAATCTTCCTGCATTTGTCTCCACAGTAGCTGAGACTACAGATGCACACCACCACACCTGGCTTTTTATTGATGTTGTTTTGAGACAAAAGCCTCTTCTGTTTTAAACTTGTAGTTCTAATGAATTCAACCAGTGTTATGACCTTTGGATTCCTATACATTATGCTTTTATTTTTTTACAAGCACCCCAAGATTAAGATAGCTAAATTGATAACTTCCCCTGAACTTCTTTACACTTTCTACATGCCTCTCTCTTCCATCACTATCTTGTCTAAAAATACATCATCTGTATAACATAAAAACTGAGGTATTCCAAATATATTATTTTCCCTCATATCTTTCATATTTTATCTACAATAACTTTTTTATTATATACCACTTACAAATTTTTTTTCTTGTTGCTGTTTATACATTCCAGTTGAGGTCATCATTCATTGTTCCCTAAATGATAGTATCAACATCTTAATTTATTTCCTACTTCAACTGATTTCTCACTGAGGGTCTAGAATTATTCTTCTTTTCAATGGATAAAACACATCTCTTTTCTTTTTCTTTCTATTCTTCTTCCTTTCTGCTTTACTATTAACTGTTATTGTATACAGTGAGGAGCTATTTCAGTGTTATTTACTATTATATCCACCATTTTAAGCTAAAATTCAGAGATATAATAACTTCTCTATAAGTGCTTAATATTATAGTAAAAAATGCAACTTTGTAATTTCAGTGTTAAATATTTGAATACCACGTCTATAGATTATTTATGAAACAAGATTTCAGTTGAGTTGCAGATAAGCTTATGTTAATTTTTTATTCACTCCTTCCATTTCTATCCATCCTAGCTATAAGACATTTAGAGGTGGGAACTTGGCATACTCTTCCCTATACTTGAGAGCCTGTTGAAGTCACATGAATAACGAAATGTACACTGACCATTTAATTCATATAACTAAATATAAATATTTTATATTTAAAATGTATTGAAAAGTTTTTATTGCTTAAATTTATTATGACAGCTATTATTTAGATTTTTCATTATTTAAAACTCAAACAATACAGGAAACAAACATGTAGGGAAATCTCAAGTAATTCATTATTTATTGTTCTTTTTATCACAGAAGACACAAGCCATCTCCTTACTGGTTAGGGCCATATTATCCAGAACCGTCAGAACATTTCACTTTTCATTTCCCATTGAAATCTGAGGAGTGTGTTTTGAACTCTATAGTGAAATGCCTACAACTACCCAGTGTAACTCTGTCTTCTTAGGAGGGTATGATTCTGCAAGATGAATATGATAATGTCCTAAAATATCACCCTTACATTTAATTATATAAAACACCACTAATGCAATAATAATACATGAGCTGAACGTTACATAGTCTAATTATAAAGTTAATTTTTACACTCAAATAGTTGAGTTAGAGACTGTGAGATTAAACTGGTGGAAGATGGAACTTAATTTTTTGTAACAACTACCATACCGTGGTGAAATGAATTAACTGAGCTCTTAATAATTTGGAAAATAATAAAGTTATATCTATTAAAATTACTAACAAAAACGTACATTTCTTAACTGTTTCTTATTATGTGAAAGACAGAATGGCTCTCGTGATAATGATGGAAGCAGCCTGAAATAAAATCTAACAAAACAGTCTGGACATGATGGCTCATGCCTGTAATCCCAGCACTTTGGGAGGCTGAGGCAGGTGGATGACTTCAGGTCAAGAGTTTGAGACTAGCCTGGCCAAAATGGTGAAACCCCCTTTCTACTAAAAATAAGAACATTAGCCAGGCGTGGGGGTGCATGCCTGTAATTCCAGCTACTCAGGAAGCTGAGATAAGAGAATCCCTTGAACCTGGAAGGCAGAGGCTGCTGGGAGCTGAGTTTGGACCACTGCACTCTAGCCTGTAGGACAGAAGGAGACTCCATCTCAGAAAACCTCTCTGAACATTAAAAAGCAAGGCAAATTTAATCAAGTTTCTATTTTATGCTGTCATTAGAGTTCATTGGGTTAAAAGTGCAGAGATATAAGGAAGAGAAAAAGACCTCAGACTTGACTTTTGGAGCTCTGGAATCTAATAACATAACTCAGGAGTGTGTTTAATGAAGAAAGACCTGACCTCTAAGTCTGGGCGAGACAGTATGTGTCATTTTAACTTCCCATCATCACCCACTCCATGGCTTCATGGCCACTGTGAAGAAGATTAAATTATAGATGCAGCTTTTGATGCATATGGGGAAAATAGAGAGCTTATCTCAAAGAATTATGGTTGTGTGATTTAAAATGTCTGAGGTTCCCTTGGAGATTATTAGCTCAGAGGCTTTTCTTTAGCCCACCTCAGAGCTTTCTTGTGGGCAGAAGTTGACTCCCAGGAGGCATTTATGGAAAGGAAATATACTAGTCAGAGCCACTTGCAGCAAGGAAAAAGAGTCAGGTCAAGCGGTACACAAACAAAAGGCCTGCAAGAAGAGTCTGGGAAGAAAATTGAGGCGGAAAATCAGCTTTGAAAAACTCTCACGGTTTATTGTTGTTTGTTTTGGATTAGGTTTTAAATAGAGACAGAACTTGCCCTGTGGCCCACGTTGGAGTCCGCTGGCATGATCGTGATCCACTGCAGCCTCAACTTCTTTGGGTTCAAATGAACTTCCCACCTTAGCCACCTGAGCATCTCGCCTATCTGGACTCCACCTATCCTCCCCTGTCAGCATCTCACAGCATAGGCATGGGCCACCAGAACCAGCTTATTTTTGTATTTTTTTAAGCAGAAGAGATCTTACCATGTTGTGAAGACTGGTCTCGTACTTCTGGCTGAAGTGATTTGTTCTCCTAAGCCTTCCAAATTGGTGGGATTACATATGTGAACCACCACACAAAGACTCCTACTGGTATATTTAGAAGGATATAAGTATGCCGGTTTTTGGATGCATGCATGGAGAAGACCCCAAAGCTTTTCACTTTTCCCTGAGTTTGGGCTAAACACTAGAGTTCCTCAAAGAGTCCATATCCAAAGTCTGGGCAGTTTTTCTTTTCTTTCTTTTCCTTTTTTTTTTTCTTGGATTGTTTTTAAAAAATATGTCGAGAATAGTAGACCATCAAAAAGGTGACAGAACACAGATTAAGTGGATATACAACACAAAGAATGCAGACCACAAAAATAGCTCTGGAGGGTTGCTACACAAGTAAACAACCCACAAACTAAGGAATTGTGGATGTTAAGAATTTGTTATCCAAATATGCTGAATACTATCCAATATTTCAATTCACTTCATTTTACTATTCTCAAAGACCTAAGGGAACCCAGGAGTACAGTGATTCAAAACTGAAAATACCAGTAAAGACATACAGATTATTTTAAAAATGAAATCAATAACCTTGAAGTTACTAGGAAGCTGTGTGATTGAAAGTCAGTCACTCAATCACATGATCCTGGGATTTTCCTCTACATGTGGGACTACCCATACCTTGCAGCATTGCTGTGAGTTCACCTGAGCAAGACACCTGCACATGGTGGTGCTCAGGAAATGTTAATTTCCCTTTATTGAAATGGAACAACCCATGGGTATTATGTCTTGAGGTCTGGATTACAGTTGAGCAAGATACAGAAGACGTTGTAAACCCTGAGGAGGCATCACTGATCACTGGGAGTCTGGAAAGGCAGCAGAGAAAAAGTGACCTGCAGCTGGAAATGGCCAATGGGTCTGTTACAGGAAGTTACACAGGCATGAGTGGGGCAGAAGAGAGTTCTCCCATCCACCTACCAGGAATGTCAGGCCATCGGGTAATGGTTGGACAGTTATCACATTGCTTTTCTAAAAATAATAATTTAGCAGCAGAGCCAGGGATAGACAAGTTCCTACTGATACACAGCTGGTAACATTAAAGTGTTAACTAAAGTCACACTCCCGGGAGGGGGAAAAAGGGCTTCTAGTAAAATTTTACATACTGGGTGAGTGAACTGAGACATGCACATTAAGAGACGAAATGGTACAGCATGACTTTCTGGGGTCACTCCACCAAAAAAAGGGAGGAAGCTTCAGATGGGCATGCATATAAATGCTCAAACACACTGCCTATGCTCACTTCTCAAGGGTAAGGAGGGCACTGTGCCTGCTGGCAGCCCACACTTAGGAAAGAATCATGGAAAAAGGTGCACCAGATGCTCAAGGTGGGCCAGCCTATAAAGTCCCAGAATGAAGAGAAATGGCCACACTTGTTCTTCAAGTCACCCACTTGGATCTCTTCCAAGTGCACTTTTCATTCTTTCCTGCTCTAAAGCTTTTTAATAAATGTCCACTCCTGCTGTGAAACTTGCCTCAGGATTTTTTTTCCTTCTTTATGCCCATCAGTTGAACTCTTTCACCTGAGGAGGCAAGAACTGACATTGCTAAAGACGCAGATGGATTTGCTGCCAGTAACTCCGATACTTTCCACCAGTAACAGATCTAGGAGCTGGTGGACATAGTTGCTGAAGCATGTGTCCAGAATGTTTCTGCCCAGGCCACAAGCAGTCCTGCACTGTAAAGGGACTTGAACCCCAAGCTCAGGGGACACCATGGAAAGAGACTTCAGCCCGCTGATGGAATACTGGAGATAGGAATTTTTTATTGAGGTATAATTCCCATAATATGTTAACTGTTTTTTAAGGTATAATTCAGTGACACAGGAATGTGCATGTTCTACCACTTCTTAATTCCAAATTATTTTCATCATCTCAAAAGGAAATCCCCTACCTATTAAGGAGCTACTACCCAATCTGTCCTCTTTCTGACTCCTGACAATTAACAATCTGTTTTCTTTCTCTGTGAAATTATTTATTTTGGATATGTTTATAAATAAAATCATACAATACGTGACTTTTGTGCTTAGCTTCTTTAAACACAATGGTTTTGCAGTATCTTCACATTGTAGTATGAATGTCTCAATCCTTTTTATGGCTAAATATTATGCCATTGTAAGGATATGCTACATTTTGTTTTCCTGTTATTTATTGATGGACATTTGTGTTTTTTCCATGTTTTAGTTATTGTGAATAATTCTGCTATCAATATATGTGTACACTTTTTTTTAATACCTACTTTACATTGTTTTGTGAATATACCTGGGAGTGGATTTGCTGGTTTCTATGATAATTCTATGTTTAGCTTTTTGCAGAAATATCAAGCTATTTTCCACAGAAGAGGAATTATTTTACCTTTGTGATTCTCCATTTCCATGTCAACACATTTTAGTTTATGGTTTTAAATAATAATAATTATAATGAGTGTGAAGTGGTGTCTTATTGTGGCTTTGATTTGCATTTCTCTGAGGTGAGTGATGTTGAGCTAATTTTTATGTGTTTTTTTGTGTATCTTTGGAGAAAAGTATTTTCAATTAATTAATTTATTTTTTTAATTGGATTGTTTGTCTTTTTGTTCTTGAGTTGTAAGAATTCTTTCTATATCCTGGATAGTAGACATTTATTCTTATATATGGCTTGCAAATATTTTGTCCTACACTGTTGGTTTTCTATTGACTATCCTGATAGTGTCCTTTGAAGCATGAAAGATTTTAGTTTTAAGGAAGTTCATTTTATCTATTTTTTTCTTTTGTTTTCTGTGCATTCTCTGTCCTACCCAGGAAACCATTGTCAAATTCAATGCCACTAAGCACATAAAAATATGTTCCACATCATTAGCCGTTAGGTAAACAAATATCTAAACCACAATGAGCTTACCACTTTATACCCACTAGAATGCCTTTATTTTTTATTTATTTATTTATTTATTTTGGAAAAAAGGAGAGTTGGAGAATATGTGGAGCAAATGGAACCCCTGTGCATTGCTGGTGAGAATGTGCAATGGTGGTGGTGGTTGCACGATAACATAAACATACTTAATGCCACTTACCTATACACCTACAAATGTTTAGATTGGTGAATTTTATTTTATGATTCTTTTACCCCATACAACAAAGGCTTCCTGAGAATTGGTCCTGAAATAGTTTAATGTGTAGTGAAAGAAGATCCTTCTCTTCTAGAGTGAGTAGGAGCCTTTTATTTTTCTTGAGACAGAGTCTTGCTCTGTCACCCAGCCTGGAGTGCAGTGGCGCAGTCTCCACTCACTGCAAATTCCACCTCATGGGTTCATGCCATTCTCCTGCCTCAGCCTCCTGAGTAACTGGGACTACAGGTGCCCACGACCATGCCTGGCTAATCTTTTTGTATTTTTTAGTAGAGGCAGGGCTCCATCGTGTTAACCAGGATGGTCTCTATCTCCTAACCTCGTGATCCACCCACCTCAGTCTCCCAAAGTGCTGGGATTACAGACATAAGCCACCACGCCAGGCAGAGTAGGAGCCTTTTTATTCACGCTGGTACTACACACTACTGGCTCTTCCAAACACATAGCATGATCTCACCAACCAGAGGGAGCTTAATTCTAACTGGCCCATTTGTACTTCTTTCCAACATCCTATTCCCCTATTCAACTCACTCCCTGCCCTCTACAAACCACTGTACATCAGAGGTCGGTTTACCTTCGCTGTAGACTTTTCATAATGTCATAGAAATGCGATCATACAGTACATGACATCTTCAGACTGGTGCTTTTTGTTATTATTGTTTTCTCATTATTCCATAATTGCTGCCAAAAGAAGCATGCATATGTTTTGCCACAGAAAACTGATCGTAGTCTGAGCTCTACTTAGTAAACATTAAAAAAAATATGCTAGTACCTATTGTGGCATTGATCCTGTTTTTTAATTGATGATTTCTACAATGAGATAGTAAGTTGTAGCTAATAAGACAATGTGCTGAATTAGTGTGATACTTCACTATGTAGAGATCTCATTCAACAAAGTGATTCCTTTACAGGTGTCTGCAGGGGTCTGTCCCACAGACCCTGACTCAATGGTGGGTGAATAAAGTACTCTGAAACGCAGATACTCTGCTTTGCCAGTCCAGCTGAGCATTTGGGCTGCTTACAGACTGCAGGCAGAGTGGTGTAAACATTTTTGACTGTGGCCCTGACCAACTACTAAGACTTGCATTTATTCAGTAACGACTAATTGACAAAGGCTTGAGTCAAAACCACTAAGGGGTAATTGACAGTGTGGACTTCTGATTAGAAAGAAATTAAGCACCTGTGGAAAGTCAAAGGATAGTCTTCAGACCTCACAAGTAAGCAAGCTAGTTACACAAACACCCCATATTCCTTTGTTTCTACTCTAACATATTTAAATAAAGGGAAAAGGCTGCCTTCATCCAAGTTTATTACTGGAGCTGATGCCAACCCCGCAGTCATTCCAGTAAGGTTTGCATCTGATAATTTTCCCCACCATCCTGACTGAACCCCCACAGATGTGAAAGCAGCAACAGGAATTGCTACAGTACAAACTAGTTTCTTTGGGAACTGAAAAAAACCATTGATTTCAATTTCAGTACATATTTTGCAACACTTAATATTTGATACAGAATAGAACTCTGGAGGTTTTCCTTCTTAAATCTGCTTTTTCAAAGTGAGCCAAAGTGTGAAATCACATGATTTTGGTCTGTTAGTTTTTCCTTCACCTTTCACAATGTGGCACTGATTTTGATTGACATTTGAAGACAGAGACTAATTTATTAAAATATTTCTCCCTGTTCTTTTTCTTTTTGCTTTTAAACATCACAAGTGAAACTTCTGGTAAT
Source organism: Homo sapiens (assembly GCF_000001405.40). Classification (NCBI taxonomy): domain Eukaryota; kingdom Metazoa; phylum Chordata; class Mammalia; order Primates; family Hominidae; genus Homo; species Homo sapiens. The sequence continues at coordinate 18,799,726 of NC_000024.10, read as the reverse complement.
TTCAAGAGTGTACACTTTAAATAAGAATAAAAGCCAGTGGGCATCTGGCAAGATGGTTGAAAAAGAAAAGCTTTTGTTGGCAGCTCCCACAGAGACCAACAAAAGACCGGTAATTTCTGCATTTCCACCTAAGGTACCCAGTTCATCTCGTTGGGACTGGTTAGACATTGAGTGCAGCCCACAAAAGGCAGCAGATACAGGTGAGTGTTGCCTCACCAAGGAAGTGTGAGGGGCTGGGGACTTCCTCCCTAGCCAAGGAAAGCCATCAGGGGCTGTGCTATGAAGTCCACATCCTGCACATTTCTCACAGGTTTTGCAACTCACAGACCAGGAGATTCCCTAGTATGCCTATGCAACCACAGCCTTGGGTTTCAAGCACAAAACTGGGTGCCTGCTTGGGCAGAGGCTGAGATAGCTGCAAAAAAATATTATGTACCCCAGTGGCACCTGGAACCCCAGTGACAAAGAACCATTCACACCTCTGCAAAGGGGGCTAAAGCCAGGGAGCCAAGTGGTCTCACTCATCAGGTCTCACTCCCATGCAGCACAGCAAGCAGAGATGCACTGGCTTCAAATTCTCACTATCCACCTAGAAGTCTGAAGTCAACTTGGAATGATTAAGCTTGGTGGGGAGATGGTTGATCACCATTACTGAGACTTGAGTATAAGGATTTCCCCTCACAGTGTTAAGAAAGCTGCCAAGAAGTTTGGACTGCATGGGACTCACACAAGCAAGCAAAGCAGATGTGGCCAGGTTGGCTCTCTAGATTCCTCCTCACTAAGTAGGGAATCTCTGAAAGAAAGGCAGCAGCCCCAGTCAGGGACTTATATGTAAAAGTCCCATCTCTCTGGGAAAGAAACTGTGAGAAAAGGGATGGCTGGGAGTGCAGCTTCAGCAGACTTAAACATTCTTGCCTGCCTGCTCTGAAGAGAGCAGTGTATCTCCCAGAAGTGTGCTCGAGCTCTGCTCAGGGACAGACTGCCTTTTCAAATGTGTCCCTGACTCATGTGTCTCCTGACTAGAAGACACCTCCCAGCAGGGCTCAACAGATACTTCTACAGGAGAGCTCTGGCTGGCACCAGTTAGGTACAACTCAGGATCAAATCTTCCAATTACTGTTGTTCTGCAACTTCAGATGGTGACACCCAGGCAGACAGCATCTAAAGTAGACTGCCAGCAAACTCTAGCAGATCTGCAGAAGAGATGCCTGACTGTTAGAAGAAAAACTAACAAACAGAAATCAGTCACATCAACATCAACAAAAAGGACACACACACAAAACCCAATCCAAAGACTATCGGCATCAAAGATCCCAGGTAGATAAATCCACAAAAAATGAGGAATATCCAGCATAAAAGTGCTAAAAATTCAAAAATACTAGAATGCCTCTTCTCCTCCAAATGATTCCAAGCACTCTGCAGCAAGGGCACAAAAGTGGATGGGGAATAAGGTTGATGAATTGACAGAAGTAAACTTGAGAAAGTCGGTAATAACAAAATTCTCTGAGCTAAAGGAGCATGTTCTAACCCAATTCAAGGAAGATAAGAACCTTGATAAGTCATTACAGGAACTGCTAACAAAAATAACCAGTTTAGAGGAGAACATATATGACCTCATGGAGATGAAAAACACAGCGCAAGAAACATTGTGAAGCAAAAACAGGTATCAATAGCTGAATTGATGAAGATGAAGAAAGGATATTAGAGAATGAAGATCAACTTAATGAAATAAAGGATGAAGACAAGACTAGAGAAAAACGAATAAAAAGGAACAAACTAGCCTCCAAGAAATATGGGACCATGTCAAAAGGCCAAACCTACAATTGATTGGTGTACCTATAAGTGATGGGGAAAATGGAACCAAGTTTGAAAACACACTTCAAGGCATTATCCAGTAGAACTTCCACAACCTAACAAGACAGGCCAACATTGAAATTCAGGTAATACAGATAACACCACTAAGATACTCCTTGAGAAGAGCAACATGAAGACCTATAACTGTCAGATTCTCCAAGGTTGAACAAAAATAAAAAATGTTAAGGACAGCCAGAGAGAAAGGTCAGGTTACCTACAAAGGGAAGCACATCAGAATAACATCGGCTCTCTCTGCAGAAACCCCACAAGCCAGAAGAGAGTAGGGGCCAATATTCAGCATCCTTAAAGAAAAAAAAAAATTCAACCTAGAATTTTATATTCAGGCAAACAAAGCTTCATAAATAAAACAAAAATAGAATTGTTACAGACAATCAAAGGTAGATGGTTTTTGTCATCACCATGCCTGCCTTAGACGAGCTCCTGCAGAAAACAGTAAATATGGAAAGAAAAAACCTGTACTCACCACTGAAAAAAATGTCAAAATATAAAGACCAACAACACTATGAAAAAAGTGGATCAACTAGTATGCAAAATGACCAGCTATTATTGCTATGCCAGGACCAAATTGACACATAACAATATTAACCTTCGATGTAAATGACCTAAGTTTGCCAATTAATGTACACAGACTGGCAAATTGGATGAAGAGTAAAGACCCTGTGTTATTCTACATTCAGGAGACCCATCTCATGAGTGAAGACACATGTAGGCTCAAAAGAAAGGGATGGAGGAATAGTTTCCAAGCAAATGGAAAGTTAAAAAAAAAAAAAGGATTGTAATCCTAGTCTCTCCTAAGACAAACTGTAAACCGACATAGATCAAAAAAGACAGAGTAGTTGCATAATGGTAAAGGGATCAATGAAACAAGAAGAGCTAATGATCCTAAATATATATGAACCTAATACAGTAGCACCCAGATTTATAAAGCAAGTTCTTAGAGACTTACACAGCCTAGACTCCCATACAATAATAGTGGGAGACTTTAACACCCCACTATCAATATTACACAGATAAATGAGACAGAATATCAACAAGAATACTCAAGACTTGAACTCAGCTCTTGACCAAGCAGAGCTAATAGATATCTACAGAAGTCTCCACCCCAAATCAACATAATGTACATTATTCTCAGCACCATATAGCACTTATTCTAAAATTGAGTACATAATTGGAAGTAAAACACTCCTCAACAAAAGCAAAAGAACAGAAATCAAAACAAACCGTCTCTCAGACCAGGGTGGACTAAAATTAGAACTCAGGATTAAGAAACTCATTCAGAACTGCACAACTACATGGAAACTGTAAAACCTGCTCCTGAATGACAACTGGGTAGATAACAACGTTAAGAAAGAAAGAAGTTGCTTGAAACCAGTGAGAACAAAGACACAACCTACCAGAATCTCTGGCACACAGCTAAAGCAGTGTTAAGAGGAAAATTAATAGCACTAAATGCCCACATCAGAAAGTGGGACAGATTTAAATCAACACTCTACAGTCAGAATGAAAAGAACTAGAGAGACGGGCATGGTGGCTCCTGCCTGTTATTTCAGCACTTCGGGAAGTTGAGCCAGGCAGTTAGCCTGAGTTCATGACTCCAAGACCAGCCTGGACAACCAACATGGTGAATCTCTGTCTCTACAAAAATGTAGCCGGGCAAAATGGTGCACAACTTTAATCCCAGATACTCAGGAGGGTGAAGTTGGGTAATCTCTTGAACCCAAAAGATAAAAGTCGCAGTAATCTGAGGTCGCACCACTCCACTCCAGTGTGGGTGACAGTATGAGACACCTTAAAAAAATGAAAGAAAGAAAGAAAGAAAGGAAAAGAACTAGAGAAGCAAGAACAAACAAATTCAAAACCTGACACAAAAAAGAAATAACTGAGTGCAGAGCGTAACTGAAGGTGATAGAAACAGGAAAATCCTTCCAAAAATCCATGAATCCAAGAACATTTTTGTTGTTGCTGTGAGGATTAACAAAATAGATAGACTGCTAGCCAGACTAATAAAGAAAAAAGAGAGAAGAACCAATTAGACACAGTAAAAAAAAGGACAATGGAGATGTAACCACTGATCCCTAGACACACAAACTACCATAAAAGAATACTGTAAACACCTCTATGCAAATAAACTAAAAAATCTGGAAGAAATAAATTAATTCCTGGACACATACACCATTCCAAGACTAAATCAGAAAAAAAGTAGAATCCCTGAAGAGACCAACAAATTCTAAAATTGAGGCAGTAATTAATAGCCTACCAAACAAAAAATTGCCAGACCAGAGAGATTCACAGCTGACTTCTACCAGATGTGCAAAGAAAAGCTGGTGCTATTTCCTTCTGAAACTATTCCAAACAATAGAGAAAGAGGGACTCCTCCTGAACTCATTTTATGAGGCCAGCATCATCTTACTACCAAAGCCTGTCAGAGACGCAACAAAAAGAGAAAATTTCAGGCCAATATCCCTGATGAAAATTGAAGTGAATATCCACAATAAAATAATGGCAAACTGAATCCAGCAACACATCAAAAAGCTTATCCATACGATCAAGTCAGCTCCGTCCTTAGATTGCTAGTCTAGTTTCAACATATGCAAATCAATAAACATAATCCAGCATATAAAGAGAACCAATGACAAAAACCACATAATTATCTCTATAGATGCAGAAAAGGCCTTTGGTAAAATTCAACATCACTTTTTGCTAAAAACACTCAATAAACTGGGTATTGATGGAATGTATCAGAAAGTAATGGGAGCTGTTTGTGACAAACCCATAGGCAATGTCATACTGAATGGGCAAAACCTGGAAACATTCCCTTTGACAACCTAAAACAAAAGGCACAAGACAAGCATGGCCTCTCTCACCACTCCTATTCAACATAATATTGAAGGTTCTGGCCAGGACAATCAGGCAAGAGAAAGAAATAAAGGGTATTCAAATAAAAATAAAGGAAATCAAATTGTCCCTGTTTGCAGATGACATAGCTGTATCTTTAGAGTACCCCATTTTCTCAGCTCTGTACTCCTTAACAATAGACAAGGAACTTGTCTATTGTATATGTTTCTTAAGCTTGTAAAGAACACCAGCAAGGTCAGGCTACAAAATCAATGTGCAAAAATCACAAGCATTTCTATAAACCAATAGTAGACATACGAGAGCCAAATCATGAGCGAACTCAAATTCACAATTGCTCCAAAGAAAATAAAATTACTAGGAATGCAGCTTACAAAGCATGTGAAGGACTTCTTTATGGAGAGCTACAAACCACTGCTCAAGGAAATAAGAGAGGACACAAAAATATGGAAAAAAAATTATGTTCATGGACAAGAAGAATCAATATCGTGAAAACGACCATAGTGCTTAAAGTAATTCACACATCTACAATGATCTGATCTTCGACAGGCCTAACAAAAGCAAGCAACGGGGGAAGGATTCCCTGGTACTGGGAAAACTGGATAGCCATATGCAGAAAGCTGAAACTGGATCCCTTTCTTATAGCTCATACAAAAATTAACTCAAGATGAATTCAAATCTTAAACGTTAAATCTAAAACCATAAAACCCTAGAAGAAAACCTAGACAATACCATTCAGGATATAGGCATGGACAAAGGCCTCATGACAAAAACACCAAAAACAATGGCAACGAAATCCAAAATTGACAAACGGGACCTACTTCAATCAAAGAGCTTCTCCACAGCAAAAGAAAATATTGTCAGAGTGAACAGGGGACATACAGGATGTGAGAACATTTTTTCAACCTATCCGTCTGACAAAGATCTAATATCCAAAATCTACAAGAAACTTAAAAAGATTTACAAGAAAATAAAAAACAGACAAACCCCATCAAAAAGTGGGCAAAGCAAATGAACAGACACTTCTCAAAAGAAGACATTTAATCAGCCAACAAACATACATAAAAAAAGCTCGGCGTCACTTGTCGTTAGAGAAATGCAAATCAAAACCACAATGAGCTATCATCTCACACCAGTCAGGATGGCGACCATTAAAAAGTCAGGAAACAACAGATGCTACTGAAGTTGTAAAGAAATAAGAATGCTGTATACTGCTGGTGGGAATGTAAATTAGTTCAATCATTTTGGAAGACAGTGTGGTGATTCCTCCAGGATCTATAACCAGAAATACCATTTGACCCAGGAATCACATTATGTGGTATACACCCAGAGGATTATAAATCATTCTGCTATAAGGAAACATGCACATGTATGTTTATTACAGCACTACTCACAGACAAGAAAGACATGGAACAAACCCAAAAGCCCATCAATGATAGACTGGATAAAGAAAATGTGGCACATATACACCATGGAATACTATGCAGCCACTAAAAAGAGTAAGTTCATGTCCTTTTTCAGGGACATGAATGATGCTGGAAACCATTATTCTCAGCAAGCTAACACGGGAACAGAAAAGCAAACACTACCTGTTCTCATTCATAAGTGGGAACTGAACAATGGGAACACAGGGAGGGAAATATCACACAATGGGGCCTGTCGGGGAGTAGGGGGCAAGTGGAAGGAGATCATTAGGACAGATACCTAATGCATTCAGGACTTAAAACTTAGATGATGGGTTGATGGGTGCAGCAAACCACCATGGCACATGTACAACTATGTAACAAATCTGCATGTTCTGCACATGTATCCTAGAACTTAAATTATAATTAATAAAAAAAGTCGGGATAAATAACAAATCAAATAGTATCCATGAATTTATGATGACTCCCTATTTGGTTTTTACTAAATACTTTTTCTGTGTTTTGTGTCTCCAAGAAAGCAAAATAACAATGCATTGTACCAAACATTTTAAAAGAACTTACTAAAAAGCAATTCGAGTCAATCAATTCTTTTATCTCTTAATGAAAACAAGTGTGGGTTAAAAACCAGCTCTCCTAATGCTTGTCAGTGCCTCAAGGTGCTTAGGATAAAAATAAAACTTCCAAACTAAGGACACTTGGCAGCCTCCAGAACTTTAAGAAAAGCTGAGATATAAAGTATCCAGCCTCTGGCTCTTTCTGGGACAGCATGTCCAGTACCTTGGGGGCCCCTGGGCCCTGAAGGAAGGGCGGAGGTCGGGTAGGTGAGGGTGGTCTTTGGAGCCACTGCGGCTACTCATGGGACAGGTTGGAGTCTCAGCCTTCAGCAGAAGCAGCAGGCTTTCAGCCAGCAGTGTTTGGGGTGCCTGCCTGTTTTCCATCTCTATGTGATGTATCTGCTCAGGTTTTTACCCTGGACTTGGGTTGCTTATCTTTGTCAGTTTTAGAGTTTCTGTGAACTTTGTGCATACAAGTCACTTTTCAGGTGAGTTTGCTACATTTTTCTATCTGTGGCTGGTTTTTTGGTTCTCTTAACCAGATTTTTTTTTTTTTTTTTTTTTTTGAGGCAGAGTTTCATTCTGTCGCCAAGGCTGGAGTGCAATGACCCAATCTAGGCTCACTGCAACACCTATCTCCCAAGTTCAAGGGATTCTCCTGGCTCAGACTCCTGAGCAGCTGGGATTATAAGTGCATGCCAGAAATTCCAGTTAATTTTTTGTATTTTTAGTAGAGATGGGTTTTCACCATGTTTACCATGCTGATCTGGATCTCCTGACCTCAGGTGACCCAGCCGCTTCGACTTCCAAAAGTGCTGAGATTACAGGCTTGAACTGCCATGCCCAACTGTAGAAGGGTATTTCACAGAGTAGACATTTCAGCTTTCAATAAAGCCACTATTATCCTTTTTTTTTTTTCATGGACTTGCTAATAACTCATTACCAAACCCAAACCCATGAGGACATTTTCCAATTACAACTTTGCATTGAAAAATTTTAATGTATGGCTATTTTTGACTATTTTTTTTAGCTATGAAATTTGTATATATGTCCATTTGTTTCCATATAGTTTCCAGCTGTTTTCTTGCCCCTTGTGGAATAGACTTACCGTTTCCAAATTTTTTACATTTTTTTGACATGTTTGTCACAATTTTGACAAATTTTTTTTACATTTTTGACAAAATCAGTTGACTTGGGCCTGTGTGGGGGCTGTCTATTCTGTCCACTTAACTACTTGTCTGTTAAATCATCAATGCCACACTCTTGTTTGCTAAGCTAGCTTTAGTGTAAGTATTCATATCCATATGTGTAAGTCCTTTAGCTTTTTTCTTCTTCAGTCTTATTTCATCTATTCTAGGTTTAGGAAGAGATTGTTGATATATTTGCCTGGAATTTGATTGGGATATGACTGAAATATTAATACATGTGTACTTCTCCAGAACAAGACACATCTCTTCCTTTATTTATTTATTGAGAAAGAGTCTTGCCGTGTCACCAAGATTGGAGTGTAGTGGCACGATCTCCGCTCACTGAGATTCTCCCACTTCAGCACCACAAGTAGCTGAGATCACAGGCATGCACCACCAAGCTCAGCTTAATTTTTGTATTTTTGGTAGAGATGGGGTTTCACCATGTTCCTCAGGCTGGTCTCTAACTCGTGGACTCAAGTGATCTGCCCACTGTAACCTCCCAAACTGGTGAGATTATAGGCATGTTCCACTGTGCCTGGCCTGTATGCATTTACTAATATTTCTTTTGATTTCTCTCAGTTGTGACTGATTGTTTTCTGAATGAACTTTGCCTATTTTGTTACATTTATACTTAATGGATTCAATTTTGTAGGAAGTATTGTAAATGGTGGTTAAGTATTTCAAATTCCAATGATTTCTATTCATTATTGCTGATATAGAGAAAATCAACTGAGTTTTGTCTATTGACGATCTTCTTTGCTTCTTTTTATATCCATTCAAGGTATGGGAAGGTTGGCTCTATTTCACTTCCACTTCCTGAGATGACCGCCTGGATTAACCCACCCTGAATTTCAAAGATTTCCCAGGGCTACTACCGGGGGAGGGGGCATGGGGCAGATGCACTGAGCTTGCAAACCAACTCTCTGAGGGGCAGGGTGTTCTCACAGTGACTTGGACAGAGATTCCTTCTCCTCAGGACACACCCAGAAGAGGCCGTTGTTTTAGGGTACCTGGGGAACCTATGGCCACGTTCATGGTGCAGACTAATGCTACTTCATTTCAGGACCCACCCAACAGTGGCCTCAGCTTGGGGACATCTGGAGTCGCATCCACCATGAGGACGAAGCCTCCTTCTCTTCTGGACCTGCCCAGGAGTGGCCGTTGCTACAAGACCTCTGTTGCTACGTCCAGGGTGAGAATAAAGACTTCTCCTCAGGACTCTCCCAGGAGAAGACATGGCATTGAGACATCTGGTGGCCAGGTGAGGAAAAGACACCCTGTCTGCAGCACCCAATACTGATGAGGGGCACTGTCCTGGGCCTTACTTCCCAGTCCTGGCCTCCACTTCTGACTTTACAAAAGTGTCCCTTGAGTGAGGCAGTGACCACGCATTTTAACGGCTACCAAAGTGTGGTTTGCAGATGATCTGGACTTGTTTCTGGGGGTAGAGTCTGTTACAGAGAAAGGAGAGGTGCTGAGTGGAGCCACCGTGACAGGCTCTATCAATACTTTTTTTCGTGCTTTAATGACTCATTTTTCTTAGAGAACTAAAGTATATAGTTGAAACAATATAGAAAAATTTTAAGTAGGCATATTAGAACTCGAATTATTATTTAAATTTAAATATATGATGTATGCCTGGTTAGCAACATTTTTTCTTTTCCTGAGACAGTCATAGTTTAACTGAGAATGCATTGGTAGTGATAATGAAAATGTCTGTTTTATAAGGATTGACATCCTACATTAGCTGAGATATACTAACAATATCAAACTTTGATATTATACCATAAAATTAATTGAATTCTGAGCCAAATATGAGTGACAAATGGTCCATGACACAGCCCTACTCTGGAGATCCTGAGAACATGTGCTCCAGGTTGTGTATTCACAGCCTACATTTATGCATTTTAGGGAGACATGAGACATCAATCAAACGCATGAAGATGTACATTGGTTTGGTCCAGAAAGGACGCACAACTTGAAAATAGCCATGGTGCAGGTCTGGGCTTTCAAGTTACAGGTAGATTTACATATATTTTACTTGGCAGTTGGCTGAAAGAGTTAAGTTATTATCTAAAAACATGGAATCAGTAGATGGGAATGACTGGGTTACAATAAATAATAAAGGCTGTAGAGACCAAGTTTTATCATGATGATGAATCCTCCATGTAGCATGCTTGAGAGAATAAGAGGTAAATATTTCTTATTAGACTTAAGGTATAGGTCGCTGTTAATGATGGTCAACTTTTTCTAAAGTTCAAAAGGGAGGAGCGTGTAATGAAGCATGTCGGTCCCTCTTTCCTGTCAGGACCTGAACCAATTTAGGAATGCCCCTGGTCAAAAGGAGGGCTCTATTCTGATGCCTGTGGTGGGGGCGGGGGAGGAGGGGCAGAAGAGTTATTTTTTTTTTTTACAAGTGTTTCACTTCTGTTTACAAAAGTATAACCTTCTAAATTGTTATAAATTATAATTAGTCTAAGACCTAAAAGGGATTTCTTTCATCAAAAAAAAAAAAAAAAAAATAGAACATTAAAAAACCTAAGCCACGACACCTTGCCAGATTATTTTTTTCTTTCTGTTTCTACAGTTGCCAAGGATGCTTTGCTTATAAGTCATATAGTTGACTCATTGACCATCTGGGTATAGTTCTGTTGCTTCTTCCAAAATTGTACCTAGTAACCTTCAAAAATTGTTATGAAAAAGTGTCTTAAATTGTAGAAATAAACAAAATGAAAAGACACTTTTAAACAATGCTGGGATTTATCAAATGACAGAAGAAATTTCTACTGTTTTTTTTTCTTTTTGAGACAGGGTCTCACTGTGTGGCCCAGCCTGGAGTGCAGAAGTGCCGTCATGGCTCACTGCAGCTTCTAACTGCCTAGCTCAATTAATCCTCTGTCTTAGCCTCAGTCACCATGTCTGGCTAACTTTTTGTATTTTTAGCAGAGACAAAGGTTTGCCATGTTGCCTGGGCATGTCTCAAACACCTGGAATCACAAGATTTGCCTGCATTGGCCTCCAAAAGTGCTGAGATTATAGGCATTGATAAGACATTTATGTTAGGGTTAGATAAAAATCAATATTTTGGCTAAGTTATGAAGATGCATATAATGCAATTATTAATTTATGCCTAATTTTCATCATTTTCTTTCCTTTTTTTTTTTTTGAGACGGAGTCTTGCTCTGTCACCCAGGCTGGAGTGCAGTGGCGTAATCTTGGCTCACTGCAGGCTCCGCCTCCCGGGTTCACGCCACTCTCCGGCCTCAGCCTCCTGAGTAGCTGGGACTACGGCCGGCTACTTTTTGTATTTTTAGTAGAGACGGGGTTTCACCATGTTGGCCAGGATGGACTCCATCTCTTGACCTCGTGATCCCCCCGCCTCAGCCTCCCAAAGTGCTGGGATTACAGGCATGAGCCACCATGCCCAGCCAATTTTCATCATTTTCAATGTCAACATTACTCATTTTAAAATCATACTCAAGGCATAAGGCAAAACCACTTATGAACTGGCATATTTGTTTATTTCTCTGTGAAAATGTCCTTAGTTTGTTCACAGTACAAAAAAAATTCAATTATGTTATGCAAAAAACAGAAGAGAATCTTCTTTGCAATTAATTTTATAGTTACCTTGATACAGGGAATGTACTATCTATAAAAAATAAATGTTAACTGAACTACAGTTAGTTAAACACTGAAAAAAATTAAGTTTATTATATTTTATTTTATCCTATCAATTAATTGTATTTATATACAATCTAGAAAGTTACAGCCATCAACAGTTCTAATGCAGTTTCAGGTGAAATGGGAATTTGGAAATCTCTGTGGAGCTTTAGGTGTAGTGAAATATTTAGGTAAAATATGTGCATGCTTTTGGCAGCACTTGTGAAGGGATGTCTCTCAAATTGACCTCAATACTTTCCTTCTCAGCAAAATGACCTGGGCCACTCAACATGGCTTTCATTGTTGTTGATGTTCGTGCATGTTCGCCTTTTACCATAAATTTTTGACTCTGAAGATATCCATTTGACATCGTGGCTTTAGGGCTTTCAAAACCACTGTAGGTTTTCTACTCTTCATCCACCACGTACTTACATAATTCTACTTTGATTCCCCAGGAACTTGACTACTTTCTGGTTAGCCCTATGGCCAGTGCAGCCCAGCTCCCAGTGTAGCAGCACTGACTCGACTCCAGGGCTATCCCCCACACCCAGCTTGTGGCTCCTATGGGTTCCAGGGAAGTTGGAAGACAGGCTGCTTGTTGTTTTCACAAATAAAATTGTTGTATTAATTTCATTTTCATATGGTTTATTACTAGTGTACAGAAGTAGATTTTATTATATTGATATTTTATAATGTATGTTTGTTTAGTTTGTTTACCAGATGTCATGATTTCTTGTTGGTTTCTTATGATTTCTTTATAGGAGATCATAAGACCCAAGGGTAGATAGTTTTACTTTTTTTATTTTTATTTTTCCACATATGAATGGCCAAAACAATTGGAAATATATACATATTTTGCTAGAATATCCATCCAAAACAATTGGAAAAATATATATTCACATATATATTTATATATAAATATCTATATGTAAAAATATATATAATAATATATGTGCATATAAATATTTGTATATGTATATATGTGTATATATAAATATTTATATGCACATATACTACATATATCATATATATATATATATTTCCAATTGTTTTGGATGGAAATTCTAGTACAGTGTAGAATACAGTGATGAAATTTAGCATCAATGCTTTGTTCCTCATCTTAAACTTTGATTCCCAACAATTCAGATGCTGATTGTTACAGGTTTTGCACAAAGACGTGTTATGTGAAAGAAATTTGAAGCACAGTTTATTGGATGTTGTTATCATTAAACACGTTGACTAACTTTAAGTATTTTCCATAACAGTTGAGATAAACATGTACTGTTTTCCCATGATTTAGTTTACATGGTATATTGAAAAGGGATGGCTTCAGAATGTTGAAAAACCCTCAATTTTCAAAACAAACAAACAAACAAACAAACAAACAGAAAAATCTTAATCATTGAGGTGCATAATGTCTTCCCCATGTAGCAAATTTCAGGTACTAGTTTTTGGTTAAACATTATAATGACTTTAATTGTCATATTTCTTAACATTTAGTGTTTTGTCCTAGTGATATCATCTGTTTAATTCAATTTTCAATTGGAATTAATGAGAGGTAAGGTTTAGTGTACTCTTAAGGGCATTAGGGGTTAGAGGATAGAGTCAAAGGTTATATATTTAAAATTATTTTGAAGGGTGATATGGTAATACTAAGGATGGGAGAGAAGTTTGGGATTAGGAATAGGGGTTTACAATTGCAGAAAAAAGGTTAGATTGAGGGTTAGGTCTGGGGTTGACTTAAAGGTTCGTGTGGTGGTAGGATTAGGGTTATGGTTAGGATTAGAATTTGGGACCGTTGTCGAGGTTAAGGTAACGTTTAGGGCTAGAGTTAGAATCAGGATTAGAAGTTAGGTTTGGGTCAGGTTATGCTTAGGCTTAGGGTAAGAGATAGGCTTACAGTTAGATGTTGGGGTTAGTGGAGGGTTAGGTTCTGGGTTAACTCCATGGTGAGGGTTATGGTTAGTGCTAAGGGTGAGAACTAAGGCGACAGTAAGGGTTAGGGTAAGAGGGTTAGTGTATTAGCGTTAGGGTTTGGTTTACTGTTGGTGTTAGGATAAGAATAAGGATTTGGTTTAGGGTTTAGAGTTCAGGTCCTGGTTAGGGTTTCAGGTTAGCATTAGGGTTAGTGTTTAGGGTTCAGTGTTAGTTTTAGGGTTATTGTTTAGCACTTAGGTTTAGGTTTAGGGTTGGTTGAGGGTTAGGATAAGGGGTTAGGGTTTGGCATAGTGTTAGAGTTTAGAACTCTAGGATAAGGGGTTAGGGTTAGGTTTAGGGTTGGGTTAGGTTAAGGGTTAGAGCTTAAGGTTAATGTTGGGACTGGATTTATTGTATAGGATCATAGTTTGGATTTAGATTTTAGTGTTAAAGCTAGGGTCAGATTACTGTTTGGGTTACGTGTTTGGGTTAGGGTTTATGATTAGGCTAAAATCAATGTTTAGTATTAGGTTTAATATCAGGGTTTAGGGTATGGCTAGGGTTAGTGTTCTAGGTTATTTGGGTTAGGATTAGTGTTAGGGCTTTTGGGAGTTAAGGTTAGTGTTAGGGGTTACATTTAGGTCTAGGATTAGGTTTACATTTTAGTGTTTGTGTTATGGTTATGATTAGTTGTGAAAATAGGGGTGGGTGTAATATTTTGGGTTAACTTTAGGTTTAGGATTAGGTTTACATCTTAGTGTTTGTGTTATGGTTATGATTAGTTGTGAAAATAGGGGTGGGTGTAATATTTTGGGTTAACTTTAGGTTTAGGTTTACTGGTAGAGGTTTTAGCTTAGGGTTAGTGTTAATTGTGAGGGCTAGGTTGAGGGTTTAGTGTGTATGCTTAGGTTTAATGTTAGGTTTTGTGTTAGCATTGATTCCTACTTTTAGTTTCAGGATTATGGTGATGTTTATGTTAAGATTATGGTTAGGTTTATTTTTTAAGCTGATGGCTTTGGTTAGGGATAGTGTTAGGTTTTGGGTTGAGTTGCGGTTGGAGTATGCATAGGGTTAGGGTTAGTGTTAGTGTTACAGGATAGGGCTATGGTTAGCGATTAGGTTTAGGGTTAATGGGTTAGGGTTATGGCATAGGTTTAATGTTAAACTTAGTGGTTAGGGTGAAGCTTAGTTTTAGGCTTTAATTAGCGTTAAGGTCAGCATCTGGGTTCAGCATTACATGTTAGAGTTTAGGTTAGGTTTTATTGTTATGGATTAGTCTTTAGGGTTGTTGTCAGCTTTAGGATTTTGGAATTAGTGGTTGTGTTTGTTTGCAGTTGGTGGTGTGTTTGCATTTAGGGTCAAGGTCAGAATTAGAGCTTAGGGTTAGGTTTAGCATTAGGCTTGCGTTAAGGATTAGGGTTACATGTTAGTATTTAAGATTAGGGTTTTGGTTGGGTGAGTGTTAGTGTTTGGTTTCAGTGTTTAGAGTTATGGCTGGCATTGCAGATGGTTTAGGGTTACAGTTAAGGTTTTAGGTTTGGGGTTAGGAATTGGGTTTCCATTAGGGTTATGGTTAAGGATTAGGTTTGTAGTTAGGGTTGGTGTAGCGTTGGTGTAGGTTATGTTTGGGATTATGGTTTATTACTAGGGTTTAGGTTTGTGTATCTGTGTTTGGGTTAAGTTTGGTGTTTTGGTTAGTTTTATAGTGCTAGGCTTAGAATTATAGGGCTAGTTTTTCAGTTAGGGTTTGGGTGAGGTAATGGTAGTGGTAGGGTTATAGTTTAGCATTAGAGTTAGGGTTTTTTGTGTTAGGGTTTGAGTTTTTTTTTGTTTTGGTTAAGGTCGGCTCAGCACTACTTTTGCATCAGTGTCAGTGTCATGTTTAGGGTTATGGGTTGGAATTGGGTTTAGTGTTATGGCTTAAGGTCTGGGTTGTTTTTGGCATTGGGGTTAAAGTTAGGGTTATGGTTGGGGTTGCGTTTGATGTTGTGGGTTAGAGTTAGGGTTAGTGTTAGTGTCAGTGTTTTAAGGATAGGGTTATGGTCAATGAATTGTTAGAATTAGGGTTAGGGGGTAGAAGTTTGGATTAGGGATATTGGTTAGATGTTGGACTTACATTTTTAAGGTTAGAGTTTTAGTTTTATGGTTACAATTAAGGTTGCTTTTAGGGTTAGTTTTGAAGGTAGCTTTTGGGGTTAGAGTTAGAGTTGGGATTAGTGTTCAGAGTTTACAGTTAGTGTTCGATTTAGGGTTTGGTTTAGTATTTAGGTTAGGGTTTTGGTGAGTGTTATGGTTTAGGGTAGATTCAGGGTTTTAGTAGGTTTAGGTTTAGTGGTAGGTGTATGTTTAGGGTTATAAGTAGGGGTAGAGTTACATTTAGGGTTAGGGATATGTTTTGTTAATGGTGCAGGTTGGGTTTATGTGAGGATTAGGATTAGGGCTTGAGGGTTATTGTTAGTGTTTCAGCATTAGTATTAGGGGTCATTTTTAGGTTTACACATCTTTTTCTTTTTCAGCCATCTCCACCCATGGACCAACCAGCCCATTCTCTCTGCCCATGTGCATTCTGAGGTCCATATATATTCCATACTTATTTAGGTTATTTATTTAATTACATATGTATTTATTTATATTTGTATTTATTTATTTTTACTTGTATTGATTTATTTTTATTTTGTTTTTTTTGGAGATGGAGTTTCGCTCTTGTTGCCGTGGCTGGAGTACTATGGTGTGACCTCGGCTCACTGCAACCTCTGCCTCCCAGGTTCAAGCGATTGTCTTGCCTCAGCTGCTGAGTAGCTGGGACTAAAGGCATGCACCATCACATCTGTCTAATTTTGTATATTTATTAGAGACAGGGTTTCTCCATGTTGGTCAGGCTGGTCTCGAACTTTCAACCTCAACCTGACTTAACGTAGATTTACCAAGTGTGTGCCACCTCTCCGCTGTGAGGTGTACACTTATTGGGATTGCATGGCTGCAAATAGATAGGTCTCCTCCAAACTTAAAGCTGCAGATGCATTTCAACAACATTCCTGCAGATAGAAGCTACCCACTCTGAAACTTCTCTCCACTGAGGACTTCAGAGATGTTTTAACAACCTACTTTTCCACTGAAGCTGGTCACTATTGGTTCTGTCTTCAGTGAGTGTTGCACAGATGCAGGTATGTCCTGTTTTTGAAATGGAGTTACCTGCTTTCTGTCTCCTGAGAGCTGTACTTTCACTCAATGAAGCATCTATTTACCTTGATTATTCTCCTGTTGTTCACATACCTCATTGTGCCTGGATATGTGTCAAGAACTCAGGACCCACTTAATGGTGAACCCGAAAGATTGCTAACAGAAACAGCGCCGAAACACACAAACCCACACTTACCACATTCTCGGTTACAGGGATAAAACAAAAAAGGATAGAAGAGGTTCAGGTAAATTATGGGTGATTTATCAGTTTAATTTTGATGAAATCATATGTACATTAAATTTTTAAAATATATCTTTAAAATACATAATTTATTTGATGGGCAATATTTAAACAATAGTAATATTTTAGCTGTCTTTCTCGGTCATTTTTATTATTATTATCCTAATAGGAAAAGGTTAAAATTGTCACAGCAGAGACAGGCACTATATTATTGATCTCTTAAGGTGTCATTAACTTCTTAATATAAGACAATTTATAATCTATATAATCAAAATATAAAAATGAAGTCATCTCTTTGATTTAAAAGTTCTCAGATGAAGCAATTGTCAAGTACATATTTTTATCTCTATGGATATTTTAAGGCAACTCTAAATATTTTTTAAAAATATGACCAGGGCACTGTTATCACACATAATACAAATTAGTTTACAAGCTTGGGAAAAGGGGCAGAACCCTGTCCTTACAAAAAAATACAAAAATTATTCAAGTGTCGTGATATCAGCCTTGTAGTATCAGCTACTTGGAAAGATAAAATACCATTTCATTTGTTAACTTTTGATATTTGTTTACACTTTCTTCATTACATTGTTCAAGTTAGAGTAGTTCATCAATGATGTCTTTTAGTTTGTAGAGCAACATTTATCTTTGAGATTTTGTATAATAGTCACCTCAAAAGTCAACATTTTCATCATCAAATAAACATTTTTATTATCAAATGAATATTTTAGTCACTGACAAAAAAGTACTGCTTCCTAGTCCTGCAAGAAAATATATTTATATGATATACTTATATGTAAATACATAATATATAACTCTATATAATATACATATATGTTTTGCAAGCCTGAATGTAATCATAATTTTTGAGCCTTTTACAAAAGTGACCAATAACACTTGGTCCGTTTTTAGATTTGAAAATGTTCAATTGGGCCAGGCTTAGTCATGCACACTGATAGCCTTAGCACTTTGGGAAGCCAAGGCAGGTAGATTACTTGATCTCAGGAGTTAAAAAAAAAAGCCTGAGGCACATGCTGATATCCCATCATTACTAAGATGCAGTAGAATGGCTGAATGTTATGGTCTGCACAAGTAATCTCATCTACCTTTGACACTGAGGTGAAAACATCCCCTGAGCTGTAATTGTTTTGCTACTCTGCAGACTGAGTAATGAAGAGAACACATGCCACACACACACACACAAAACTTACACACACAACCACACACACACACACACACACACAGAGAAAAAAATGGCTTAATAACATCTTAATTTTTTTTTCCTTTGTTTCACTCATTTTATCAAGGCCACATTTGTGGCATGTATGGTAATAAAACACTGTTGCACAACTTTTTATTATATGATGTAGTACATAGCTCTTTCTAGTTTATAGAAGAAGCTGCACCCCTTCATAAGAGTTTACTGTTCTTTCAAGAAGGTAGTTCTTAGATAGCTCAGAGACAGGAAGAAAAAGGGATCTTCTGATTTCTGGGCTGCCTTCTGTTTCACTCACAGCAGTTCCACTTCTATGTACTAGAATATCACTTAGATTTCTTTTAAAAGTCATTAGTGCACCAGTAATGCACTGACTTCCCATTATAACTTTCAGTATAAGTTTCTAAATTTCATAGCTAAACTGTAAGCCTACGTTATGAGTATGATTTGCATATATAATTCTAATTTACATATTTCAGTTCTTTATCCTCACATATCCCTCACTCTTGTTTTTTCTTGTGTCAACAATTTATTTTCTTTCTTTTTTTTTTTTTGCAATCCTTCTTTGAGAATTTATTTCATCTCTCTTCTTTTTTTTATTATTATTATACTTTAAGTTTTAGGGTACATGTGCACAATGTTCAGGTTAGTTACATATGTATACATGTGCCATGCTTGTGTGCTGCACCCATTAACTCGTCATTTAGCATTAGGTATATCTCCTAATGCTATCCCTCCCCCCCTCCCCCCCTCCCCCCACCCCACAACAGTCCCCAGAGTGTGATATTCCCCTTCCTGTGTCCATGCATTCCCACATTGTTCAATTCCCATCTGTGAGTGAGAACATGCGGTGTTTGGTTTTTTGTCCTTGCGATAGTTTACTGAGAATGATGATTTCCAATTTCATCCATGTCCCTACGAAGGACATGAACTCATCATATTTTATGGCTGCATAGTATTCCATGGTGTATATGTGCCACATTTTCTTAATCCAGTCTATCATTGTTGGACATTAGGGTTGGTTCCAAGTCTTTGCTATTGTGAATAGTGCCGCAATAAACATACGTGTGCATGTGTCTTTATAGCAGCATGACTTAGACATTTATGCAGCCAAAAGACACATGAAAAAATGCTCATCATCACTGGCCATCAAAGAAATGCAAATCAAAACCACAACGAGATACCATCTCACACCAGTTAGAATGGCAATCATTAAAAAGTCAGGAAACAACAGGTGCTGGAGAGGATGTGGAGAAATAGGGACACTTTTACACTGTTGGTGGGACTGTAAACTAGTTCAACCATTGTGGAAGTCAGTGTGGCGATTCCTCAGGGATCTAGAACTAGAAATACCATTTGACCCAGCCATCACATTACTGGGTAACAAGTTATTTTCATTAGTTTTCTCTATTCAAAACACTCCTTTTTCTGCAATCTAGTCAATGTTTCTGTTCTTGTTCTTTGAACTTATAATAATACTTTGAGCTTCTGTCTTCAAAACTTTCACTCAAAAATTTATGTGTGCGTACATCTACGTGTGATTATTTGCAACAGTTTGGCACCAGGGATGGGTTTTGTGAAGACAAGATTTTTCATGACCTGGCGTTGTGGAGACAGTTTTGGAAAGATTCAAGTGCCCCGCATTGTTTTTTTGCTTTATTACTGTTATTATTACATTATAATATTTAATGAAATAATTATACAATTCACCATAATGTAGAATCAGTGGGAGCCCTGAACTTATTTTCCTGCAGCTAGATTGTTTTCTCTGTGGGTGATGGGAGACAGTTACGGGTGATCAGTTTTTTGATTGTTATAAAGAGTGCAAAAGCTAAATTTCCTGCATGTGCAGTTAATAGTTGTGCTCTCACTTCTATAAAAATCTGATGCTGCCACTGAACTTACAGAAAGTGGATCTCAGGCAGTAATATGCACCATACATAGTGGTTTAAATAGAGATAAAGCTTCCGTACTTGTTCACCGCTCACCTGCTGATGTGTAGCCCAGTTCCTAAGAAGACACAGATGAATACTGGTTGAGGAAACCCCAACTGAAGCCAAAGAGTTTGAGACCATAGTGAACTGGAATTGTGCCGTGCATTTTAGCTTCAGTGACAAGGAAATAACCTGTCCTCACAGGAAAAAGAAGTAAAGAATATATTTTATAATTTGTATTTTAAATACTATCTTTTGATACAAACGTGAGAAATCTTTTACAACTTTAAATGGGGACATTAACAGTCATCAAAATGTTCTTGATTCTTGGGAATAGGATATCAAATGGAAGGTGCAAATGCACATCATTGTAAAATGTGATAAAAAGTACGTTTTTTTCAGCTTTGAAAAAAAAAATTATCTCTTTGAACACAACCAGAAGACATTAGAAGTGTTTGTGCTCATGCAAAAAATTAACTTCTGCTTTCTCTTTACTCTTTTAGTGGTATCAGAGAGGTAGTCAAGATGATAACTTGTTTAAAGGGAAATGCTATTGACAAAATAGAGTGACTGACTAGGGAAAAAAAGTGATTCTTACTAGGTTAATAATTTTGGATGTAAAATAATCTCCCAGATTGCTTTCATCCCTACTCTAAAATAAATTGCAATTTAATGATTGAATCTTGAAGAGTTGACAGAAGAAAGCATTTTTCTCTTTCTAGTATAGATACATCTATACTATAAGCAAAAACTTATAAGTCTAAAAGCGAAAAACTTCCTTAATTTTATGGGGTTACAACAAATTTTAACAACCACTTGTTTCACAAACAGATTTCTTTCTTTAGGCCTAACCAGCTAATTTTATTTCTCTGCAATTTGATTGGGAGATGTAATGGTAAAATATATTTGAAGATATTATATGTTAAATAACATGTATGTCTTTCTTGACCTTCATAACATCTGACCTCCAAGCTGCCTGCATTATTTCGCACTTACCTGCCATTTAAATTGTGGTTTATTTTTAACATCATACTGCTTGCTATTTACACCTCTGAGACTTGAAACAATTGCTTTTCACCCTACCTGCCACTCAATCCACACCTTTTAAATTAATTATATATAGGTTTTACCTTTTTATAAGACAGACAGAACAGCCTTGCCAACAGGGTGAAGCCCCATCTCTACTATAAATATGAAAATTAGCCAGGTATGGTGGCAGATGCCTGTAATACTAGCTACTGGAGAGGCTGAGACAGGTGAATCGCTTGAATCTGGGAGGTGTAGGTTGGATCTGGGAGGTGTAGGTTGCAGGGAGGCGAGATTCTGCCATTGCAATATAGCCTAGGTGAAGAGAGTGAAACTCTGTCACACAAAATGGACAGTGAGGATTAAATTTATTAATATGTGTGCGGCTTTTTAATGTATTACCTTGTCTTTAAGCACTATAAGTATTAGCTGCTATTATTATTGCTTACTATATATCTTTAGTTTATTCACACCAAATTCTGCTTAATCGCATACAAGAAAACATTAGAGAAGTAACACAGATAGTAGTGGCTATATGGAACCACATAGCCATCAGTGTCTGTGTCAGTAATGTTTTCTGGTGTGCAACAAATAAGAGACTTTTTACATACACACGTTCTTCAAACATAGATTTCTCTAAACATATATTAAAATGTTTGAAAACAAAAACAATACTACAGTAAAATGTAACAAATTTAAAAGCCATTAGATTATAACTGTCTACATAACATTTACATTTTACTAATGATTTATGCAAAGTTAAAGTAAACTACACAGGAGGATGTGGGTGCATTATATTTACATACTACACCATTGTAAATCAGAAGCTTGAGCAGACACAAATTATAGTATTTAAGAGGGTTCTGGAGCCAATCCCCTACAGATACCAAAGGATTGCTATATATAAATATTTTAAGCTTTGGTAAGAAAGTATTGCTTAAGTTAGTTATGGCATAATTACCCTAATGATGTTAATGATTATTTACTTTTCTTTTTAAAATAAATTTAAAAGATTATAAACTTTAAAATTATCATTAAATTGTTTTAATGTTTGTTCAGGAAATGAGAACATTTGTACCTGTTCTCTGTTTATGGTATGTTAACACAGTTAAGCACTTGCTATTTAAATAATTTTCTTTTGTTTCTGTGGCCAACACAAATGATTTGAGTACGACTAAAATAATGTGCAATTACATTCGGTGATTATTTTGAATTTCCTTGGGAGCTGGATATGGGACCTTACACAGCAGCATGCATTGCAAAGCTGGAACAGAATAATTTCAAGTCAGAAAATCAGTTGATTCAACAGAAAGAGTAACCTGAAAATAAAACTACAAAGATCACAAAATACAGACTTGCAGATGTGCCTGTACACAGTGGTCTAGCAAGCAGTGGGTATTATTATTCTTATATTATTCAAACAATGGTAGGATGATGACTGCGATTCCTGGTATAAATTTGATGATGAAGATTTAGCAGAATTTAAAATGGATGATGATCAAGAAATTTTAAAAATCAGTGTTTGGATGGAGAGTACATAAATATATTTGATCATACGCTGAAGTGCATGTCACATAGACGGTAAAAGAGCTGGTAAATTGCTTATATAATTTTCAAACAATAAACAAATGGACATGATAGATGAAGATGATGAGATGATAAGATATATATTATGGCTAACTCTTGTGAGACCTCATCACATTATTATGTCACCAGCCTTTGAGAAAAGTGTATACTAACAAAATGTGACACTTACGCAAAAGTGAAAGCAATAAAGTTGAGAGCATTTGCAGTTTGTGAAAGAACTGCTTATATATATTGGTGTTTATTGAAGTCCTGTTCATGATAAGCTTTTTGATTACCTTCTTAGTAATAAAAATAATGTATGCTTGGCTTGTATGATTCTTTACAAGGCATCAACATGTGTTTAATACTTTTCTTCAGTCTTCTTTTAGCTTTTTTCATGGCATCATTAGCCTTAATTTATGTGAATGTGTAGCCTTTCTATTTTAGTTATTTCAAAGTAAGAAAAAATTAAGATGTCTGTACCTTAAAATAGTGGACTTTATGTATGGAAATATGAAGCACTTTTATTTATTACACAAATTATTATTTTTTACTGAAGCATGAGCTTGAAATGCGGGTTAGTGAAGCGGCAGGATAATCACTGAAAATTGGTCTTACCTAGCAAAAATTTTATTAAGAAAGAGCTTGAAAATACAAATGTTTTTGACTGTATATATACTTTTTATTTAGAGCAGAATTATTTTTCTGCCTGCATCAAATTAAATGACTATCATTAGCATACAGTTTGCACCTATATTCCTCATTACCACTGGATTTTACATTAAAAAAATAGCTTGTGGTCCTGCCAGTGACTGGTATTTGGCTTTGGATTTTATTCACAGGGAACTTATAATTGGTTTGGTTGTCTATTATCCTGCTTTACATTTTCCTAACCATAAAAATATTATTTCAGATTTTAAATATGCATAAACTTTTTTTCAGTAATTGTGAGAGAATTCTTAGTACATTTAAAATTGTCTAATCTAAATGTGTGTTTATTATGTAAAAATTGGCTTCTACTCCAATACATTTATATTACACCTTTTTCCACTTTATCATTAAGTATGAAGTTTTACCTTTACTAGATAAAATATTAAGTGACAATTAAAAAGATACAACATATTTTAGATGACATTTTTTGCCTCACATTTGTAATTCCAATAATTTGGAAGGCCAAGGCAAAAAGAATGCTTGAGGCCAGGAATTTTGAACCTGGTTTGGCAAAATGTGAAACACTATCTCCACAAAAGCTTTTTAAGAAATAGGAAGATATCGTGGCTCACACTGGTGACCTTAGCAATTTGTAAGTCCAAGGTGGGTGGATCACTTCAAGCCTATAATTTCGGGCCAGCCTGAACAACATAGCAAGATTCTGTCTCTAAAAAAATTAAAATAATTCATTAAATTGAATAATTATCTGAGCCTACTAGGCGTTTCCTGCAGAACCAGCTAATTGGGAGGCTGAAGCGGCAAGAACATGGGTAGCACAGGCTGTCACTAAGAAGATCAGACAGACATCTTATTCTTTTTTATAGCTAAGTGGATACAGCCTACTGAACATTTATGTTTTTCATATAAAATTTCTTATTTTCTTGCTTTTTTATGACTAAAAGTAGGCTTCCAGTTTGGAGTCAGGGGACACCTTTAGCTGAGCCATCTCCCCCTGAACACACCAAGGCATTCTTCCTCCCTAAACTGTCACCTATCTTAGCTCCCCAAAATGCTCAGCCACAATTTGTCTTAGATTATCCTACATTTAATGTGATTTTGTCTTCTGATTCTCCTATTAACTCCCTCTTTCCTCCACACCCATGTCCTATCTTTTGCTGCTCTCAGTAATCATTCATCCTCTCGCATCACAAAAGAAGTCTGTACTCCCTTCAGCTAGAGCAACATGAAAATTCCTGAGAAGAACAAAAAAAAAAAAAATTTTAATTTTGCACTTTTTTAATTTTAAAAAACTGTCAAAATTGAGAAACCACATGCATCTGGTAGGGGCACCTGTTTCATCTTCACAGAGTTTACTGATTTGAACATTTTTGTTACATAATGTTAATACAGAAAATTCTGAATTAAACAGGCACACACACAAAAAAACAAAACCTAAACTATATTAAACCAAGGCAATTTTCTAACAATGACTCCTCTTTCCAGTATGAGAGAACTGCCTCCTACAGTATGAGAAATATCAATACTATATTTCTTTCTTCCACACATATTCAACACTTACCAATGCTAAGGAGTTCGAATTTTAATATACCAACTGTCAACCATGAACATATAAAAATTCTGACTGTAAATGATCCATGGTTATTTTACTCAATACTAAAATTATTTCACAAATTCAAGTCCTGTTTTATAATGATACCATTATTTGCATGGCACAAAGATTATTCCTTACAAAATCTATTCTTTAATAGAGATTTGGTTCTTGGAGCCAAATTAAAAAAAAAATATGCTGCTTAGACACACATACATATTTACTTTTCTTAAAACATTTTCTCAATATTTTTATTTTTATTATTTTTTTAATCTCCCACTCTTTGGGATCCCCTTACAAGTAAGTCACCCGCTTTTAAAATCTCTTTCATCTTTAACATTTGTCAGATATTTAGAGACATACCAAATTAAATCATTATATATTCTTCTGATATGACTGAAACATGTTTTGAAGAGATATGCATAAATATAACGTTTCATTCTGAAATATAATCAGTTAGTTTTATTCATCTTTGTCTTCACCTTAACTTTTGAAGGTAAGTTTCAAATAACATAAAATTACATTTGAGTGTATAATTGAATGGAATTAAATATGTTTATAATGTCATACGATCATCATCTATCAATAGTTCCTAAATATTTCTATTGCCCAACCAGAAACTCCATATCTATTATACAGTTCTTTTTATTGTCCAGCCCCTGACAACCCGTAACCTACCTTTTATCTCTATGGCCATGTCTTTTTACCACACAGGTTTAGCATTGCATCAGTTTTCAATCCAACATGCCAAACTAGTTTTAAAATCATTCATATTTCTTTTTCTTTCCTTTATTTTATTTTATTTTTTTGCATTTTGCAATTACTAGGCCTTGTGCTCCTCACACCAATCTAGTTATAATGAGTGTGTCAGGAAGAACATTGGATTTATTTCAGGGATTGAGGACATTATTTCCTTATTTATTTAAATAATGATGCAGGCAAGAGATTTTTGCAGCTTACATTGTGTAAGTGAGCAGTCTATATTTTATTTTCACTGGATACATTTCTCAGATTGGGAAGGAAACCCTTTGGGCTAGAATTTTGTTGGTTGCTAGGAGACCAAAGTCCCCTTGTGATGTCATTGTTACTCAGTTTGGGAACCATTGTGATGGTCTAGATAAGTGTACATGCTTAGGCCTTCTGAAGCAGCATTTGAAGCTGCAGTCCTGAAAACCATGCAGGCCGGAAGAGTAGATAAAGAAATATTTATTTGAGATGGCACATGTTTCTTCAGAAACTCAAGATGTTTCCCCCAAAGATGAATTAACTGCTTCAGAAGCCTCCACTAGGTCTCCATTGTGTGAACACACCTTCCCTGGGGACTCAGACTTACGGTCAATGATTGAAGAACATGCTTTTCAGGTTTTGTCACAAGGATCCTTGTTAGAAAGTCCAAGTTACACAGTTTGTGTCTCTGAGCCAGATAAAGATGATGATTTTCTTTCTCTGAACTTTCCCAGGAAACTTTGGAAAATAGTGGAAAGTGACCAATTCAAGTCTATTTCATGGGATGAGAATGGAACTTGCATAGTGATTAATGAAGAACTCTTCAAGAAAGAAATTTTGGAAACAAAGGCTCCTTACAGAATATTTCAAACTGATGCTATCAAAAGTTTTGTTCGACAGCTCAACCTTTATGGATTTAGTAAAATTCAACAGAATTTTCAAAGATCTGCCTTTCTAGCCACCTTTCTGTCAGAAGAGAAAGAATCGTCTGTCTTAAGCAAGGTATTTGACATATTTGAGTTACCACTTTATGTAAAGTATATATGTAATTTTACTTTGTACATCAGTAAATATGTTAATACATGCAGTAAGACCAGCTTTTGAAAATTATATAAAATATTAAGGTAGAAATTTTGTTTTGAAATTATTGTGTTCAGCTTGAGCGTTAACCTTTTAGTGTTTTAAGAAATTTTGCTAACAACTTTGAATCTTACCAGTGAATTCCAAATAAATGTACCAAAGCCACTTAATGAAATATTACTATTAATATATAACATGTTTTCACTTGAGGGCTTAACAACTTGAGTGGTTTTTCACAATAAGCACATTCTTAAAAATAGTAAACGATGTTTATGAGTTATTTGATGACATTAAATTTGTGTGATGAAAGAGAAATCTGATATTTGATGTGTTATGTTTGTTATTTTCACTTGTCTCTTGGCTTAAAATGGCACTGAATTATGTTTTTCTTTGGTTTTAGTTAAAGTTCTATTATAATCCAAATTTCAAGCGTGGCTATCCCCAACTTTTAGTAAGAGTGAAGAGAAGAATTGGTGTTAAAAATGCTTCACCTATATCTACTTTATTCAACGAAGATTTCAACAAGAAGCATTTTAGAGCAGGGGCTAACATGGAGAATCATAATTCTGCCTTAGCTGCTGAAGCTAGTGAAGAAAGTTTATTTTCAGCCTCTAAAAATTTAAATATGCCTCTAACAAGGGAATCTTCTGTCAGACAGATAATTGCAAATTCATCTGTCCCCATTAGAAGTGGTTTCCCTCCTCCTTCACCTTCAACCTCAGTTGGACCATCAGAACAAATTGCAACAGATCAACATGCTATTTTAAATCAGTTGACCACTATTCATATGCACTCTCATAGTACCTACATGCAAGCAAGGGGCCACATTGTGAATTTTATTACAACCACAACTTCTCAATACCACATCATATCTCCCTTACAAAATGGTTATTTTGGGCTGACAGTGGAACCATCTGCTGTTCCCACACGATATCCTCTGGTATCAGTCAATGAGGCTCCATATCGTAACATGCTACCAGCAGGCAACCCGTGGTTGCAAATGCCTACGATCGCTGATAGATCAGCTGCCCCTCATTCCAGGCTAGCTCTTCAACCATCACCACTGGACAAATATCACCCTAATTACAACTGATCTGCCATTAAAAGAGGACCAGATTATGAATGACAACAGAGACTAACATTTACATTGACAAAAAACCCTAAAAATTTCTGCAATTATCTTATTGAACAATAAAATTGCATGTTTACTTCTATGTTTGCTTTTCCTTTATTTCTAAAAGTATGGTTAAGAAAAAAATGACATTTTGTTTCAGTGGGAGGCTATTGTACTACTTTTTAGCAAAAATATATATGGGCTTTTTGATCCTTTGAAAGCAAATTTGACATGTGCCTTTGTAAGTTAAATAATTTATCTCTCTAAAGAGGAAGAAATAATAAAGTTTTGTGGTCCATTTTCTGCTGAAACAACACAATACCACTGCCTGGGTAATTTGTAAAGCAAACTTATTTTGCTCACTTTCCTGGAGGTGGGGAAGTCCAAGGGGTTGCATCTGGTGAGATCCTCTTTCTACGTTACAACATGGCAGGTCGGCCTCCTACGGTGAAGGGCATGAGATGAACAGAAAATCGGGGCCAAACTCATCCTTTGATCCAAAGGCCACTCACACAATAACTAACTTGTTCTCCATATAATACCATCAAGTCAGTCATGAGGTTGCACCCACATGGCTAATCAACTCTTAAAAGTCCTACCTCCCAACACTATCACAATGGACACAGAATTTCAATGTGAAATTTGGAGGTGACATACCAAACAATGACAGCAGGCAAGGGAGAAGAAGCAACCGGAGTTAGGAAAAAATAATAAGTGACTTCTCAAGTAGTCTGGCATAAATCAAATGAGGGTATAAATTTGAGTGGCACAAAGGGAATAAATGGACACATACACACAGACAAACACACACACACAGACAAAATTTAGAGAAGAGTTAACACATACTATACACTTCAGTATTTTCTCAATTACATTTCCCCAGTTATTTTAAACTTGGATTTTAGTTGGCAAAGATTGTCTTCATTGCAATTCATCCCTAGTGAACTCAGTGACCACGATCACAACTGTTTGTGTCATCACTTGAATAATAAAGTTTACATCATATTATGCTCATGGATTGCATCACTGTCAGAACATTGTGGAATTTTACAGCTGGCATTAACAGTACACCTTTTTGATCCTACATCAAAGCATTCCAACCTGTTTGTGCCTTTAATTACCTCCTGTTAGAGTCCACTTTTCATGTTTTCTAATGCACATTTCCTTCTGTTTTTTTTTTTTTTTTTCTCTGAGACAGTCTCTCTGTGTTACCCCCGCTGGAGAGCAGTGGCATTATTTGAGCTCACTGATACCTCAACCTCTAGGTTCAAGCAATTCTTGTACCTCCATCTTTTGAGTAAGTAAAATTATATTTGCCCAAGATGCTGGGCTAGTTTTTGTACTTTTAGTACAAATGGGGTTTCACCATGTTGGCCAGGATGGTCTTGAACTCCTGGCCTCAGGTAATCCACCCACCATGGTCCCCAAAAGCACTGGGATTACAAGCTTGAGCCACCAAAGACCACCTCTAATGCAGATTTTCAACACGTTGGTTCCATGCTCCATACAAAGTCAGATTTAATTGTTTTTGTCAGGATTTATTAACTTTTAGATTCTGAGTCCAGATCATGAGCATGGCTGAACAAATCCATTCCAGACCTGATATTTGTTTTCCTTTCAGCTTCATGTCTTTGTGTTTCACCACAGTCTATTTGGAGCAACATTCGGAGAACATCACTTTCAGCCATGCCCTTTACCATCTGGTAACAAGGCTCCCATTTCTACTTGGAGGTAAAAGGCTCTCTCCCTGTTTGCCTACTTAAGACTCATACAACACAGATATCACTCCTTCTAGGAGGTGCTTCTCATCTATCATATTAGTTTTCTTGTCTGTCTGTGTGCCTTGGACAACCAGCACTGATGTAATACAGTATCTGACACATATATGTATGTGAGTGTGTGTGTATATACACACACACACACACACACACACACACACACACACATGTATGTGAATTAGTTGATGTTGACTGCGGACTTACAATCATAAACTCTATTTTCGTTGTCAAAAACACATATTCTTGGTATTGAGGCATTATTTGTTATTCTTCGTTCCTCACCACAACTTATCATAAAAGCGTACCTCACAGTATCCTTCACTAGAGATGCAATATTTTGGACTTACTGAGGCTAGCGTCCCTGCTTATCCCTTTGACTATCATGCTTTCTTTTTACATCTAGTTATGATTTTCCCCTGCTTCTTCTAAAAATTCTTTTTCATCTTCTGCTTTGAGTAGCAGGTCCTTGTCTGAAAGAACTAGCTGTATCCTTACCACTCCTTCCTTTATTTGCAGTGGAGATTCCTGGTTGCTGTGATGAAATGGGATACACTGGGGATCCAGCTGCACAACTTTTCGGAAGCAGCATTCACTGTGGATTTGGTATATTATGCAGCTTTTGGTGTCACAGGCTAAGGTCTGACAAGATTCACCATGCAGTTTTCTGGGATAGCAGAAAATGAACATGGATTTGGACAGCCAGATTCCTCAGGATGGAAACCTAGTGGTGCCATCTAACCATATACGTATATTTCCAAGTTGTGCATAAGTAGAAAAAGTTTAGAATCCATCATCTAAAAAGGGAATCCTGATTTCCTTTCCTGGCAGACCATGACAGAAAGACAAAGGTCATTTCACCTATATCCACATGCTATTAACTTTTTAGTTCTCAAACTGGGTTTTCAGAAGGTAGTGTGATAGACATGGTTAAATGGTTAACAGGAAGAATGTTTAAAAAAAAAATTCCGGCTGGGGTGGTGGCTCAGGCCTGTAATCACAGCATTTTGGGAGGCCAAGCTGAGTCAGGAGAATCGCTTGAACCCAGGAGGCGGAGGTTGCAGTAAGCTGAGATCCTGCTTTTGCGCTCCAGCCTGGGTGACAGAGTAAGACTTCATCTTAAAGAAATCCACAACAATAAAAAGGCTAATGCCAGACACAATAAAAAATGAAAAGAATAACTTGGGTGAACAGCAAGGCAAGAAAGAAAAAAGGAAATGACAGTTTAGAAAGTGAGGATAAAGTAATGAAAGATGGAATGAGACAGGTTAACATGTGGAATACATTATTGTAAGTTTAAGGCCCGAATAAGACGAGTGTCAAACAACAAAAGCAACAGTAAAATAAGCACAGAGAGGAGGAGAGAGAGTGTGAAGGAGGAAAAAGAGTAAGCAAATGCAAAACATAAAGTGATCAGCATGATTAGAAAATCTGTCCATTCCCACCCTCGGAAAATTCTTTGTATTTTGAGGAACATCCTTACAAGATTTTAATGTAACCAATCACAGAGCAGTCTAACCCAGAAAATATCCTAGCTTCTTCTAGGATTCATACAAAGACATTGTACCTTCTTAAGTATTCTCTCTCTATCTAGGTTAAACTAGCTTAAACTGTTTCAATAACAAAAATTACTTTGAATTTTCTGCCCAAAAGGAACATCACGGACGTTCTTCATCTTGAGTCATCACTTGAGTAATAAAGTAGATGGAGAAGATGTACTTTCTCCCTCACATAAATGCAATTAATATCCGTGCGTGATATATATAAAGCAAACATAAGACTGAAGGATGGAGCAAGAAGATAAACTGGTGAGGAAATTTAAGATGCAACAAGTGATAAGATGGTTGAGTTCCCTGAATTCTTTTTGCCTGGTGTTATCACAGACTTGATCCTGAAGGAGCTGGTACCGACAAATATAAGTAGGTATAGACAGAATTGTCCCCCAAAAGCTCCAGCCTCTATAGACACAGGTCTAGGAAAGGGACACCTTATTAAGACAAAAATCTTTGTACAATAGCCATCCTACTTTCGTCAAACATTACAACACAAAACAAAACGACCCAAAAAAGCTAGCCAGGACAACAAAGTTTAAGTTGGAACATAGAGAGCACCAGGCATTAATGAAGCAACCCAACCCTCTGCCGGAGTGGAATCAGGGAAGGTAAAGTAGAGAGCTAGAGTTTTCAACCCTGCCGTGTGGTAACAAGATACCCTTCCACTTCTAGCCAGGAAGGTACAAGTAACACCTAGGTTGAAGCTGGAATCTGCATATTTATTTATCAGTAATGAGGAGCACTGCCTTGGGTGTCAAAGGAAGTGAAGACGGGAAGTTGGAATTGTGGCCCTACTTGACAAGTATACACTTCCCTCTGTTAGGGTGGTATCAGACAAAGCCAGCTACAGATGAACAAATAGGATGTCAAAATATGGTCCGGAGTCTCCTAACGGTCCCCCAAATGTTTAACTTTCAAGTAAAAATCTGAGACAGAAATTCTAGTGCTACTGTTATGGGATCACTGTGGTGTCAATTTTACTTGCCAGAAACCTCTGTGACCACGATGCCTTTCCTTGAGTTCTTGTCCTGTGTGCAGGGAGAATGAGATAGAGAGTCAAGTGAAGGGTAAAGAAGAAGAAGAGTTCTATTTAGTGTTAAAACAGTTCAAAGTATTGGTGTTCACTCAGGACGGTAGCAGAAATACTAAAGGGAAATATTAGGGAAAGATATAGGGAATAGTCACAAACCTTTTGGAAGGCTGAAAGGTTACATAGCTTGTAATAATTGAACAGGCTGAAGGCAGCCAGTTCTTACCTTAGAGCATTAGGTCATAGGATAAATACTAGGGACAATAGAGGCTTCCCCATTTAAGCTTGTTAACCTTACCTCCATTAACTAACCTTTAAGGCAGATTGCCCTCTTGGAGGAAGGTTGACCAAGGATATTGCCCTTTAATGGAATTTACTTTAGACCACGGTACCTGAGCTTTAATCATTCATAGAACTACTCTCTCAACCATGTTAATTATGTACAAGTGTGCTGACTCAGAGTTTCTGTTGTTAATCACATACTAACTAAGTGACTGGAGTGCAAGCTTCTAAGGGCCGGTCACAGTAAAAAACATTTCTTGATGTGCAGGCGCTTGGACACCCAGCTGTACTGGCAAAGCAGAATATTTGTCAGTTTATGCTTTATTCATCCATCTTTTGGGTCAGGGTCTGCAGGCAGACCCCTACAGCTAGTGCCCTCTTGTGAGGAGCAATACCTCACAAAGGAGTGGGTAGCTCTTCTCTATAGGCAGGTCTTCCCATGGTGTGTTCACTCTATAGAGAGGGAGGCTCCTCTCTGCAGGCAAGTCATTTACATGACTCTGCAGGTCTCTGCAGCTCTCTGCTGCAGCTGCTGCTCCCAGCGGAGAGGGTACTGCTCTCCTCCCATGGTCTGCAGGGATCAGCAGGAAGGGTACCCCTTTCTGCAGCAGACTGGCTTTTTAGTGTCTTCATAAGAACTTTCACAGAGCAATAGTTTTTAATTTTGATTTGATCCAGTTTATCGGTTTTCCTTTTATGGTTTATGCTTTTGGTATCAAATGTAATAACACTTTGCTACAACTAAGAGGCTTCAATTTTCTTATGATTCTTTTATTCTGAAAATGTTTTATAAAATGTCTTATAATTTTATATTACATTGAAGTTCATGAGCCATTTTGAGTTAATTTGTGTAGAGTAATGTTTATGTTAAGGCTTTATTTCTTAAATTTATGGATGTCCACATGCCATAGCACCATTTGTTGAAAGGCTGTTTTTCCTCCACTGATTTTTGCTTGCCAGATTTATGTCATATTACCTGGTCATATCCACACCAGTGTGGCTCTATTCCTGGGCTTTCTCTTCTGCTCCATTTTTTACACGAATCTGTCTCTATGCCAATACTAAACTGTCATGATCACTTTAGCTGTTTAATAAGTCTTTGAAATGTTGTTGATGGATTTCTCCCACTATATATTAAACACTAATAATTGTCTTAGCTATCCTAGTAAGTTTGCATTGTCTGCAAAAATTCTTGCTGAGATATTGATAGGAATTGCATCAAATATATAGATCAAGCTGGGGAAAATTAACATGATATATTATATCTTTACATCCATGAACACCGTGTATCTCTTATTATTTCTATTTGATTTATTTCACCAGTATTTTATATGCTTCAGCATACAGATCTCATACCTGTTTTCTTTTGTTTAAATGCATATCAAAACATTTGATGTTCTTTGGAGCAGCTGTAGATGATACAGTTTCTAATCTGGGGAAATGGCAGAGTGCTAACTAGTTTAGATTTACTTTGTCTGTTCAGTTCCTAGGAGGGTGGTTTGTGGTAGATGGTTAACTCCCCACTGAAGCCTTCTGACAGGATAGGTTAGAGGAGGGTAGTGGGGACAGCAGGCAAGACACACAGTGCAATCTGTCCTACTTAGCTCTGGCTCTTTAAAAACTGTGGTTGTTGGGTCGACCTGTATGCTCAGCTTGCTACCGGAGTCTGCTGACATAAGGGAATTAGAATGCTCTCCTCTGCTTTCTCCAGGAGGGTGATAGAATATTCTCTCTGGCCGGGCACAGTGGCTCATGCCTGTAATGCCAGCACTTTGGGACGCCAAGGTGGGTGGATCACCTGAGGTCAGGAGTTTGAGACCAGCCTGACCAACATGGAGAAACACCATCTCTACTAAAAATACAAAATCAGCCGGGTGTGGTGCCACATGCCTGTAATCCCAGCTACTTGAGAGGATGAGGCAGGAGAATCATTTGAACCAGGGAGGTAAAGCTTGCAGAGAGCTGAGATGCTGAGATTGTGTGTCATTGCACTTTAGCCTGGGCAACAAAAAGAAACTCCATCTCAAAAAAAAAAAAAAAAAAAAAAAAAAAAAAAAAAACACAACAACAAAAAAAGAACGAAAAGAAAAAAAAAAGTTGCTGACTAGTTTGACTTCATGGGGAATGAGAGCATCACTGACATGTTGAGAAGACTGTCTCTGTACATGGCTCCACAGAAATGGCAATACTAGTTAATTTTATTTTATTTTATTTATTAATTATTTTCTGGTAGTGTTTATCTGGAATAGTTTGGTTATTACCTTTAGAAGTGTTTCATGCTATTGTGTGTGGTTAGGTCATCCTCTCCTTGTCCTTTGGTTGAGAGAGAAGAGGATTTCCTTGAAGTCCTTTTCTTCTGTGCCTATTGGAGATTCTGGATTGGAAACTTCTACAGTCCATCATCTGCGATATACGGAAGACACTAGGAAAACCAAGTAAAGTGACCATGATACCACTCTGCAAGTCCTTATGTCCCCAGACAAACTGTCTTCCTTTTTCTATCTTTCAGATCCTGTCCTTGTTTTTTGTCTTTACATCTGTGGTGTTTCAGTTGTTCAGAGGAAACAATGGGGTGTTGCATTGTAACTAGAAATCCTAGGAAGTGAAAGTTTGAGAATGGCTTTTAAAGTACCATGCAAACCAAATCTCATAATGCAAAACATGGGAAGATATGGCATGACATAATTTACCCAAAATAAAGTGATTTTTATAAAATAAAGTCTTCACCAAATTTAAATAATCTCAAAGAAGTCTGCTGAGATCAGCTTGGTCATGGAGACCTTAACCCAGCTGTGCTAGAGGAATTAAAGACAGACACACAGAATTATGAAGTACAGAGTGGGAATCAGTGGGCTGACAGCCTTCAGAGCTGACAGCCATGAACAGAGTTTTACCCACATATTTGACAGTAAGCCAGTGATAAGCATTGTTTCTGTAGATTGTAGATTCAGTAAAAAGGAAGACAAAGAGTTGGGTTCTCACTAGTTATCTGAAGCAGGAGCAGGTCCTTGAGGCACAGATCGCTCATGATATTCTTTGTGGTTCAGGAATGCCTTAAGCGGTTTTCTGCCCTGGGTGGGCCAGGTGTTCCTCGCCCTCATTCCAGTAAACCCACAACCCTCAGTGTGAGTGTCATACCCATCATGAGCATGTCATAGTGCTTCAGAGATTTTGTTTATGGCCAGTTTGGGGGCCTGTCTATGGCCAGATTTGGGGGTCTGTTCTCTACATATTCCTCTTTTTGGTTTTTCCAATTCGATAAAAGCAAAGGTGGCTTTATCACGGTGAACTACGTCTCACAGGACTTGGGATCTGCATCTGCAGACTATACAAAGACAAACAACACAGATTTAAAGCACAATCATCTTTAAATCAGAGTCTCCAAGTGTTTTTGTCCTTTTTAATGGGTTAATAGCAGCTAATCCATCCACAGCTCTTTCAAGCACTCCTGTTCCTGGCATTAAGATCAAGCGTGCCTGGGATAATTCAAATATTTGCTCTTCTTAATTTTGCAATATCCAAAGACATATTTGTAGAATGTCCTTCTAGATGCGTTTTTATTCTTTCCCAAATTTTGATCAGATTGCCGTTCTAGATGCTTTTTTATTCTTTCCCAAATTTTGATCTTATTAAGAGCCAATAACAGTTTCCACAAATCCTAATGTTTAGCTCCTAGAGCGGGTTGTATCATTTGTTGTTGAGGTGCCATTTTACCTCCATGTTTCCAGAAGATCTCTTGCTGTATCTCTTACCATTTCTACCATCTGACCATTTTGGTCAGACAAGCTGAACATAGTGTGGCCTTGGCACACAGACCGAGAGGTGCGATTTAAGCTAAACTTCCCCTTAGGGGACAAATCAATAAATATTCCATAGGAATCGTTGCAGAGCACCTCTGCATGTTCTGCAATGCAATTTTCTAAAACAAGTACATTCATTTATTCTGGCCGTGTCTATTTCTGTTTACAATTAGATTCTTGAGGGCAGTATGCCTCAATTCTAGGAGCAGATTCATTATGATAAACACTGAGACCAGAAAGCATATGTAACTGTGTCAGCCCTGCAAAGGAATACTCATGGCAATGGTGATCACCAGTATCATAGCTATCATTATATGGGGGACTCATTGTCCTACTTTCCTCAGGTTTTCTTTTGCCATCTGTGGCAGCTTCTTGATCTGTCCCCAGGTAGGTGGCTGTGTTCAATGCGTGTTGCTCGTGATAGTTGGGGTACTCCTCAGCATCAACTTAGAGAATGCTGCCACCGCTGGATCTTTGAGATCCTCCTAACACCTCTTCCAGGGTATCTGGCTCATAAGCAGGGCTTTAGGCATCTCAGTAGCACCCACATTGGCAGTTGATCAGTCCTGGAGAAACACAAGCATAACCTCTACCCCATGTTATTATTTTACCTATTTCCTAATTTTCTGTTATTGGATCTCACCACCAAACCAGTTTTTCTGCTTCTGTCTTTGCAGCTGGTTTCTGCAGATGCTGATCAGCTGCTGATAGCATCTGGCCTCTAGACAGGCTCAAAAAATTTAGAGTCAATAATGCTACATTCAATTTCCTATGTGGTATCCCGTAGTCCTTGATTCCCCCTTTGGCTTTTGCAACTGCTCTTTCAGGGAGAGATTCATTCTTTCCGCTACGGCTTGTCCTTGAAAATTATATGAGATACAAGTTATGTGTCTAATATTCCATATAGAGAAAAATGTCGCTACAGCTTCATTAGGGTAGCCTAGGGCATTGTCCATTTTAATAGAAGCTGGACTGCCCATCAACACAAAACACTGCAAAAGTTGACATTTAACACAGGCAGAAGACTCTCCTAATTGGCACGTAGCCCAGACGAAGTGAGAAAAGGTGTTTACACATACATGTACGTAAGTTAGTCTCCCAAATGAGGAAACATGTGTGACATCCATTTGCCAAAGATCCTTAGGTTCCAATCCTCAAGGATTAACTCTTCCTGTAAAAGATGAGGAATGCAAGCTGGGTATTGCTGGATAATAGCTTTAGCTTCTTTCCAGGTAATGCTGGACCTGCATTTGAGACCAAAGGCATTAACATGGGTTAAATTGTGAAAGTGTTTGGCATTAGATATTGTAGCAGCAAATAGGTGGTCAGCCATTTGATTCCCTGCAGTCAAAGGTCCTGGAAGAGATGTATGAGCTCTAATATGAGTAATGTAAAAAGGGTGCATTCTACTCCTAGCTGCTCTTTGTAATTGGGTAAATTCATCAGTCACTCATCTGTGTGGAATCATGCTGAGCATTTTCAACCGACTGTGTAGAATGAACCACATATGAAGAATCAGAAATCACATTTATAGGCATATTACAAGCAGTCCATACCTCAATTACAGTTACAAGCTCCGACTTTTGAGCTGAAGTATAGGGCATTCAGAAAACTTTACCTTTCGAGCCAGAATAAAAAGCTTTGGTATTACTAGACTCCTCTGTGAAGATATTTTTAGCATTTTCAATAGGTTTAAATTTGGTTATTTTAGGGAGAATCCAATGAGTTAATTTCAAAAATTGAAATAATTTTGTTTTTGGAAAATGGTTATCAAGAATACAAAGTCAGATAAATGTGTTTGTCAAGTAAGGCTATTTGTAAAAGCCTGTTGTATTTGTGTCTTTGTAAGGGGGACAATAATTTTTCCAGGATGATATCCTTGTAATTTAATGATCTAAGTTCTTCCATTTCCTATCATAGTAGTGATTTGATCCAAATAAGGAGTCAAAGTCCATGAATTAGTACGTGGAAAAAAAATCCATTCTACAAGGTATTGCCCTTGAACAATAACACCAGTAGGTGAATGCT
This sequence comes from Homo sapiens, assembly GCF_000001405.40. NCBI lineage: Eukaryota > Metazoa > Chordata > Mammalia > Primates > Hominidae > Homo > Homo sapiens. The sequence continues at coordinate 18,761,445 of NC_000024.10, read as the reverse complement.
GAGTTGAAAAAAAAAAATCTGTAAATCTAGAACTGGAGCCCACACTTGTCCCATTGTAACCCTGATGCTTCCGAACTTCTCTACTTACTCACCATGGGGATTTCTTAAGAGTAGCCAGGTGTCCTTCAGTGTAGTTCCACATTCTCCCACCCTCACTTTGGTGACTCTTTGACCTGGGTTTGATTCCCCCGTATGGTCACGACTTGCCGAAGCCACATCAGTCATGGAGACCATAACCCAGTAGCGCTAGTGGCATTAAAGACACACACACAGAAATAGAGAGTGTGGAGTGGGAATCAGGGGGCTGACAGCTTTCAGAGCTGAGACCCATGAACAGAGTTGTACCCACATATTTATTGACAGCAAGCCAGTGATAAGCATTATTTCTATAGATTATAGATTAACTAAAATGGGAGACAAAGGATGGGCTCTGGCTACTTAACTGCAGCAATAATTTGTCCTTGAGGCAGTTTCAGGAATGCCTTAAGAAGTTTTCTGCCCTGGGTGTGCCAGCTGTTTCTTGCCCTCATTCTGGTAAACCAACAACCTTCAGCATGGGCATCATAGCAATCATGAGCATGGCCTGTTCCCAACAAATTTGTTATAATATATGTAAACTAGCCAATGATTTATAGCATATTAATAATATAGATCAATGAAGAAATGATAAAATACCTCTCCTACACTTGGAAATGAAATAAAGTTGGCAAGGCTTCCAGAAAATGTAATCAAAAATATGTACTTCCTCAACTGCAGAAGGGTTATAGTAAAAATACCTTTCTCAGAGGTTTTATTTGTTAAGTGGCAAATGATTTAATAGAAATCAAGCACTTATGTCTAGTTCACTGGAGCAAAGTTAAAAGTTGCAAAAGCAACTCTTATGAAAGCCAGAGATTATAACTGTATGACAAATTTTAAAAAATCACACTGACTATCAAGAAAAGAAACAGCTCTGAGGTTTGGACTTTAGCAATATTAGTTTGAGATTAAACTTGGTCGTTCATTGAAACAGTCAACAGAGCAGTAAATTTAGATATATTCCCAGGAAAGAGACCATTTCTGTGTTCAGCGGGGTTGGGCTCCCTGCCTAAATACTTGGTGAAAAAAAGTGTGGTTCAGACATTTAAGTAAAATATTTAAGTCAGTACAGAACATCATGTCCTGCAGATAGCAGGATCTAACACAGAATGCGGTTTTTTATTGAAATTGATGAGAAAAGATTTTTATCTCAACCTCTATCCTGTGGGATATGCAAGACTGAGGTTAGATTTTTCATGTTACCTACATAATATAACTACCCCCAAAGCAGAAACTGGTATAAAATACTAGATTGCACAATTAAGTTCCTAAAATCCTGAAAAGATTAACATAAAACTCCCCCCATAAGTATCACTTTACACTCAAGAACTAAAGATCGCTTTACCACTTCACAGACAACATTAACAATTCACTGATGGATGTTCCACGTCCTAGGAGGTAGCCAGGGAAGACACACTTAAGGGTCGTACCCAAGGATAAAAAGTTGAATAAAAAATGAGTAAGTTTAGGTGTTCTCTGAGATGAAGAAATGGAATCTAAAAGCAAAAACAGGTGGTAGGAGGACAAAAATAAATTTTTAAAATAGACAATTATACATTTTTGAAAAGTGAACCATATATGAAGGTTCATGAACCATATATTATAGGAACTCAATTTTTTTTTTGTTTGTTTCTTATGCAGTAGATTCCACACAAATATAGCAAGAATAAGTACTTTCCTAAGTAGATCTGTAAGTAAGTTTGCCAGGTGCAGGGTGATAATAATACATTTGAAATGTCACCTTTCAATTTAAATTTAATTACTTGTGGCTGGGCATGGAGGCTCACACCTGTAATCCCAGCGCTTTGTGAGGTGGAGGCAGGCAGATCAGGAGGTCAGGAGATCGAGACCATCCTGGCTAACACGGTGAAACCCCATCTCTACTAAAAATACAAAGAGTTAGCCGGGCGTGGTGGCAGTGGCCTGTAGTCCCATCTACTCGGAAGGCTGATGCAGGAGGTACTGGGTATTAGTGATGGTAATCTTTGTGTTTTTCATTATGAAATAATGTATGTAACTGTTGGGTACATCAGTGCTTTTAAATGGGCTGCTTAATTTAGGATTAACTATGTATATTCATGTTAAGAATTAACACGATTTGACTGTTTCCTGTATTTTATAGTATACATGTGCAGAAATATATTCAAAATTGAGGAAGGAAGCATACCTTTATCAGGGTGCTATTAAACTTGAACATCAAGTATCATATATCAGTTGAGGGTTTTTTTTTTTGATTACTCCATAAAAACGCCTATTTGGGGTGTTTTTTTTAAAATTGGGAGAAGCTGTCTTCTGTGTAGGACGGCTATTTCAAAATATTTCAGTGTTTTGTTTCCTGTTGCATGACAGATTTAACTTTTTTTTTTTTTTTCCAGCAGTCGTGGTACATCAGAGTCCAGTGTTCTAGAAGAGGCAGTGTCTCCACCCTAATTTTACTTTTCTAATTCTGGTAGCTACAGGAATTTTTGAAAGTTTTGTTTAAGTAGTCTGACATTTTTATGTAAAGAGCATGAAATCGTGCTATGTATAAATTTTCAACATCTAAAAGTGAATCAACATTTTCAATCCTTGAATCCCAGCATTTTTGGGAGGCTGAGGTGCATGGGTCATGAGGTCAGGAGATCGAGACCATCCTGGCGAACACGGTAAAACCCAGTTCCTACTAAAAAGTTAAAAAATGAGCCAGGCATGGTAGTGGGCCCCTATAGTCCCAGTTACTCCAAAGGTTGAGGCCAGAGAATGGGAGGAACCCAGGAGGCGGGCTTGCAATGAGCTGAGATCCCACCAATGCACTCCAGTCTGGGCAACAGAGTGAGACTCTGTCTAAAAAATAAATAAATAAATAAAATAAGAAAAAAAGAAAATATTTTCAATCAGTGCCAAGGGCTTCTTGAAGTTCCAATCAAGTGTTACAATAAATATTTGTAGATAATGGTCGATACTTATGCATACTTATTTTAAAGATATATTTAGGTGGGAATAGTTGTGGATGTATTAAGAGTAATGAAATAGAATGTTAGCTTCATTTACTTGTGTTTTTACCATATAATAAATCCTATCATTTTTTTTTTTTTTGTCCTCAGTATGGTGTCACATTTGAATAATGTGCATAACAAAGATTTCACATTGTTATAAAATCAAGTCTGTGAATGCTACTTGTTTTATTTCTGGCAAAAATCTCTTCAGCAATTTAAGAAAATATTATAATTCACTGGTGCAGTATTGGGCATAAAATTGCCACTAGCACTTTGTAGTTATCTGTATAAAGTTAAAAGTTTTCTGACCAGTTTTGTAGCAAATTAAATCCATCTACCTGTAAGATTAACAAGGCTGAAACTTGGGCAAAGTACAAAACAAGGGCCCCTGTGCAGTTGCTTATTTTTCAAATGGATGGTACAAAAGTTGATGGAAAGATTTACTCAGGAATATAAAGAAACCTAGTTCTAACAGTTACTCTCTAGAGTAGCAGAGCTAAATATGTTACTCAGGATTTTATTTAACCTGTTAAATTATTAAGGGAAAGACCACAGTTATGATAGAAAAAAATCAAAAATTTTGTTTCGGGTTTATTTGGTATCTTCATAATGTTCTCAGTTTCTTCCCTGGGGAGTTTCTGCCTTAGCTTACAGGTTTTATAGTCAGTAATTCTTAATGAATCAATAAATTCTTTAATGCAAATTTCTAATAGTTTCTCTTGGCTGACTAAAGGAACCATTCAGGGTTTGTGTATGGAACACGCTGTGTTGGGAAACCAGGTACATTTTGACTTTGTCACTAGATTGAAGCATGCCTGCAGGGAGAATTCTTGGACCATCCTTCTTGAGCACTGATTACATGGGGGAAAGGGAATGATTTTGAAATTAGGTATGCATTAATTTTATAAAATACATTGCCCTAAGAACCATTATTGGAACATATATGTAATTTAAAAGCCTAAAAACTGTGGTGACTTCTAAAAATAAAATTTAGCAAGTACATCAAAATAAACCATCAGGTATGCTTTTAACACCAGGATACTTCAGACTTACATAAAATATTAATGTCAGTACTCATGTACTTGTTATATGATGATAAGTCTTTTCTTTCTTACTCCTAAAATAGTAAGTCATCTCAACCTTTACAAACTTTGACAAATCAAAATCTCTTAAATATTTTATCTTAAGCAAAAAACTATAAATTTTTCTCAAAAGAGTGAAACATTTGAAAGACGCAAGGATCCATATAAACTTTGGATTTTTAATGCCTTTTTACCTTCTTGTCTTCAATGGGGAAGAAAGATACCCATTGCAAGCAGTTAAAATAAACCACAGAAGCCCTGGATGTCTTCCACCCACAGATTCCCCTGTCCATGGGCATTGGCAACTTATCTGTTGACTCCTGGTCTTGCTTCCACTGAATGATTTTTATGTATTTCTCTAAGGAATTTTCACAGTGAGCACATTTGTCTTTGGTTTCTTCATTACTCATTCTTAATTCATTTTTTAAATCTAATTCATTTTTTCAGTGTTCACTTATTCCTGAATCATCCTCTTTAAAACACATGGGCACCAAAGCAGGAAATACACAAATACATTTGTAAAATATTTTAAGTGTTTAAAAAGGCCGTAATATAATCGCAATTTTTAAATTACAGCATGTATGTCAGTGAACTGATTTTTAAAATTGAAGTCATTGCTATCATCAACAGAAGGCAAATAGGTCATCTCAATGAAGGAAGCGATTAATTTCCTTCAAGTGGCCTGTGCTTTAGATTTGAATTAACCAGGAGTCTTGGGAACATCATATGTTGGTGTAATTCAAGCAAGACTTAGAATGTGTGTTAACTGGACAGAGAAATGTATCTGCTAAGCCAGAATCAGAACACAGAAGGGAAGCAGAGGTGCAGAGGAAGGAGGGAGGCGGTGTATGTCCCTGTAAGCAACCTTGGAATGGAAGCCACCTCCACCCTTGGTTTCTTCTACTGCCTGCTATCTGACGTTGACAACCTCTTGTTTAAGCTCCGTTTTTTGTTTAATTGGCTTTTGTTTATGTTTTTTGTTTTTTGTTTTGTTTTGTTTTGTTTTGAAACGGAGTCCTGCAAGTGGACGGCGGCCCCTCCTAGGGTTTTAGCAATTACTCGGATGTGGACCCTTTCCATAACTTTTATTCTACTCCTGATCTCTATACATAGCCTCACATCCACATTTCTGATAGTTTCCCTCCAAACACATGCAGAAACTCCACAGCACCAGCTTCATCACAGGAGTGATTATCCCAGTTCTTCGCTCACGCTCTATCTTCCATCCACCCAGTAACCAGCGCTGGCACATTCCCACTCCCTGTCCTGTGGCTGCAAGAGGGGTCTTCCTCATCATCTGCCTGGAATACTGAAACAGCCCTGTCAAGGCTCTCTGTGAATTCAGTCTCTGCCTGCCAGATACCTGTGGTCATCTGCACTAGGCATTCCCTGAAGGGAAGATATGTATCTCATGTGCAGTGTCTCCGTTCTGGCAGAGTCCAATGCCTTGGTATTCTGGGCTCTGATAATCTGCCTTTTTCTTTCCAGATTGATTTCCCACAACACCACCAACGTTGTACTAGAAATGTTTCATCTGTACCAACCTGCTTGCTGGGGCTGGGCTATGGCTGTATCTTCCTTGCTTGGCATTTGCCTTCACTGTCTCCTCAACCTGTGGCACTCTCATTCTGTCATAAAGCCTGATATGCTGTTGGAGACCCAAATGAAATTTCATCTCCTCCTTATTTCTGAATTGAAAAGTAACCACTCCAGCACCTTACTTGCACAATATCTTGTACCTGCTTCTTGAAAATATACACATATTTGTTTCTCCTACTTCTATTTTTTCCAGGGAAGGCCCATATTTTAACAAATTGTCTTTTCCCTCTGCATCTTGGCATGGGTCCCTACATCTCAAATATTTAAATAGACCTCATTCTCAGAGACAACTATGCTGACCTTTCTCTTCTGGTTCTAGCCATAACCTATTTTTTTTTTTTTTGGTAAGTTAGCAATGCAAATAAGCAGAAAAATATATAGGTTCACCATAGGACTCTGAACTTTTTGCTCACCTTGTTCTAAAGTCATCAACAGGGACTGAGTTAGTTTCAAAAATAGGAGAAAAGCAACACAGTTTTTTCTCTATCTACTCTATCTACACCTGCCATCTCTTCTCAATCCTTCTCATAAAATTAAAATAACTGAAGAGACAGTTGATCATTTCCACAGGCAGAAATGTAACATCCTCTGTGCTAGAAGAACAAGAAGAAAAAAGTTACTCATAAATGAGGTTTCTTTCTTATATGGAATAGTAATTTCAAGATAGCAATGTTATTTAAGCACCTCTTTGTTAAGAAAGAAAGAGGAAGAAAAACTACTTCTTTGCTCTGGTGTATATTTTGTAACTACACAGTGGAATACTGAAGGATCTTTGGACACAACGGAAAGAAATGAAGTACGTCCATTGGGCACCTTATATCAGAAACAGTAAATTTCAGACTTTTCAATTTCCTTTGAGCCCAGATGAACAAGTGAAATGAGGAATATAAAAATTTCTCAATAACACCAATGCTACTCACTATGCTGTTTAATAAATTATTTTTATTATTCTTATTTTTTTTTAGATGGACTCTCACCAACTTGCCCAGGCTGGAGTACAGTTGAGTGGTCAGCTCAATGCAACCTCTGCCTCCTGGGTTCAAGTGATGCTTCTGCTTCAGCCTCCCAAGTAGCTGGCACTACAGGTGCATGCCACCACGCTTGGCTAATTTTTGTTTTTTTTTAGTGGAGATCTGGTTTCAACCATGTTAACCAGGATGGTCTTGATCTCCTGCCCTCATGATCCACTTGCCTCAGCATCCCAAAGTGCTGGGGTTACAGACGTGAGCCAACGAGCCCAGTCAATAATTTTTAAAGCCAATATTATAATCGACATTCCATCTCAGAGGCAGAACACCAAGTTATTCAGTTGAATTCCCTCATCTTATTGTGTTCTTTTTACTCCCTTTCCCAGGTCTGTGACAAATGGCTGCCTGTCAGAAACTCCCTCTTGTGGCCATGGCCCCTACTCACCTGCTTCAGCCCACCCCTGCTGCAGTACTGAGTAATAGCTTACTGATCATCTGCCTCAGTGGCTAGAAATTCAGGATGAAACGAGTTTGGTTTGATTCACTGTCATATGATCAGCCCCAAGGAAACTGCCCAGCAGAGACAGGCTCTAGATGAGGACTTACAGAGTGCTTTCCAGAGCACATTTACTCTTGAATCAGCAAAATCAAACTTCTCAAAACCCCTTGCCTCTTTAAGTAATTCTGTATGTTTCTGAAAGCCATGACTTTAACCAGAAAACTGCTAACCAGATGTTTGGAAATGTTTGTAAGATGATGTATTTCCAACATTTGGGAGGGATGAAGAGGTGGCCTTACTTGTGAAAACAGCTTTCATATTTGAAGAGTAACACTATGGTGCCAGAAGAAAAGGGCCTGGCTGTTTGCTCATCCCTAGAATAAAGGACAAATCTCCTACTGTTGTGGGAATTAAGGAACAGGAGAGACCAATGAGTGGAACAGGAGGATTTTATTGGATGTAGCTTGACTTAGTGGAATAGCATTTAAAGGCTGAGCCCTGAACAAAGACAGGGCTTGACTTTTAACACAAGCACCCAAAGAGGGTTGGCCAGCTAGTGGCATGAAATCTGCAGGATGGGCAAGCAAGCTTATAGAAGCAGAACAAAGACACTTTTTTAAAGAAAGTGACAGGTGTTGTAACTCACGCATGTCTCATGACCTTTGCAATAATACTTGGATAGAAAAACAACAGCAACTTTCAAAATGTTTGTAAACCTCCAGAAGTGGTTATAAAAATAGCTGTGAGAGCAGCACAAAGAATATTGGTGTGGCATGAGAGTTCTAAAGAGGGGAAATTGATAAGAAGAACTTGTTTTTCTCATTCCTGCTTCTCAAATCCATTCTTTCCAGGCCCTAGCTCTGCTAATAGTGCTATTAGAGCCCCAACAGGTTCTGGCTTATCACTGGGTGTTGGAGTGAGTCACCTCAGTACAGAGAAAATTTTTTGTGTGTGTGTGGTGTTGTTTTTTAGCATTCCCCAATTCATTTCCACCTTTGATGCTTTTCTTAAATGAGGTTTAATAGAGAATATAATCACCATTTAATTCTTCAAGGTGGGGCAGTTCCCTATTTGTCAGTGGTTGGTATTTAGTTAGAGCCATTAGTTGAGCGGTCGTGCATGGCCTCCATGGCTGCTTGAATGTTTCTAACAAGGAAGGTCAGAGACAAGAGAGAGCAAGGGAGAATCCTAGTATGGCTAGAACTATTTTTGCTAAGGTCTTAAATTCTTCAAGGGATGAAAACGAGACCCTGAATAGGAAAACTGGAGACTATCCTTTCCAGGTCTGGGCTGTAACATGGGCCAGTTTTGGGATTTTGGCAGTTATATTCTTGATGACCTTTAATTTGATATTAATTTCTAAGCAGCAATTTTTTAGACTGAACTTTCCACATGCCCCTCCTTCCTGGACTAGGAGGTAGTTTAAGGCCAGTCGATTTTGATGAGTAGCATTCTTCATTTTTGTGGCTTGTTGGGCCAGCAGATTTAGGGCATTTGCAGTATTATTAATAATAATTTTCAGCACCACCTGTAACCTTATGAGGTGGTAGAGCATGAAAATAGGGATGCACTATCACCACATTCCATTTTCTGCCTGGGTGGCTGGGCCATGGTATTCGATTTTTTTTTTTTGTAGGGGACCATTTATTGTTTTACCGATTTCTTATGGTTATGTCTTTTGAATTTTTGTTTGTTTTGTATTTGTTTTATCATAGACTGGGTATCCTAAAGATTCTCCCTGTTCCAAGGGGATTAGAAAGAAGACAGCCTAATTGTTCCTGGTACCCAGGCCCCTGACCATTTAGCCAGCAACGGCCAATATGCCTATGGCCCACAGATACTATAGAGGCCAGTGGGCACCTGCCAGGTATTGGGAGCTTTAAGTTGGTACAAACAATGGTTTAGAGAAGGGAATCAGGAAAATGGGCTTGGTTGGGGTGGTTTGGAATTATTTTTACTCCAACAGACAGTGTTTCTTAGTGTTTTAGTGTAATATTGTTCTAGGCAAGTTGACTTTCCTGCTGGGTCTGTAAATGTGTTTCTCCGACGAGCAATGCAGAATTTTCTGATAATGGAGGTCTTTAAGAACCAGATGCTCTTGCTTGTGAACACAGGTTCGGGGGAAGAGACAGTACGAGTGAAGTTATTTTGGGGCATTAGCTTTCTTGCCTCCCATGGCCATTGGTGCCCCGTCAAGCATAGCATGAGGAGTTATGTAGGCTGCCGGCTATGTTTTCAGCCAATTAAGCAAACGGGATTGTGGTTAAGGGAGAGGGCTCAAATATTTTCTGGTTGATATTTTTAAGGAATGACTTATAAACTTGGAGTTTTTGGGTGGAATGTATCCAAGATTTCTTGATAATATATCAATAGACTTCTGAGTCTGTTTTCTGGCCACTACCTTGTATTTCCAGCAGAGTCTTTAAACCTGCATTCCATATGGGCAGATCCGGTTTAAGATGGTGAGATTTACAAGATTGCAACAGCTTGTCTTACAATTTTTTGTTCAGGTATTTTGGTAAGTATGACTGGCCCCGGCGATTGCAGGTTAGAGGACTGAATTATGCAGTTCCAGCAAGTTGTCTGAGAAATTGGCAAAGCAAGCAAGGGGTGCACATATATTTTTGTGACAACTATTACGGTGCTCTTCAGAATTGGAGATTATGGGAAAGGTTGTGCCCATCAATGTTAACTGGCACATATTAAAAGATAAGGACATAACTCCCCTGTGGGAGGGTGAGGCCTTGGTTTGGTGTGGCAGGTTTCCTTCTTTTGACCCATAAACTTTAAAAGAGGTCCCAGGTAGGAATTTTGGGTTATAACATACATAACGCTGGCCGTTTCCTGGGTCACAGACTGAGTAAGTTGTCTGGTTGTGAGTACAAGTTCCTAGGTGGGTCCCTGTCTACTTTTGATAAATGTGGTATAACAGGGTTTTGGTTATGGTGCTCCCTGACTGAGTATTGTGAGTGTAGTGGGGGCACTCTTCTATGGTCTCCTTTTCTGACACAAATAAGGGGAGTATTACAGTTAGGAGGGAAAGAAGTGGGCTTAGTTATCCCTGTGCCTGGAGTAGGAACTAAGTAAAGAGTAACATGTTTATATCCAAGAGGAAAAGAAGAGGTTTTTACCCAGCGGAGGAGTTTGAAGAAAGTGACAGAACGATAGTAAAACAACGATTTGATTTAAGATTTTAATCATTATTTTATTATTATTTTACTCCAGCTTTGACCGTACGTAGACTAGTCAACTTCCAGGATGACTAGAGCAGGGCTGTTGACTCCTCAGATTTTAGCTGAGCAGAGACTGGTCAGCTTTTGGAGTGACCAGAGCAGGGCTGTCATCATTTCTCATGGCAACTTGGTCCTGTCACAGGATTAACTGGCTCCAGTGATCTGGGTCATGTTGGCTGCCAGTTTTAACTGACTGTGGAGGATCCAGCGCACAGTTTCTGCAACTTTAACTGCCGTGGAAGTGGACAAGGTTAGAGTATAGGGCCCATCCCATGTGGGTCCTAAAGTGGTTGGATTTTATTTCTTATGTGCACAGAAGCCCCAGGTCTAAAGGAGTATGCTGGTTTTGCTAGGCTTATGGGCAGTTTTTCCCATACTCAGCCATGGACCACTTGCATGGCTGTCTTTAAGGCCTGCATTTGCCTTCTTAAAGTTAATTTCCCTAGTTCACAAATGTCACCCCTAATTTGAGCTATGATTGGGGGTGGCCGGCAGAAGATTCCATAGGACAAATATCCAGTTTGTTTTGTGGGGGTATACCTGACTCAGAGGAGCACCATGGGCAGGACTTGATTCCATTCCAGATGGGTTTCTTGGCAATATTTTTTAGAAGCTGTTTGAGTGTCTAGTTCATGTATCCTACTTTTTCTGAGCTTTGTCACAGGTAGACTGTGTTTAGTTTCCATTTTATTTTTAACAGCCATGTTAGTCCCTGAATTATCTCAGCTGTAAATTCCAGCCCATTTTCTGACCTCAGAGTTAGAGGCAGTCTAAATCTGGGGATAATATCTCTTAACCGTACTTCAGTTACTTCTCCTGATTTCTCTGTTGGGGTGTGGAAAGCCTCAAACCATCCCAAAAAGGTACAGACAAGCCCCAGTAGGTACTGATAGTCCCCTGATTGGGGCAGTTTGGTGAAGTTTATAAGAAGTTTTTCACAGGGTGTGGCTCCCGTTTCCTGAATTCCCAGGGGCCTAGTGGGCCCTTGTCATAGCTTGTTCTGGGCACAAGTTAGACATTGTTTGCAGATGGATCAAGTGATGGCAGGCAGCCGCAGCACATAAACATGGTGTCCTAATAGTGTTTTCAGTGACGTTTTACCCATATGGGTTCCTTGATAGAATTGTCTTACAAATTTTAGAGCCACTGTTTCATGGTTGGCTAGCCTCCTGTTGGAGAATTTTCACCATAACATTTTATATATTTTCCAGACTCTTGGGCAAAGCAGGGCTTCTCATTTGGAGGTAACTTGAAACCTCCGAGAGGAGAGGCTTTGGAAGTAGAGGCATAGCTATGGCTTTCTTCTTAAACTGAAGGGTAGTCATTGCTGCCCCTCTTGCCTCTCTGTCTATCTTTTTGTTCTTTTTGGCCTCCAGTGTTCCTGCCTTTTGGTGCCCCCTGCAGTGCATAACAGCCATCTTCTTCGAAGCACATACAGCATCTAAGAGTTGCAGAATTTTTTCTTTGTACTTTATTTTTTTGCCTACAGCCATTAAGAGTCCTTTTTCTTTATATATAGCCCCATTGTCATGCAACGTGGCAAACGTATATTTGGAATCTGTATAAACATTGACCATTTCGCCTTTTGCTAGCAAAATGGTCTCCTTAGGGCTATTAGCTCTGCCTTTTGGGCTGACATTCTGGTGGGCAGTGGCTGAGCTTCTACCACTGAGTCTAATATCATCACAGCATACCCAGCTTGCTGGACACCTTTCAGTGTAAAGCTGCTTCTATATGTATAGCATTTAACATCTGGGTTCCAAAGGGGTTGTTCTGTAAGGTATCTCTGGATTCAGAGTACCGTGTCTACTGTTTCCATAGAGTCATGAAAGGGGACTCCAGGTTCAATCGGGAGCAGGAGATAGCCAGCTTAAGGGTGTTTATTATTTTGAAAGTTATGTGGGAATTTTTGCATAAGAGCACCTGGTACCGAGTCATTCTCGGACTTGATAACTAATGGTGCCCTGTCTAATCCATTAAAGTTAGAACTGAATGCGGTACCTGGATGGTCAGTTGTTGTCTTAGAGTCAGTTTTTTAGCTTCTTGTTCCAATAAGGAGGTGGCAGTTAGTGCCCTAAGCCAAGGAGGCTACCCTAGGGCCACAGAGTTCAATTGTGTCGATAAGTACACCCCTGGGTGATGTCATGATTTCATGACTTGACTCAGGACCCCTATAGCCAATCCCTTTTGTTCATGAAGAGAGGCTTGATTATATTTGGCAGTCCTATGGCTAGGGCCTTAGTTAAGGCTTGTTTGGGTTGTTTAAACACCTTCTTCTCCTGGACAACCTCCAAAAGGAGGGGTTCCCTTTCCCCCCTCTTTGTGCCCTTATGTAAGGGCTTGGCCATTAGTAACAAATCTGGGATCCATATACAGCAGAACCATGCTTTCCCCAAGAATTTTCTTATTTGGCACTGGGTGGCCTGAGTTGGGAGTGCATAAACACGTTGCTTTTGCTCACTGTTAAGCCAGTGTTCCCCTTGGCTTACTATGAATCCCAGATTTTTTATGCTTTCTTGGCAAAATTGGGCCTTCTTTCTGAATACCTTATAACCAGTTTTCTATAAACATGGTGGAGAAAGACTTGGGTTCCTTGGTAGCAGTCCCCTGGCGTTGGGTCTGCCAGGAGAAGGTTGTTAACATATTGTAGCAAGGCACAGTTGTCATTTGGTGGGGTGTGGGCCTTAAGGTCTGATTCCAGTGTGTTTCCAAAGACTGTGGGAGTCTAGCCCATGTGAGCTCCTCCCCCATGCCTGTGACTGAATCGTGCCATTGAAATGCCAAGATGGGCTGACTAACTGGTGCCAGGTGAAGACAGAAAAAAATATTCTTTAAGTCCAGGCTAGTAAATTAGGCAGCACTTGCCAGAATGAGTCCTATTAGTGTGTATGGGTTTGGTACCACCAGGTGGATGGTTACAGTAGCCTGGTTCACATCATGTAAGTTTTGCACTGGCTTATATTTACCAGACCCTGGATTTTGTATCGGTAGGAGTAGAGTGTTCCAGGTTGACTGGCGCCAGACGAAGTTTCTGTGTTTGAAAAGTCACTTTAAATGTTTGTGAATGCCCTGTGTGTCTTCTCAGGGAAATGGGTATTGGAGAACCTCAACTGTGGTTGCTCCCGGTTTTAGCTTTACTATTACTGGTGCCTGATTTAGAGCCAGCCCCAGTGGGTTATTCTTAGCCCATAGTCCAAAAATTTTACCAGGTAGCATAAATAACTTCTCCAGCCCAGGCTTTTGAGACAATTCCGGTGACTGTTATGTGTATATTCTTTATTCCTCAGCCTGTGTAATGATGAGGGTTAACACCATGACCTTTGGGTGAGTTAGGTTTAAAGTTATATCCTAGTGTGTCCCAAAAGCAATCTGTGCCTGCAGTTTCTGGAGCAGGTCCCTTCCAAGTAAGGGAACTCGGCAATTTGGGAGGTATAGGATTTCATGTTGGACTTCTTGTCCCCCTATGACACAACTCCTTGGCCAGAAAAATGGCCTCTTTTCTGGGACCTCTGTAGCCCCAATAATAGTTGCATCGTGTTTAGATAGTGGCTCTATGGGCTGTATCACTTCTGAGTGATTAGTGCTAGTGTTCACCATAAAGTCCATCTGTTGATCCCCTACTTCTGCTGTGATCACGGGCTCCTGGGGGCCTTAGGAGATGCAGCCCAGTCTTGCATTGTCTTCATATTTTTCAGTCTCTACCAGCCTCATCAAGTTGATGCCTGGCCCCCTTAGGGTGTGGTGGTCCTTGGCTGGCCATTTTATAGATTTATGTCCACTGTTATTTCTTTTACTGCCCTCTAAACACTTATTTTTCCAGTGTCCCCTCTTTTTGGATTGTGCACATTGATCCCTATCTAGTCTCAGCTGACTTTTGAGTCTCTGCCCTGTTTGGCCCCTTCCACATCTGCATCTGTATCTGCGTCTGCTTGTGACGATAGCTTCCCTTTCCATGAGGGCTGCCGCTAGCAGATTGGCCCGCTTCCTGAGTCTCCAATCAGCCTCCCTTTGTGCCTCCTGGTCACAGTTAATGTACACCTTGGTGGCCACTTCTAAAAGCTGGGTTGCCTTTATGCTTGCAAAACCATCTAGCTTCAGCAGTTTTTACCTGATATCCCCCTGGGCTTGTCCTACAAATGCTGTGCTTACCATCTGCCGATTCTTAGTATCCTCAGTGTCGAAAGGAGTGTAAAGCCAGAATGCCTCACAGAGTTTCTAATAAAATTGGCTAGGGCTCTCATCAGTTTCTGGAAGCACTTTAGAGATTTTTCATATACTGACTGCTTGTTTTCTGCCTTCCTTCAGACTTTGCAGGAGGGCTCCTCAGTACCTCTGCAGGTGCTGAAACTGGGTCAAAGCATGTGAGTCCCAGTGGGGGTCTTCCTCTGGGAACTGGAACTGAGCGTATGCCTGGAATGGCACATTGGCTTCTAGCCAGTGGAGGGTTGACTGAGCCATCCATCGGTGCTCTTTAGTGTTGAACAGCAGCAACAGAAGCTGTTTACTATCTGGCCAAGTTGGATTATGTGTCTGGAAAATAGACTACATCAGATCTAAGAGGGCCTGGGGCTTCTCCATGTAGGAGGGAATATGGTATTTCCAGTTTAGGGGATCAGTGATTAAAATAGGCTGGCAGATGGAGGTCCATTGCCCCCCATTGAATATGGCCATGTTCATCATAGTAGAGGGGTCCCCAAGTCTCCCTGAGAGGCATCTGCAGAACCGGGGCATGGCCAGACCAGAGGCAGCTCTCTTGATTATTCTGACAGTCCTCCTTGACCTCCTGGGACAGGGGCTCTGATTTCTCCCTTTGGGGTGAAACCTGGGGTGTGTCACCTTCTGAATTGACTCCTCAGAGGCCGTTGGCCTTGGTAAAGGGAGGCAGATAGGGGTATAGGGAGGAGGGATTTCTGTCTCCTCTTGTGGTTTCTGTAAAGCCAGTTTTTCTTGCCCTTTTTGTGGCTTTTCCTTTCTCTCCATAGCTGGTGGTGAAGCTAATTCCTCTTGTACTTTAAGCTCGGCTCAAGCCACAAGTGTTTTGCAACAAGCCATCAGGTAGGACTGTAGCCATCCTGCTCAAGTTTGGAGGATATTTAGCCATGAGTGAAGATAAGAAAATTAGTCTAGATGCCCTGGCTGTCCTCTGACCCCAGTCACCACTTGATGTACATGGCCAATTGTTCCCCTATCTGTTGTTCTTTCAGCTGGCCACGTGACACTAAAAGAGGGACACTCCATTTCACAAACGGTCTTTTATCTCTGGGGAGTCAACTTGATCCTATAATTCCCTTCTTAAACTTTTTAACATACATTATAATGCGGTGGGTTTTGACGACTTCCCTCCCATTTCCTCACAGTTATGGCACCATGCACTTACACTTTTACTTTTGTGCTTCACACTGATTAGACAGCCTCCCTTGCAGGAGTATTTCAGATGCTGCTTAGCTTTAATGGAGGGTTTGTATAAACCCTGAACCCAGACCACCACAATCACTAAATTGTGGGGTGCCTCACTAAGCCATATGTGCTAGTTCCAGAGGACGTTTGCCCGTAGTCCTGGTCAGTCCCACACTTCACTCAGGATGTACGGTCTACGCTAAGAGGCCTGCAGCCCCACACACATCACCCTACTCTTGCACACACATTCACCCACTTCCCTACCCTCAGTTCCTCTTCATAGGTTGGGGTGTAGGTTTCATTTGAATTAGCGAGCAAATCTTGCGTCCTGGGTC
Source organism: Homo sapiens (assembly GCF_000001405.40). Classification (NCBI taxonomy): domain Eukaryota; kingdom Metazoa; phylum Chordata; class Mammalia; order Primates; family Hominidae; genus Homo; species Homo sapiens. The sequence continues at coordinate 18,745,279 of NC_000024.10, read as the reverse complement.
GGATAACTAGGTACACCCTGGGAGGTGATCCGGCTCCCATTCCATCTTTATGGGATGGGTCCTTCCTTGGGCCCCGAACCTTCCCATGGTTCAGCAGCACGCTGTCCGTGGAATTGTTCTGTAACCCCTTAGGTTCCATCGTGCTGGAATAGCTTCATTATTCCTTCTAGAAGTGTTTTGTGGATTTGTGTGTTGGGAAGGTCATGCTCTCCTGGTATTTTGACTGGGAGAGAAGAGGATTTCCTCGAAGCCCTTTTTATCTGTGCCTATTGGAGATTCTCAACTAAAAGCTCTTACAGTCCATCATCTGGGATATTGTATGGAAGACCTAAAAGAATCCAATAAAGGTATCATACTATCACTCTTCAAGTCGTGAAGTCCCTAGAGAAACTGTCTTCCTCTTTCTAGATTTCAGAGACTTTGTTTTCTAACATTATGTCAGAAACACTGGCGTGCTGCATTGTAACTGGAAATTCTAAAAAGTGAAAGTTATAGAAAGGCTTTTAAAGTACCATGGAAAGGAAATCTCGTAATGCAAATCATGGGATGATATTATTACACAGAATGACATGATGTGATTTACCTACAATAAAATGATTGTATAAAATAAAGTCTTCACCAAAATTAAATGATCTCAAAGTCTTCATAATATATGTGAAACTGATTGATAGCATATAAATAATATAGATCAAGGAAGAAAAGATAGAATACCTGCCATACACTTGGGAAGATAATATAGTTGGCAATGCTTCCAGAAAATATAAGCAAAAATATGTCTTGCCACAATTGCTGAAAGGATATAGTAATAACACCTTTCTAAGAGGTTTTATTTGTTATGTAATGAGTGAATTAAAAGAAATCAAGCACTTATTTCTAGCTCTCGGGAGCAAAGTGAAAATTTGCAAAAGGAACTCTTATGAAAGCAAGAGATTATAAGTGTAAGACAAAATTATTTTAAAAATAAACTCAATATCAAGAAAGAAATCGTTTCTGTGGTTTGGACTCCAATAATATTCATTTGAGATCAACATTGGTAGTTTGTTGAAATAGTCAATTGAGGAGTAATGTTGGATATATTCCCAGGAAAGAGACCATTTCTTTGTTCAGTGGGGCTGGACACCCTTCCTAAATAATTGTTGAAAGTAGGTGTTGTTCAGACATTCAGTGGGAACATTTCAGTCAATACCAAAAGCCATGCCCACAGATACTAGGATCTAACACAAAATGAGATTTTCATTCAAATCCATGAAAGAAAGATTTATAACTCAACCTCTATCCTGTGGTATATTCAAGACTGAGGAGAGGATTTTCACAGTACCTAAAATATATAACTTCCTCGAAATCAGACTGGTATAAACTACTAGATATGAACAATTAAGTTCTTAAAAATCTGGAAAGATTAACGTAAAACTGCCCCCCAACAAGAATAACTTTGCATTCAAGAACTTAAGATTGCTTTACCACTTCAAAGGCAACATTGCTAATTCAATGGTGGACATTCCATGCCCTACGGGCTAGTCCAGGAAGACACTTAGGCGTCACACTCAAAAACAAAAAGTTAAATCACGAGTCTTCATAATAATTAGGCTTAGGTATTGTTTGAGATGAAGAAATAGAATCTAAAGGCAAAAACAGGTGAGTAGCAGGACACAAATAAATATTTTAAATAGACAATTATTCATCATTGAAAAATGAAGCACATGCTAAAGGAAATCAAAGAATTTTTTGTTTGTTTCTTATACAGTAGATTCAGTATAAATATAGCAAGAATAAGTAGTTTCCTAAGTAGATCTCAAAGTAAGGTTGCCACATGTAGGGAGAAAATACAGGAATTTAAATGTCACATTTTAATTTGAAATTTGACAATTTGTTGACAAAAAACAAATAATTATTTTTAGTATAAGTCTGTCCATGCAATAATGAGAATATTACTAAGTTACAAGAATATTGACAATTATACTAAAATGCTTTTTGTTGTTTATTTAAAATGAAAAGGTAACCGAGAAGCCTTCATTTTATCTGGTGACCATCTATGAAAGAGAAGTTATGAAAGTCAAGCTCAGAGTAGGAAGCTTTCATCTACATTCATGAAAAACACCGTAAGACAAAAATGTGTAGAAAGGGCAGCAGGCAGAATACAAAAATAATCTCTACACAGAATATGATTCCACATACACTGTTGGTATTTAAAACAAAGTTTCAACTCACAAAGATTATGCAAATATCAAAGACTTATCAAAAGACCAAGGAAAAGAAGAATAAAAGTTTCCTTCTTTCTTTTTACAGAATGAAGGAAAGTAAACCTCTAAATGAAGGAGGTATTACAAGAATTTTTTTTTATGGGGCTAATAAATGTTTTACTTTGTTAGAAAAAAGTTAACTAACTGGGTCCTACTGACTAACTACAGAAAGGGTAGAAATATCGTGATTAATGTCAAAAGCAGGAAAAGAAATAAATATGAGTAAGACAATTAAATCAACACAGTTAGGGAAAACATGTGGTGGGTGGGGAGAGGAAGAGAAAAACTAAGGCAAATGGGAGGCAAAGGCAGAGACAAAGAAAATCCAGGGTAGAACAACTGTCTAATCGGATATCGGTTATGGAGATAACAGAGTAACCATATTAGATATAAACTGTTTAAATTTCTGTGTTAAAATATAAAATACTCATATTAGATTGAGAGAAAAAATTGCTTTTACCTTGAAATAATGACACTGAAATATTGAAAATGAAGGTTTAGAGAAAATTAACAAGTATTTGTCAAAAAAGTAAGGCCACTGATACTATATGAGGCAAAGGAGATTTTTAAGAAAAATGCAAGCAATAAAGAGGGATAATAATATATAACTTGTAAGGTGACAGACAAAATAAGAAATATCAACATATGAACAAACTTTTAAAGATAATATAACAGTCAGGAATTTAAATGCCTCAGTAGCATTGACTCAATATACACCGGAGGCAAATTTTATAAATGTCTATTTAGGTAGACAAATCCCAGTTGTAGTGAGAGGTGTTTATTATATTACTCACCGAGACTGATGAGTACACAGACATTTAAGAGTTAATAGAAAGACTTTGCAATGTTTGTGTACTTACTTTTCTTCAGTTTTTTAATGTGAAGCCAAGTAGTAGAGCACACTTTTAGGATTCTACTAGCTCTGCTAGCAGAGCAAGTATTAATACAGAATAACCCTCTTCCCCTTTAACATCAAGTACGTCTCATCTAACTAGCACTTTGTTTTGCCTTCTCACATGCTCACTAGACATCATGCTCAACCTTCTCTTCCAGATCCACTTTCTCATGATACTGTTTTCTAACTGGTCTTACTTGGATGCCAGCAAAATGCAGGCTTACCAGGATATCAAAGCAAAGAAAGAACAGGAACTACAATATATCCAGTTTCAGTAAAAGAAGTAACTCAATTCTTACACACGAATGTTTGCCGGGGGGCTTTCAGTCAATGCATTTACAGCCCTGACAAATTATGAGACAGCTGCTCTGCATTACACATGAGTATTCCACCAAACTAATGTAGACATTCAAACACCTCACTTTCTCTCTCAAGCTGCTGGGATGCAGCGCCTGGAATACCTTGCAGTGAGGAAATCTTTTTCTTTAGAGCAAATATTGGAAGTTTCATGTTAGCCATTTTAAAAGGCAACACTTTGACAAAATGACCTTTCACTCTTTGGAAACTGGGGGCACATTCACATTTACTGCTAGAACATTTCTCCCAAAACACTCAGTGTAATATGTGGTACTCTTTGATATGGACTGGTGACATGCCGGCATCAAAAGATGAGACCATACATTTACATGTACGTCATTTATTCTCAGTTAAGTGTTATCTACATAGGAAATAAACTGAAATTGTTGTGCAGTTTCAATTCTGACTGCTGACATTTATTAAACTTTGGCTCAAAGGTAGTGTGATTCGTCTCATGATTGACTTTTTGTACTAGCTTTCTCTCCCAAGTCCGTGTTCCATTAATTTCCTCAGCCAATAAGAAAATATTTTTCAATAATGCTAAAATTAGCTCCATTTGCTGACCCTACTACTAAAGAATCTGGATTCGGATTCATTGACAAGAATTCCAGAGGCACTTTTATCATAAGTTTTATTTCAACAAAATACTGATCCAGTTTTTATTATCCTCAAGAGTTAAATGTCAGCTCTGCCTTAAGGAGTATTTGGTATATACATTTTTCAGAATTTGTATCATAACCAGAGATGCAAATATCTTTAATAGAATTTTGTTCTGTATATTTTTTTTTAATTAAGAATTGTTACCTTACTCAAACGACCACCTTTTTAAACCATTTTTCAGTGGTCTGTGTAAACAGTTTCATATCAATTATCTGAAACCTAATTTAAAATTGGCCACAGACATCTAACCTCCTACTGTTAACAGACTTGAAGATGTAGATAATTTAAATTAGGGTTGGCATTTCATTTTTTCTTACCTATATCTTAATTTCTTGGAATAATAAAGTTTGATGTTCCACAAGAAAACTACTTAAGTCATTTTCAAAAGAAACTTGCCATCTGCATTACTGTGTTCCAGACATTAGGTGACTATAGGTACTGGGTGTTAGCAATGGTAAACTCCGTGCAGTTCTTTATGAAATGCTATATGTAACTGTTGGGTACATCAGTGCTTTCCAAATGGGTTGCTTAATATAGGATCCACTATGTATGTTTATGTTAAATGGTAACTTGTGATTTGGCTGTTTCCTGGGTTTTAGAACACCACAATGCAGAAATATATTCAAAATTAACAAAAGTAAACTTTTATCTGGATGCTATTAAATTTGAACATCAGGTATCATACATCAGCAGATCTTTTTTTTTTTTTTCTTTTTCTTTTTGTTACTCCATAAAAACACCTGTTTGGGATTTTTTCTTTTAACTGGGAGAAGCGCTCTTCTGTACAGAATGGCTATTCTAAAAATAGCTACGTGTTTTATTTTCCTCTTGCATGACAGATTTAACTATTCTTTCCAGCAATGGTGGTGCCTTCAGAGTCCAGTACTCCAGAAGAGTTAGTGTCTTGAGCCTAATTTTACATTTCTAATTCTGGTAGCTATTATCAGAAACTTTTGAAAGTTTTGTTTATGTAGCCTAGTATTTTTAATGTAAAGAGAATTAAATTTTGCTATGTATAAATTTTTGTAACCTAACAGTGAATCCATACTTTCAATCAGTGTCAAAGGCTTCCTATAGTTCTACTCAAGTGTTACAATAAATAATTGTAGATAATAGTCAATATTTGTGTATGCTTAAAGATCTATATTGGTGAAAATAGTAGCGGATGTAGTAAGAGAAATGAAATAAAAGTATAGCTTCATTCACTTGCCTTTTTACCATATGTACATCCAATCTTTCTTTGTCCTCAGTGTGGTGTCACTTTGGAATAATGTGCATAGTAAAGATTGCACATTGGTGTGGAAATCAAGTCCGTGAGCGCTACTTTGTTTATTTCTGGCAAAAATCTCTTCAGCAATTTAAGAAAATATTATAGCCTATTGGGCTGTATTGGGCATAAAAGTGCCCCTAGCACTTCTGTGGTTTTCTGTAGAAAGTAATAGCTTTTCTGATTAGTTTTGAAATAAATAAATGCCACCTACCTACGAGATTAACAAGGCTTGAACTTTTGCAAATTACAAACGATCAAGGCCTGTGTGTAGTTGTTTATTTTTCAAATCAAAGGTATAAAAATGGAAAGATTTACTCAGAAATATATAGAAAACCAGTTCTGTCACTCTCTAGAGTTGCAGAGCTAAATATGTTACTCAGAATTTTATTATATAATCTGTTTGAACTCCTTATCTGTCAACATAATTCTGAATTTGGATTCTCTGCATCTGACCTTCCTTAGTGAGGCCTAGGATTTGTCACTACTGACACATGGCCACTCCTAATTGAGGTGCTGACTCTGGATCATCACCCTTTATTCTGGCATGACAGAAAAACCGTCAGCAGTTCAATTAGTGTGCTATCTGTCACACTGCTTACTGCCTATTGTTTAAGTAGCGTTTTGTGCAATTATTTGTCACATGAATAGATAGAGGAAACTGTAAATAATACACAGATGAGATCACAAGCACCTATAAATTATCCATAGTGATTCTGCCACAAAATCTAGGACACTCTAGAGGTCTGAGTAGAGATTTTTTCCAGTTCTATGTTGTAAAAGCTAACTTTTAAAAAATAAAAATGAGATCAATTGTAAAGGAGGAGCCCTGTTTTTAAAAACTAACGAAATACTTGAAGCCCATTCATTAAGTATGAGGACCAAAATTTCCACAATAAATATGCCATCTCAGTATGTTCCTGATGCTATAACACAGTACCTTGGACTGGGTAACTTATGAAACTGGAAAGAAATAAATTTCTTACAGTTTTAGACACTGGGAAGTCCAAGATCAAGGCACTAATAGGTCCAATGTCTGGTGAAGGTGGGTCTCTTCTTCCAAGATGGCACCTTGTTGCTGTGTTCTCCAGAGAGGACAAATACAGTGTCCTCTAATGGTGGAAGGGCTAAAAAGCCTAGCTACTTCCATTGAGTTCTTTTATAAGGTCTCTAATTGCACTCTTAACCTCCTCCCAAAGTCCCCACTTTTTAATTCTATCACACAGGGGCATTTAAATTCCAACATATAAATTCTGGAGCGACACATATATTCCAGCCACAGGTGTCAAATGGAAAGACCACAGGCAATATTGTACTATTTCTAATGCCTAGAAAAATGTGTATCTTAATGTTTAGGTAGAAAACAGAAATATGCTGGGAAAAACGACGTCTCGTTGTAAAGATCACAGCCCAACTCTTCGGAGGAAAAAACACAGCTTACCCTTCTCAAATGTAAGCCTAGATTTGAGGAATATAGTAGGTTATACTTATCTAAAAATTTAGTAGAAAAATAAGAAGGCTTTTTTAAAAGAACAGCTCCTTTTAGTATAATGAATGAGACATTTTATGACTGGAAAAGGGGGTTTCACTTGACTCGATTATTCTCGGTTCATACACTATAGTACCAAATACATTAGGAAAAACCAGTACACTGGATTACCCACCGGTTTCTATTCAGAGTTTTGTCTGATGACAGAGAAACCTTTACAAAGGAGTAAATGTTATGTAACTTCTCATCATATTGAAATTAGAAGCTGGGGAGCAAACCTGGTTACCAAGAGTCATCTGGTTCGTCATGAGAAAAGCCTGTTAAATTAACAAAGGAAAGAGAAAAATTAAAGGGTAAAAATTTTGAAAATTTGTGTCGGACTTTTCTGGTATCTTTATAATGGTTTCAACTTATATCCTGGGGAGTTTCTGGCCTAGCTTATAAATTACATTAGGAACAATTTCACACGTTAAAAATATCAATCCATTCTTTTTATAGTCAGTAATTCTGACTGATTCAATAACTTCTTACGGGCAACCTCAAATTTCTATCCATTTCTTTAGCTGACACAATGAGCGATTAGCTGTTCACATATAAAACACAGTGTTGGGAAACCAAGTCCATTTCAACTTTTTCCGTAGATTGAAGCATGTCTATAGGGAGCCTTCCTGAACCACCTTTCTTGAGCTCTGATTATGTGGCAGAAAGGGAAGATTTTTGAAATTTGGTATGTATTAATTTTATGATATAAGTTTCTCTAAGAACCATTTTTGAAACATATATGTCATTTAAAAGCCTAAAAACGTTGTGACTGATAAATACAAAATTTAGCAAGCACATCAAAATAAACGATCAGGTATGCATTTAACACCATGATACTTCAGACTTATATAAAATATTAATGTCAGTACATATGTACTTGTTATATGATAATAGTTGTTTTCTTTCTTGTTCCTAAAAAACATGAAAAACCCTACCTTTACAAACATTGATAAACCAAAACCTATTAAATACTTTGTCTTAAGAAAAAAAATCCATAATTTTTTTCAAAACAGCATTACCTTTAAATGACTCAAGGTTCCATGTGAAATTTAGATTTTTTATGCTTTCCACCTTTTTGTCTTCAATGGAGGAGAAAGATTACTCAGATGTGGATTCCTGTTCCAAGGAGTTAAAATAAACCACAGAAGCCCTGTGTGTCCCCCACCCACAGCATGTATGCTAGTGAAGTAAGTTTTTGTAATGAAAGTCATTGCTGTCATCATTGGAAAACAAATAGATCATCTAAATGCTGGGAGCGATGAATTTCCCTCAAGCGTCCTATGCTTTAGATCTGAATTAACCAGGAATCCAGGGAACATCCATGTGTTATGGTAATTCAAGCAAGACTTAACAACTGTGTTAAGTGGACAGAGTAATCCATCTGATAGGACAAGAATGAGAACCCAGAAGGGAAGAGAACCTGCGGAAAAAGGGAGGCACCAAATGCCCCTGGAAGCAGCCTTGGACTGGCGGCCATGTCCGCCCTTGGGGTCTTCTGATGCCAGCTAGCTGACATTGACAGCCTCTTCTTTAAAGTCTGTTTTCAAAGCAACATTCTGAAGCAAAGCACAGTCTACATTTTTTACAGACTTATTTAAGGATCAAATAGAATGCACAAAAATTACCTTCAAAAACAGTCATATACTATGAAACTCCTAAGCTCCATATTCTGTGCAGCCTTTCTTACTGCTTGTAAGACAAGAAGAGAACAGGGGTGCCTTTCAGGGCACATGCCACTCTTCTGACTTTGGACACTAATTGACTCCCTTCCCTGACCTCAACGTACTTATGAAAGCTGTACAATGCTGGAACTTGTACAGAGAAGCAACTCATTACCCTTTTGTGATCTAGATTTTCTAGCTCCCTTTGTTCCCTTGCTAAAATGTAGGTTACTCTGCCGTTTTTCTTCTCTGCCTTTGTTCTTTCACTTGCTGTTGCCATATTTTTTCTTCTTGCTTTTGTTCCTCAATTGGTTTCTGAACTATACCTAACAGTTCAGAAAATAAAGAGTAGCTGCCCGTATCAGATTGTTCAAATGAATGTGAGACCAGTCTGCAGGAGTCCTTGCCAAGACCCGGGGAGACTCTGCTTGGCTTTTGTTTGACACGTGACCTACTTCAAGTCGCTGTTCCATGTTCATCGACTTCAAGCCCCCAATCCCGCTCCTTGCCACTGCATCCCACTTCACTTGGCTGAGATGAGTTGTACTCATCCCAGGGTGACTTGTAGTCACCCTCATCATGACCGACTCCAAGTGACATATCCTCCCTCCATGTCGCAAGTTCTTGTCCTTTACACGGATCTCCTTCCCCTTTTTCAAAGCAAAGCCTACATTTCTGCCTCTGCCTTTGATTATAATCCCTCTCCTAACTTTAGGATCCTGACTGAGCCACTGATCCCTATTTCTGTACAGAGCAGTTTTATAACTCTTACTCTCATAAAGGTGCTCAAGTCTGTTCTCCCCTGAAAAAACAGAACAGACATCACACACCTGCACTCCCCCAGACATTCTAGCCAACTCACTTTTCATTCCCCACTTCCACCAAATGGACGGCAGTCCTTCCTGGGTTTTTCACGATTACTCAGATATGGATCCTTTCCGTATCTTTTCTTCTACTGCTGGTCTCTCTACCTGCCCTCACATCCACAGTTCTGACAGTTTCCTGCCATATACATGTGAAATCCTCACAGCACCAGCTTTGTCCTGGGTGGGATCATCCCAGTTTTTTTGTTTGTTTGTTTGTTTGTTTTTCTCATGCTCTTTCTATCCTCCATCCATCTAGCAACCAGTGCTGGCATGTTCACATTCCCTGTCATTCAGCTGCACCAGGGGCCTTTCTCACCATCTCCCTGGAATACTTAAAGAGCCCACCCAGTCAAGACTCTCCGTGAAGTCAGTCTCTGCCTTCTAGTAACTTGTGGTCATTTGCACCAGGAATTTCCTGAGGGGAAGGTGTGTATCTTCTGTGCAGTGTCTCTGCTCTGTTAGAGTTCAACACCATGGTAGTCTGGGCTCCAAAAATCTGCCTTTATCTTTCCATATTGATTTCCTATAACACCACCAGCTTTGACCTAGAAATATTTCATCTGTCTCAACCCACTCACTGGGGCCTGGCCATGGTTATGTCTTCCTTGCTTGGTATTCACCTTTACTGTCTCCTCGGCCTGCGGCCCTCCCACACTGTCATAAAGCCTGTTATGCTATTCAAAACCCAACTGAAATGCCATATCCTCCTTATTTCTGAAGGGACAAGTAACCAAACCACTCCAGCAGCTTACTTACACCATATCTTGCACCTGCTTGTTGAAAACCTACACATACTTGTTTTGTCCACTTCTATTTTTTTCCAGTGAAGCCCCATATTTTAGTAAATTGTCTGTTCTCTCTGCATCTTGGCACAGATCCCTACATCTCAAATGTTTCATTAGACATCATTCTCAGAAACAATTATGCTGACCTTTCTCTTACAGTTCTGACACATAACCGATGTTTTTAAAGCTAGAAATGCTAATACGAAGAAAAATTCATAGGTTTACCAGAGGACTCTGAACCTTCTTGCTCTGCCTTGTTTTAAACTCATCCGCAGTGACTGAGTTAATTTCATGAATAAGAGAGAAGCAACACAGTTTTTCCTCTCTCTCCACCCCCCATCTCTTCTCAATCCTTCTCATGAAATTAAAATACAAAAGAGGCGTTTGATAATTTCTGCAGGCAGAAAGGCAACTTTCTCTTTGCTAGAACAAGAAGTGAAAGTTACTCTAAGATGAGATTGTTTTCTTTTATGGAATAGTAATCTCAAAATAGGGATGTTGTTTAAGCACCTCTATATTTAGAAACAAAGAGGAAGAACAAACTGCTTTTCTGCTCTGGTGTATGTTTTGCACCTGCACGGTGGAATACAGAAACCTCTGTGGACACAAAGGCAAAGGAATAAAGTATGTTCATTGGGCACCTCATATCAGAGACACCAAATTGCAGCCTTTTCCATTCCATCTGTGCCCAGATGAAGAGGTGAAATGATGAATATAAAAATTTCTCAATAACAACAATGCTACTCACTATGCTCCTTAATAATTTTAAAGCTAGTATGATAATGTACATTCTCTCTCAGAGGCAGAACACCTCACTACTCAGTTGATTTTCTTTATTCTATCACATTATTTTCATTCCCTTGCTCAGGCCTGGGACAAACGGCTGCCTGTCAGAAACTCCTTCTTGGGGCCACCTTCCCTAATGATCAGCTGCAGCCCATTTCTTCTGCACTCCTGGGTAATGTCTTCCTGGCAATCTGCCTCAGTGACTAGAAATTCAGGAAGACAAGGGCTTGGTTGGGTTCACTGTTGTGCATTCAGCCCCAAGGAAAGTGCCAAGGAGAGATAGGCTTTAGATAAAATCTCTCTGAATGCTCTCCAAAGCAGATTTACTCTTGAATCAGCAAAGTCCAACTTCTCAAAACCCCTTGCCTCTTTAAGTAATTCTGTATGTTCTCGAGTGCCATGACTATAAGCAAGAAACTGCTAACAAGAGGTTTTGGAAATGTTTTGAAGATGATGCATTTTCAATATTTGTGGGGAAGAAAGTGTGGTTTAACTTGAGAAATTTTCTTTCGTGTTTGAGAATTAAACACTTTGATCCCAAAACAAAAGAGCCTGGCTGTTTGCTTAGCCCTAGAGCAAAGTGCAAAGCTCCCACAGCTCTCTTCCAGTCTCCCTGCACCTCCAGCAAGGAAAGTGGGTAATCTGAAAGAAGACTGGATTGAGAAAGTGGGCCAGACAAGAGAAGTCTGATGGCCAGTTTTTCTCCAGTGCTAAGTTAACTCAGCGTAACAGCTTTTCCAAAAATTAAAATACAAATATTTTCCCTAATTTCTTAAGACACGAAGGAAGCATATAGGTGGAAAAAGAAATAATATTTAAATGTTTCAATCACATAAAGTTCTCTAATGGGAGTTAACTATTATTTCAGTGTTTCATCATGATCTCTCAAGATGATAAGGCCTTCATGAAATAGTTTTTGCCAAAGAGTTTTGGGGAAAAGTCTACCTAGTATGCTAGACACTGAATAGTTAATGAAAACACTTTCAAGAAACTCATCTCGGAAGCCAAAATGAGAAGTCCTTCATTGCAACGTGTGCTTTCCTCAGCATGGTCTTTACAAGATAACACAGAAGTTACTTCAGAAACGTCATTAACGACATAACGACACTATAAACCCCACACCAATACTTTGACTAGATTACACCTACAAAAAGACCTTCAGTGATACATGAAATAATTCACAGAGTACACATTACACAGATGTGACCCTGCAGACTGTTAGTTAAAATAAATAACTTACTTGGGTATTGATATGAGATGGGCACAGCAGCTGCAGCAGCACCCACAAGAGGCATATCTCCAGATATGCGTACACATGAGACATATCTCCAGAAGAGAACTCATCCATTTCAAGATGCCCGGGCACGTTTCCTGCATCTGCATGAGGCACAAATGGTTTTCCCATGAGTCGTTCCTTAGCAATAACCTCCTTCAGAAATAAGGAGGATATGGCATTTCAGTTGGGTTTTGAATAGCATATCAGGCTTTATGACAGTGTGGGAGGGCCACAGTGCCATGTGGGGGCAACTGGCTGGAGCATGGGAACTGCAGCCAAAGTAACTAGGTGGACTTTTTCCTGAGCGGATTTTGTGAATTTCCAAACATAACCACTTGCCAATGTATTAGCTTGTCAGAGTCTTCTTGTACTTAAAAGAATTAACTTTGTTTACAAAACTAGATTTCCCAACAAGAAAGTCAACCCAGTGACAGTGAAGAATCCATATGGCTTGTTGACAATAATCTGAATTCTTTTGAAATGTCAGTGATTTCACCCAAATACTTTAACAGATATTCACGAAATTTACGGAGCCCTCTCATTGACTTTTCAAAATATTATACTTCCAGATTTGAAGATGACTTTTACAAGACTAACCAATGGGTTACATACAAATATAAAGATTTCTCAAGCTGGAAAGAACCACAGAGATGATATGCTCTACATGCTTATTTTACACTTACAAAGTGACTACAAAGTGAGACAGTCTAAGGCAGGGCCACAGCCAGAACACCAGTTTCTGGACTCTTAATATTCTTTTATCTCCACTCTTTCACTAAAAATGAGGTTTTCTGGATCTGAGGAAATCAACAGAATCAGTTAATTTAAAGAAAAATAACATCCTTGTATTCCATATAAAGGAAGAAATACATATTTTAAAATCACTTATTTTAAATCTTATAAGTTAATGTATTTATGAGCTTAGCTCAAACTTTAAAATTAGTCATGCTGAAATACTTTAAAAGTAAACAGACACAATCACAAAAACTTCATGATAGAAAAATGAGCTGATATAGCTGTATTTGTAGTTTTGTCACAGAATAAAAATGATCCAATTTCTAACTGCTGTTTTGTTTTTATATCAATAGATACGCTTCACCAAAATGAAACTTTCCAGATCTTCAACTTATGAAAACAGGTATTTATGTTGCAACTTACATTTAAAAGATGAGTCGAATTACTCATAATCCTTAGAAGTTAGCTTGTCCGCATCTGAAAATTCACTTTTACCTTGAAGTTCAATCTGTCTCTGGGAAAGACTAGATTGGAAGAATAAAATTCAAGAATGTGATGTTTTAGTAATGGAAAAGCCAAGAGCGTCAGGTGGCAAAAGTCCTTCTGTTACTCAAGAAAATGCTCTGAAAAATTCCTTTTCTCTTTTTTTTTTGTAAAGATTAACTCCACCTCACCACCACAATGAGGTATTTTTCTCAGCAATTGACACCTGTTTACTCAGTTACTCCCTGTAACTATGTTATGCTGTGAAGTAGGCAATACAGTTGTTAAAGAAGAATAATGTTGGACTCTGAATGTTATTCCGAGGAGTTTCATTTTTCAATAGTAATAAAACATTTCTAAAAAAATTCTGCATATTACCAGCATGAACCAGCTGAGGTGGCAATAGCAAAAACTTGAGTGATTAGAGTGCCCTACTCAGCATATGTGTATGTTTTATCCTTCCTTTTGGCTTATCACAAGTACAAAAAAAGAAAAAAAAAAAAACACCTGGCCATGTGTGGTGGATCATGTCTGTAATCCTAGCACTTTGGGAAGCTGAGGCTGGAAGATCACAAGGTGAGGAGCCTGAGACCATCCCGGCCAATATGGTGAAAACCCATCTCTACTAAAAATACAAAAATTAGCAGAGCATGGTGGTGCGTGTCTGTAGTCCCAGTTACTCATAGGGTGAGGCAGGAGAATTGCTTGAACCCAAGAGGCAGAGGCTGCAGTAAGGTGAGACTACACTCAAGCCAGGGTGACAGGGCAAGACTCTGTCTCAAAAAAAGAAAAAGCTTTGGAAACATGACTGGTGTTGCTGGAAACAGCAGACTAGAGAGGTTGATGTGGGGAAACTGGGGGATTTATTTATGTGCACCAGCTCAGCGAACTTATAACCAAAAAGGCTGAGTATTGAATAAAGACTGAGCAGGGCTCTTTATAAGCAAACTTTCAGAAGCAGAAGTAAAGCAGTTGATTATACAATGAAAGGTTATGTAATTTATAGCATAACTTTTGACTTTGCATAACATCTTGCCTTGCATAGCTGGGTTTTGCAGCTGTGTTGAAAGAAAAATGAACCTACAAATTTTACTAAATACAAGCATTGGTAAACATAGTCATAATTAATGCTTCAGAAGAAGGAGAGACAGTAAAGTAATTTGCTTTTAATTTCAACTTTGCTCCAGTAAGGGGTATTTGCAACCCATTCACTTGGCCTCAACTTTTTAGACACTGTTATTTTATGACTGTCCTTGAAGTGAGCTAGATAGATGGAGAAAATACTTGTTTTTTTTTTTCTTTGTCATACGTGTCTTGTCACATTTTTCTATTTTTTTTTGATACCATTTATAGGAGAAATTTAATAGAAGGCATTCGTATTATTTTATTCTTTATGGGAAAGCATGTTTTCTTCTTTGGTCAAAGGTTGATATTTAGTTAGGGCTATTAACTCAGTAGCAGTATGCCTGGTCATATTGTTTTTGGACTATGTAGTATGTGTAGAAGTTGGGAATCCTTTTATGGGTACTTTTTTTTTTTATCAAGGTTAAGTGGGGAAATAACAGCAAAGCAATGAGTAGCATATTTATGTTTAGTGTGGTTAGAAGAGATTCATACTCAGGGGAGGAGGTTGAGTATAGTGACAGAATAACAGTAAAATAATTAGTATTACAGTGAAAATTAGATTTAAGATTTTTAATTATATTTAACTTGCCTGATGAGTTTTTAAGTTTTGGCTGTGCGTAGACTAGTTATCTTCTGGAGTGTGATTAGAGCTGGGCTTGTTGTCCTCTTCTTCATCTTTAGTCTTGTGTGGATTCGTCGGCTTTTGGAGGGACCAGAGCAGGGCTGTTGTTCTCAGTGACAACTCTGTCTTGTTGCATGATTAGCTGCCTGTTTCAGCAAACCATGATGGATCGATTAAGGCATGATTCCTGCAATTTTAACAGCAGTGGGAGTGGATAAGATTACAAAATGGGACCCATCCCTTATGGGTTCTAGAGAAGTTGGGTTTCATTTTTTAACCCAAAGAGAGTAGTTAGGTTTAAAGAAGCATGCTGGGCCTGTCGGGCTAATACGCATTTCTTAATGTACCTGACGCTGAATACTTCACATGGCTATTTTTAAAACCTGCATTTGCTTTTTGAAGATTAATTTCCTTAGTTTGCAGAGATTACTTTTAATTTGACCTAAGATTTGGTGTGGCTGATTGAAAAAAATTTTATAGGGTGAATACCTAGTTTGTTTAGTGGGGGTGCACCTGACTCGGATGAACACCATGGGCAGGATTTGATTTTATTATAGTTGATTTTTGTGATAATTTCTTTTGGTAAGTGCTTCAGTGATTTGTTTATGCATTTGGTTTTCTTTTTTTTTAACTTTGTTGTTGGTAGGCTGTGTGTAACTTTCATTTTATTTTATGCAACTTTGCTAGATTTTAAATTATTTCAACTATAATTGCTAAACTCTTGTTTGACTTCAAAGTTAGAGGCAGTTTAAACCTGGGGATAATGTTTTTAAACAGTATTTTAACTACTTTTTTGCCTTTTCAGTCCTCATTGGAAAACCTTAACCTATGTTGAAAAGGTGTAAATAAGTGCTAGTATAAAACAATAGCACCTGACATGGGACAGTTTTGTGAAGTTTACAAGTAAGTTTTTACAAGGCATAGCTTTTATTTTTTAGATCCCTGGGGGCTGGGTAGGCCCTTGCCCTGGGTTGTTTTGAGCATAAGTTTGTTTCGGGAATTCAGGGACCCTGAATGGAGGGACTGGCTGGAGCTGCGACAGAAGAACATAAATTGTGAAGATTTCATCGACATTTATCAGTTCCCTAATAGTACTCTTATAATTCCTTACAGCTGTCTTACTTTAGTCTCTTAATCCTGTTTTCTTCGTAAGCTGAGAATGCATGTCACCTCAGGACCACTACTGTATAAATTGATTGTAACATATGTGTTTGAAAACGATGAAATCAGTGCACCTTGAAAACGAACCAAATAACAGCAGTTTTAGAGAACAAGGGAAGACAACCATAAAGACTGACTGCCTGTGGGCTTGGGCAAAAAGAGCCATATTTTTCTTCTTGCAGAGAGCCTATAAATGGACTATAAATGTGCAGGTATGACAGATATCACTAAATTCTTTTACTAGCAAGGAATATTGATAATTGATCCTCTGGGAAAATAATTGCATTCCTGGGGGGAGGTCTATAAATGGCCACTCTGGGAGTGTCTGTCTCATGCGGTTGAGATGAGGACTGAAATACGCCCTGGTCTCCTGCAGCAACCTCAGGCTCACTAGGGTGGGGAAAAACCCCACCCTGGTGAATTTGAGGTCAGACCATTTCTCTGCTCTTAAACCCTGTTTTCTGTTGTTTAAGATGTTTATCAAGACAATAAGTGCACAGCTGAACATAGACCCTCATCAGTAATTCTAATTTTTCCTTTTGCCTTGTAATCTTGCTTTGCCCTTTGCCTTGTGGTCTTTATTGGCCTCAGAAGAATGTGATCTTTGTTCTCCTATTGCTTTTTGAAGAGTGTGATCTTTGGGACCTACTCTCTGTTTGTACACCCGCCTCCCCTTGTGAAGTCCTTAGAAAAACCTGCTGGTTTTGTGGCTCAGGTGGGCATCAGGGTCCTACCTGTATGTGATGTTATCCCCAGTGGGCCAGCTGTAAAATTCCTCTCTTTGTACTCTTTCTCTTTATTTCTCAGGCTGGCCAACACTTAGAAATATAAAAAGAACCTATGTTGAAATATTGGGGGCAGGGTCCCCAGATATAAGTTAAGTTTGTTCACAAACACCTTGAATGATGGCAGTGAGTTCTGGCATGCAGAAGTGGCATTTCAGTAAGTTTTTAGTGCCATTTTTCACATATGAGTTTTTTGTATAATTTGCTTGAAAAATTATTTCCGCAATGGCTAATTTACTGTTATACAACTTTTATCAATTTTTGTTAATATATTTTCTAGTTTTTTTGATAAACGAGGCCCTCTCATTTGGAGTGTAACTTGGGATATTTTGGAGTGGAGGTTCTGGGATGAGAGGCATATTTAAGGTTCTTTTAAAAATTATGGCATAATTATTTCTTCCTGTTTTGCCTTCCTGTTAACTTTCCTATTTCCTTTGGCTTTTGATGTCCCTGCATTTTGGTGCCCCCAATAATGCATTATTACTACTTTTTCTGGAGCCTATACAGCTGTTAAGAGCTGTAGAATTTTTTCTTAGTACTTTATTTTTTTGCCTCCAGCTGTTAAGAGATTTTCTTTTTATACACATTTCTATGAACATGTAGTGTTGTAAAAGTATATTTAGAGTCTGTATAAATATTCAGCTTTTTGTCTTTTGGTAGCAAAAGGGCACTTGGTAGGGCTATTGATTTTGCCTTTTGGGCTCATGTTCCAGTAGGCAGAGATTGAGCTTCTACCATTGAGTTTAATGTTACCACTGCATACCCTGCTTGTTGGATATTTTTCTAGCTGAAAACTACTTTAATTTATGAAGTATTAAACATCTGAGTTTTTGAGGGGTTGATCTGTAAGGTCTCCTTTTCCAGAAAATATTTCATCCACTTTTTAGACACAGTTATGGAGGGGAGCTTCAGGTTCAACTAGGAGCAGCGTGGTTGGGCTTAAGGGGTTTACTGCTTTTTAAGTAATGTAAGGGTTTTCGTACAGAAGCCCTTGGTACTGCATTATTCTCAGAATTGATAACCAGTGGGACCTTCTTTGGCTCATTGATGTTTCGACTGAGTGTGGCACCTGGACGGTTAGCTGCTGTCTCAAATTAAGTTTGTTAGCCTCTTGTGTTAGCAAGGCAGTGGTGGCTAATGCCTTAAGGCAAGGAGGCCATCCTAGTGCCACAGAGTCTAATTGTTTAGTTAAGTATGCCGCTGGACAATGCTATAATTTTATAATTTGGGTTAAGAACACTGAAGCCATTTCTTTTCACTTATGGATGTATAGAAAGAAAGGCTTAGTTATGTTTGGCAGTCCAAACGCTGGGGCCTGAGTTAAGGCTTTTTTTTTTTTTTTAATTTGTTTAAATGCTTTTTGCTGTATGATCCTTTTCCAGAGGAGGGTTTCTTTATTTTCCCCCTTCATAATTTTATATGATGGCTTAGCCATCAGTGAGAAATTTGGGATTTAGATATGGTGGAATTTTTCTGCTTCTAAGAATTTGTTTTCTTTAATGCCTAGTGGTTGGGGTTGGGAGTGTACAAATGGCCTGCTTCCACTTATGGCCAAGGTGGCATTCCACGTGGCTTACAATGAAACCTATATATTTGAAATTTTTATGAAAAATTGGGCCATTTGTTGAGATAATTTGTAACCTGTTTTTCATAGGAGATAGAGGAGGTCTTGGGTTTCTTGATAACAGCCCTCCTGGATTGGTGCTACTAAAGAAAGATCATCTACATACTGCAACAAGGCACAGTTATCCTTTGGCAGGTTGTAGGCTTTAAGGTCAGTGCTTCCCTAAAGATTGGGGGTGAGTCTTTGAACTTGTGAGAGCCTGGTCCAGGTGAGTTGCATAGCTTTTTTGTTTGATTGAAAGGCAAATATAGGTTGATTAACTTGGGCTAAGCAGATATAACAGAAAACATTCTTTAAGTTTAGGACTGTAAATCAGGTAGCAATGCTGGAATGAGATTTATTAAAATACATGCATTTGGTACCACTGGATGGATGGTCACTGTGGCCCGGTTTGTGGCACACAGGTCGTACACTGGTCTATACTTATTAGACCCTGGTCCTGACAATGGTTTTCATATTGGCCAAAGTGGAGTGTTCTAGGGCAATTGACATCAAACAAAGATTTCATGTTGGTAAAGTGGGTTTAAATGTTTACAGACACCTTGAATAGCCTCTCGGGGGACTGGGTACTGTCAAACATAAGTCAGAGTTTCTTTTGGTTTTAACAGGACTACCACCTGTGCATGATTTACAGCTAACCCAGGTGGGGTGTCTTTAGCCCATACTCCAGGAGTGGTATTAAGTAACTGAGAGAATGGTTTTTTCATTGCACCTGCATGTCTAATCTGCTGCTTGCACTTGCTTTGTATAAAGTTTCCATTTCTTAGCCTGCAGGATGATAAATGTTAACACCAGGGTTTTTGGGTGAGTCAGATTTAACGTTATACTTTTTGCACATGAAAAGCAATTTGTGCTTGCAGTTTTTGGAGTAAATTTTTTTCTTAGCAAAGGAACTGGACAATTCAGGAGGTATAGGAATTCATGTTGGATTTCTTGGCCTTTTATAACACACCTCCTTGACTGACAGAACAGCTTTTTCTCTGTGACTCCCATGGCTTTTATAATAATTTTATTGCTTTTGGATAACGGCCCTATGGGTTGAGTGACTATTGAATGTGTACCCCTGGTGATTACCATAAAGTCCGTCAGCTGGCCTTCAACTTTTAATGTAACCATGGGCTCGTGGAAGTGTAGTAAGAAGGAGCCTGGTCTCTCCTAGTTGCTATATCCTTTAGTGCAAGCCAGCCTATTTAGATTAGTATTTGGTTTTACCACATTGAGGCAGCCTTTAGCTGGTGACTTTTTTATACAACAGTCCTTATTATATTTTTTACTCCCTTCTGGACATTTATTCTTTCAATATTTTTCTTTCCCATCGCACATATTGTTCTCTCTTTAGCCTCAACTGGCTTTTTGGACTAACTTGACCTCTTTCACATGCACATGCAAGTCCATGTCCTTGTATATACCTGGTCACTTTTTTTTTTTTTTTTTTTTTTTTTTAATGAAAGTGCTGCTAAGAGATTGGCCTCTCTTTTTTAGCCTGTGATTTACATTTTTTTTTTTTTTTTTTTTTTTTTTTTTTTTACTTCCTGGTAATAGTTAACATATATTTTGACAGCCATTCCTATAAACTGGGATGTATTCATGCCTGCAAAACCCTGTAGCATTTGCAGCTTTTGCTGGATGTCACCCTTGGCCTGTCTTATAAATGCTGTGTTTACCATGTGCTAATTTTCAGTAGCCTCAGTGTCAAATGGGGTTTAAAACCAGATTGTTTTACAAAGCTGTTTAAATAAAACTGGCTTGGTTTTTTATCTTTCTGAAGCATTTTGAATTTTTTTATATTAATTTCTTTTTTTTCCACAAGCTTTTGTCTCTGGCAAATGTGCCTCCCAGTACCTCTGCAGGCACTGATGCTGGCTTGCGTTATCTGGGTCTTAGTTGAGGCCTGCTTCTGGAAACTGATCCTGAGTATATGCCTGAGCATTTTCTGTGTTTGCTCATGCATTGGCTTCTAGCCAATGAAGGGCTGCCTGAGTTATCCCCTGGCATTCCTTTGTATTAAACAACATTAAGAGAAGTTGCCTGCAATTTAGCCAGGTTGGATTGTGTGATAGAAAGATGGACTGCAATAGGTTTATGAGAGCTTTGGGCTTTTCCCTGTAGGAGGGAGTGTGATGGTTTAAATTTAGTAGATTGGTGGTTGAAAAGGGCTGAGAGAGGAAGGCTTCTTGCCCCCCACAACCTGGATGTGGCGCTGGTCATTATAGTAGATGAGTCCTCATATTTCCCTGAGAGGCAGTTGCATAGCTTGAGGATGACCAGATTTGAGACAGCCTGGTTGACTATTGTGACTTCCTTCCCTGGCCTCTCAAGTCTCCGATTCTTCTCTCTGTGGTGAAACTTGGGGAATGCTGGCAATGGAACCAGGCTCCTGGGGGACTGTTGGCTTCAGCAAAGGGAGGTAGGCTGTGATATATGCAGGAGAAATTTATTTTCCTCTTCTGGCTTTTGTAAAACTGGTTTTTCTTGCTGTCCTGAGGACTTTTCCTTTAACTGAGTGTTTGCTGATGAAGCTGCTTTTATTTCACTTTTGGTTCAGCTAGCGCTATAAGTGTTTATCAGTAGGCAGCTAAACAGGGCTCGGTACATGCTGTTCCTGTTTGTATTATATGTAATTATGAGTAAATATAAGAAAATTGGCCTGGGTGCCCTGGCTGTCCTTGGACCCCTGTCATTACCTCAAACTCATTTCCAGTTGTTTCTCTGGGTAGTCTTTTTGGGTCATCTATTTAACGCCAAAAGAGGGCTATTTTAGGTTACAGAAAGTTTTTCACTTTTGGGGGGTTAGCTTAATTTTATAGTTCCCCGTAAAACCTTTCTCATTTTTTTTTTTTAGCATATATTTGAATGGTATATGTTTTGATGACTCTCTTCCCATTTTCTCCCAGTTATGATGCAGTACACTCGTGCTCACTTTTTACTTTTGTTTTGCACCAGCTAGACCTAGTCCTATTATGGGGGTTTTTAGATATCACTTAGATTTGGAGAGTTTCTTAAGCCCACCACAAGTGCTGTAGTTGTGAGGTAGCTTCCGTTAGCCATATGCGGATCACAACTAGTCTTAGTCAGCCACACATTTGGCTTGGAGTACAGTCTTCACTAAGAGACTTGTGGTTCCTCACTTCGTGGCTGATGAGCCTAGTTAGGCCTCTCCATTCACACACTTCCCCACACCATCCTGCTACCAGTTCCCATGTTCCCAGTTGGGGTGGTGAGCCACTTTCCCTACGTCCAGTTTCCTTCTGAGCTGACTTAGCAGGCTACTCTCACATGCTCTGTTGGTTGGGTTGTAAGTTTCTTCTGAATTAGTGAGACACTCTCGTTGTCTGCAGCCCTTCTTGGTCGGATTACCAGTTATGCCCTAGGAGGTGATTAGGCTCCTTTTCTGTCCTTATGGGACAGGTCATCCCTTGGGTCCCAATACCTTACTGTGGTTTCTGAAGTGAGCTGTTCCTGCAATCATCCTGTAGCCCATTAGATACCATTGCATTGCTGGGTAGGGGCACTGGGTCACAAATGGGCTGATCTCCCAACCAGGCTGAATTTCTCCCGATGGTGCTGCTGGGTCTCAGGACTCCTGAGACCCAGGGCTTAAGCTCCTAGAGGCAAAGGAGACAGTAAACCTGTCATCTCCTCTCCTAGCTGGCTGGTCAATAATGTTGCAAGAAGCAGAGGACCAAAGAGACCTATATGGGGAAAAAGGAAGATTTAATTAGGTGCCCTGGCTCAGTGGACTGATATCCCAAAAGGCTGATCATTGAACAAAGACTGAGTGGGGTATTTATAAGCAAAATTACAAAAGCAGAAGTAAAGAAGCCACTTAAACAATGATAGGTTACATAATTTATAGCATAAGATTTGACTTACCGTAACTTGTAGCCTTGCATAGCTTGTGGCCTTGCAGCTGTTAAAAAACTAACAAAAAAACAAAAAACAAAAAAAGGAAAAACAAAAAAGAGTAACTTTTAATTGTACTAAATACAAGCATTCGGAAACATAGTCAAAATTAATGGTCCAGAGAAGGAGAGAGAGCATTGGTATCCATTTTTCTTTTCAACTTTGCTCTGGAGTTGGCTGTTTGCAACCCATTCCTTTGGCCTTCTCTTTTGAAACAGTGTTATCTTATAACTCTTTTGAAACAGTGTTGTCTTATAACCTTCCTTGGAATCAGCTGGCTAAGCAGAAGACATTTTTTTTTTCCTTTTCTATTTAACCCTCGTCTTGCCACACTGGCACTTTTGGAAGAGAAACATATTCAACATGCAGACACTGAAGCTCCAGCCTGCAAGTATACAGTCAGTTCTCTGTGCTGTAGGGCTCAGGTATGGTTAGAAGTCTTCTCATGACTCAAATCACAGCCTGGGTAACCCACTGGTCTAGTTCCTAAAAACATTCACTTCTATTGTTTCAATAATCATGCTCCAGATCCCACTGCCACGTTTGAATTTATTGCAATGATATGGAAGTGAGAACCTTACCCAGCCCAGGCACTGTGGCTCATACCTGTAATCTCAGCATTTTAGGAGGCAGAGGTGGGCAGATTAACTGAGGTCAGGAGTTTGAGACAAGCCTGGACAACACAGTGAAGCCCCATTTCAACTAAATATACCAAAATTCACTGAGTGTGGTGGCCCACACCAGTAATCCAGACTACTTGGGAGGCTGAGGCAGGGGAAACACTTGAACTTGAGAGGCAGAGGTTTCAGGGAGTGAAGGTCATTCCACTGCATTCCAGCCTGGGTGACAGAGTGAGACTCTGCCCTCACTCACCAAAAAACAAAAACAAAAAACTTATCTGCTTATATTTCAATGCCAAAATATTTTTAAATGACTGTTTCTTGATGTGTATAATTGTTCCAACTTCCAACTGGAGAAATAACCTCCATTTGTTTACTTTCACAGATTGTGTACATTTGTGTTTGATCTTAATGAGCTGAGTCTATTCACAGAACTATGAAGATGCTTATTAATACCGTATTGTATGTTCTATATGTCCAGTTTAGCAAATATGCCTTACCCACTTATTTGCTAAAAAAATCCTTTTTTTCTCCTCATAATTTAGATGATTCTCAAAGATGACACATCATTTTGCAATCTGATTCTAACTTCTATACTGCCAAATGGTCTGCAAAATTAATCTAAAAAAAAAAAAAAACGAACAAAATAAGTGAAGGCTGACAGAGTAAGTAACGTGATTCAGCTGAAGCTAGTCAATCAGGCAGTTGTGCTTACCACAACTTCTGGTCTGTAGGGATGGAGAGGTTGTGCCTTGATTCAGTGAGTGATTGCTGGGGCATTCTGTCAGAACAAGGCCTGGGGGAAGCACCATGTGATCTGCCCAGGCCTAAGGTTCAGAAGGAACCAAGGCAAGAATATTACCAATTGCATGAAGATACCAGCAGGTTTCTAAAGAGCTCTATTAGTTTGAAAATAAATTGTTATCCTTGCAGATAGCAAATAACGATGCATAAGATCCACAAAACTAATGATTCAAGCACCTAAGTTAATTGCAGTGGCAATAATAAAATGCGTGAAAGCAACAGGTAGCAAAGGAAAGGCAATTATTACTATTGAAACACCTCTGTGTGTTAAGAAAACACTGTATGTAGCCAGTCTATCCCGCTGACCCTCACAGCAACAATGTATCATGGGTAGGGGGAGGGGAGGGTAGCTATTCGTCTCCAGAGCAGCACACAAGGCTTTGTCCAGGTGGCTAAACTTCCAGATACATTTCTCTTTTAAGGTTTCTTTTTGCTTTTGGAAACGGTGTGGATTAGCGTTGTCTGGAGGAAGTGTGCCTGTGTAGCCTGGAGGCTGCACTACCTGTGAGTGCTTCCAAGGTGCCATTCCTTTATTCGTTAAGTGTTTGCACTTGAGGTTGCTCAGAGACAACTCTGTCCTCTGCAAATATATGTCTTTCTGGAGAACTGGAAGTAATGTTTTTGAAAGCTTTCAGCAAGTGCAGAGATGGTGAGCTCTTTGCTGGTAGTGGGCTTTTGGCAGTCATGTTAATGACTCTCTGATGGCAACTTCTGAAAGGCTCTTCCAAGTGTCTGGCCTCTTGCTTAAGCTCTTTGACTCTTGCTTAAGCTCTTTGACCCTTGCTTAGTATTAACTACAAACTCAAGGTCAGAACTGGAAGGACTACCTTCTACACCTCCATTTGGATAATTTGGGATCCTTGATGTAACCATACCTGCTAGAACTCTTTTCTGTCTAAAAGAATTGTTCAAGAAAGCCTGATGTATAACATCATTGCAGGGTACCATATTGCCACTTATTAATCCACTGACAGAATGATTGTTCAGAGACTGTTTTGGATTGGAGTATACTTTATTCTCTACGTCTGCAGAGTACAAAAAGGTAATTTCAGATGTCAGTGGACAAGGAAGAAAAGAAAATTCATATACTTGAGAATATCATTTTTTTTTTTTTTTTGAAAAATTGAAGAGAGCAATAATAAGGACAAACTTGCACATTAAACAGTTTCTGAAGCCATGGTAGTAACAACGACTAACACTTATTGAGGGCTTATTGTACCAACTACAGCTTCATATGTCTTTTGTAACCTGGTATAATTTCAGAATCCATTATGAACAATTGGCACATCACAAAAGCTCTGAAAACCAAAAATGTATTCATAACTCATGTGGTGGCAAAGCGTAGCCAGACTTGAACTCATTTGGTTGAAAAGTTTGACCTGGCCGGGCGTGATGGCTCATGCCTGTAATCCCAGCACTTTGGGAGGCCAAGGTGGATGGATCGCAAGGTCAGGAGGTCGAGACCATCCTGGCAAACACAGTGAAACCCTGTCTTCTACTAAAAATACAAAACATTAACCAGGCATGGTGGCAGGCACTTGTGGTCCCAGCTTCTTGGGAGGCTGAGGCAGGAGAATGGCATGAACCCAGGAGGCAGAGCTTTCAGTGAGCCAAGATAGCACCGTTGCACTCCAGCCTGGGTGAAAGAATGAGACTCCATCTCAAAAATCAAAAAAATAAAACAAAATGAAAAGTTTGACCTGAACTGATGTGAACCCATTTAGTATCCTTATTTATCCCAGCATGAATATTCATACAGTTGACTGGAAAATAATTAATGCATTTCACTACAGCAGGCGCTTCAGAACTTGCATGCTGTGGATTTCCTATGCTATGAAATCCACAGCATATGGAATGAGTTTCAGGCAAGGAGGTAAGAATCTGCCTCCACAACAACACTGTGTTCAGGGAACTCTCACAGCTCCCATTTCATAGATGGGATCTAAAGTTTACTGAGGCTGAGTTACACATTTAGCAGGTCCAATAGCTACTGGACTTCCCTAAGGCAAAGCCAGTACATGCATCTCACTCTCCTGCAATGCCTTCCTACGATGCTATTAGAAAGAAGCCTGCCCTCAGCAGTGCACATGCATGCAAACGTTGTATTCTCATTCAACTGCTTTTAACATGAGACTGTGGTTTCAGCTGTGAGAAGTTTCACAGACAGAACTGACAAAAAAATGAAGTACAGAAATGAGTAGAAATGAGTAAAGAGTTAAGAATCAGTCAAGCTCTTGCAGAAGAGAGCAAGGGACTTATGAGGAAAGATTGCAAATAGGAACAAGGAAGGCTCAGAATAAGTGTGAGAATACAGTTGAACTGGTAACACATACACACTTTCTTTGAGCTTGAAAGCAACTGAAGAAGAAAGCATCTAAGCTTCAACATCCTTCTTATGAAGTAGGAAGTGGCAGAGATGTATCCCCAGTGAAGACACAATAATAAAATCATAGCAAATCACCATTTATTGAGTATTTTCTTATGTCCCAGACACTGCATTGAAACCCACCTCATGTCATCATTTTCATTATGGCTCAATAGGCATAAATTTCCCCTTGCAAATGAGGAAACAGAGGCCCAAGGAAGTTAAGTTAACATGTCCAAGATCAAACAACTAACTTCAAAACTGGGGTCCAAAAGAAGAACAGTTCTCTGATTCTGAGGGCAACGTTCTCTTTGCTAAATAACCCTTCTCCTCCTATGAGTGCACATCTGTCTATGAAGGAATCTGTAAAACTACTGAACTGGTGTTAACATTGGGGTAACAAACAGAAAACAAAATTCTAAGATAAACTTGGAGACTTCTATATCACCACCACAGCTTTCCCATTAGGGACATGACGTTCTCCTGAGCCATGAGGCACCTATGAAACAAGTCACTTTTGTTGATGGTCCAGATGGTATTACCAAACTGGATAGGGAGTTTTACTTCTAAGATGACACATATTTCTGTGGCTTTTCCTCTAACAAAATAATTACTTAATGTTCAATAAATTGGGATCATTACATTTTCACAAGCATCAGAAGCTTTACAGAAAGAAAACATATTCATGGGTTTAAAATGTCTCTAACCCGTCTGAGTTTGCTTCAGTTGCAATTTTAAATCAGCCACATGAATAGTTAACTTTGTCATGGAAGCTTCGTAATCTAGTATCTGGGCCTTCAGCCAGGCAGAATGCACAATATGACAAGATTCAGAGTAGGAAAATAAATTATTTTAAAACAAATCACAGCTTGCTTCAAAAGGAAAAGTTTTCTCATCCTTTTGTAATCTTTATTTGGGAAGATTTATGCCAGTAAACAACAGGGTCCCTATTTTTAAAATGACAAACAGAACACAAATGAGGCGTGTTTCACAGGTTTCATCATCATTTTCGGTCATATCAAAAAATTCTAGAGCATGTGGACAGAAGACACAGTGAATGTTTGAAATCCTCAGGGTGAGAATCAAGGGAAAACAGTGGATACAATCAGGCACTCTGAAAATTTTACGTTTAGGTGTGTTTGCTTTCTTCTCCATGTTATTACTATTATGAATATAAGATCATATTATCACTAGAGAATTTTCTGAGATGACAAACAGTACCTTTGTTATATTTGGGGGAGTAATGTTTGATGTAAAAATAAATCTGATTTGCACAGGTGTGACTTGGGCCAAGTTTACATATTGATGAAGTGTACTGGTATCATAGTGGGACCGGCAAGGAGCAATACTCACTGCATGTTGCAGTTGTATTGCAGAGCTGGCCTGTGGTTCTTGAACTCCTCATGCTCAGCTATGATAGCATTTTCTGCTTTCTGCAGTTCTTTCTGAAATACCACAATTTCATGAGCCAGCTGATCTAGACCTAAGAAGTTCAAAAGAAATCCTAGTCATTATCTACCTTAAGTTTTCTTATTTCATTTAACAAAAACATTTAAAGGGGTTTTACATTGTTGTTTCTTTTCTTTGTACTCATGCAATAAATATAATATTAATTCTATTTAATGAGCTCAGCGTAATCCTGACACCCACATTTCAGAACAAAAGAATTTGGTGCATTTTAATGTAAACGTGATTACTCTTGGAGTCCTACTCCATGTAAAAGACCCTTTTCAAATCCTCAAATTAACCTAAAAGGTTGTTTCTCTCCTCTACCATGCACAGAAGGAGCTCTCTATCTGATCTCCCTGTTGATGACATCCCCAAGATTCAACATAATCTGTGCATCTGTCAGCAGCAGTTGGGATCCAGGCAGAAAGCAGATGGTTCCCACAGTCAAAGTCATCTAAGGATGCTTTAATAAAGGGTGACTTTTGCAGCATGCCCACAAATGATGGCAAAGCTCACTGAGATAGTAACAGGGCCACTGTATTAGCACTCCTTGTGCCTGGAGAATCAGAGGAGGGTGCAATTCTCAGCGCTGGAGGGAGAGAGGTGGTGCAGAACACTGGGAAGAGGTCATCACAGGCACCATGACCTCGCTTGGCTGTGAGGTACAATGGCCAGTCTTCGGCCAGTGTATGTGGAGTCTGTAGTCCTCACCGGCCAAACCCAATCAGCAAGCAGAGGGCAAGGGATACCTTGAAACCACCTACAGGCATGTTTGCAGAGTTTAATCCAAGGATCATAAATCCTTCAAATTTAACTTTCCCCTTACAAGTACAAAGCATAGTTTTATAATACTGCCTGAATATAAATTACTAAAACATGGAAATCAGGAAGAAAGATATATGGTTTAGGACATGCAAGTTTTCATTTCTACTCTCTTTTAAGTAGTGAATAATTACTCATCCTTTTAGCCTTTTCATTCAGCATAAGGTTTTGTTTTGTTATTGGCAAGACTGGGTTTTGACACACTCTAACTCAACCTGGAATTTAAAAAGGAATATTTACAATTGAATAATGACTTTACAGTGCTGCAAAATGAAAATCTGGTATGCTCCTTTAGGCATAGCGTCAAAATTTAATTAAGGTCACTAAAGAGATGTCTGAATGTCTGCAATAACTACGCTAACAAAAATTATCTTCTGCCCCAGAGTTGACACAGAGGAAACTTATAGAACATATCCCATGAATCAAGTCCTTCTAAGATTATCACCCCATTTTTCAGAGTCAACCAAGAAACCAGCAACAATCACACATTATAGCAATATATATTTTTTGAATATGAAAAGGTAAGGTAAAAATGGCCAGGCATGGTGGTCAACACCTGTAATCCAAGTGATTTCAGAGTCTGAGGTGGGAGAATTGGCTGAGCTCAGCAGTTTGAGATGAGCCTGGGCAACATGGCAAAGCCCCATCTCTACTGAAAAGATAGCCATGCCTGGTGGCTCGTGCCTGTAAATCCTGCACTTTGAGAGGCTGAGGCATGCAAATCACTTGAGGTCAGAAATTCGAGGGCATCTTGGACAACAACATGGTGAAATTCCATCTCTACTAAAAATACAAAAATTACCTGGGCATGGCCTCAGGCACCTGTGATCTCAGCTACTTGAGAGGCTGAATCAGGAGAATCACTTGAAACCAAAAGGCAGAGTTTGCAGTGAGCTGAGACCATGCCATTACACTCCAGCCTAGGTGACACAATGAAACTTCATCTCCAGGCAGGGTTGGGGGGAGTACAAAAATTACCTGGCGTCGTGACACACGACTGTAATCCAAGCTACTTGGGAGAATGAGACACAAGAATCGCTTGAAGCCAGGATGTGGAGGTTTCAGTGAGCTGAGATCATGCCAGTACACTCTAGCCTGGGTGACAGAATAACACTACCTTGTAAGAGAGAAAATAAAATAAAATCTGAACATGTGAAGTGCCTCCATTTTCTTAATATACTATAGCTCATATTTGAGTATGAAAGTCTACAAAGTTCTCACATATGTCAAAGTTGCAAAAATAAATTTTATATACAAAATATTTTGTAAGTACCTGATGTTCTAACTTCCAACAGCAAGCACACGATGAAGACAAAAGTAAAGAAGCAATGGCATGTGAAAAATGCCCCGTATTTTGTTTTAATCTGTAAGACAAAAATGTAATGACAGAATTTTTTCCTGTTGCTGATGGAAAGAGTGAACAGGCTGCGTGTAGAAAATAATAGTGTTGACCACCTGCTATGACCTAGGCATGTCAATTAGCTCACTACATTTCCTCAACAGCCCTAAAATTTGGAAAACTTCCTAGAGTTTACAGCTCAAGAATCTGAGTCACAGAATCTGCCCAAAAGCACACAAGCAACTAGACACACAAATAGGTTTGAAGCAGGACTTCAGGACCCAAGGCACTATCTGCATTTTTCTGTGTGACATTGATTGAAAATAAATATTACTTAATTTACTCCAGCCATCATCCTCTTAGCCATACAAATAGAAATCCAAGCGTCTCTAGCAGATGACCTAGGATAAATTATTTATCACTAAAATTTCATATATTGGTTAAATCTGTTTCAAAAAACAATAATTATTTCTTCCTTTCACCTTCAATTAGTCGATTAGTACTAATGATATAGTCATCCTTTAGCTCAAGTTGTCACCTGAGAATCCGAATGAGTTTCTCAGTTATCATTCTAGAAAGCCCACTATCAATGCAGGAGCTTATGCGTGGCACAGGTATATCTGAGAGCACTT
The DNA here is from genome assembly GCF_000001405.40 of Homo sapiens. NCBI lineage: Eukaryota > Metazoa > Chordata > Mammalia > Primates > Hominidae > Homo > Homo sapiens. The sequence continues at coordinate 18,714,486 of NC_000024.10, read as the reverse complement.
AACCTGACACTGTGTAAACTTCAAAGTCCCTCATTACTAAAGCCATAGATAAAATGTCCACTAAAACCCCACCTCAATCCTATAAGACTCAAACACACAAAATAAAGGGTCGTGTTGTCACAAGGTTACTGAAGTAATCACTTTTCAGTTGGTCTCATCTGACACAAAAAGCAAAGAAAATTAAATTTACACGGCATACAATAGACTCAATTGTAAATGATAATTAGACAAACACTTCCAGTCCTCCTGTAATATCTGCACACCCTCAACCAATGTATGAATTTTTGTGCCAAGGGACTAAGAACAGTCCTGAGAGGCAAGTGTCAACAGCATCAAATCTGAATTAGCAACACCCAAAGACACACTTTTGCAGTTTCACTTCTCTTTCCCAGCTGTTACAATCTGCCCTTTTGGTTCCAAAAGGAAAAAGAAACATTCTTATGGGGATCAGCCTCCAAACTCTAACACTTGCCAAAATCATATGCAGATTCCTAAAGCCAGACAGACACCACACAGCCCGTGGAAGCTGTCACAATGCTACCAAATAGTTGACTAGCTCCATAACTACATAAAATTAACGCACATACTTTGGTTTATTTATTTCTAAATATGTGGTAACTACAGCAACTTCCACGTTATTTGTTCTAGCAGAGGAATTGACATAGAAGATGTGGGTAAAACGCCTCATTTAAAAATCGATTTTAAAAGCTGCTATATTTTTTAAAAATAGAATTTGTTTAAATAACAACCTCAAGAAACTTTTGCACCTACTATGTAATAAAATATCAATGTCAAATCATGAGGAAGGCAATAAAAACAGGCCAAATAAATGCCCCCAAAACCTTTGTTGCATCATTTCCTCGTGGCACATTTACAACAAATATTAACTGGGCACATTTTATGTGCCAGATCCTTTTCCACCCACTGAAACGTTACCACATGGGCACAATGTCTTACCCCTGTGATATTATCCACTGATACACAAAACTTAGTGCACAGAAAAGCCAAAGAATCTGTAACTGCTGTTATTCTCCTTTCCCTTTATCACATTTGCCTCACATAGTTAATTTTAGCCCTTTTATTTTCATTCCTGCTTTGCAGAATTGTGAAGGAATTAAAGGCACATGTTCACTGAAAAATACTGTGACCATTGATATAATTTCTATATTGTTAGATATCCATCTTTGTGGCAGTATGAGTGGAGTAGACAAAAAAAAAAGTCACTAAAAGTGATTATAAACCCAGTTTTACAGCTTATCGAGTAGGCAAGCTGAGCAAGTAACAAGGTACCCTGAAAATTATAGTAAATCACAGACCTCAATAAATGTTAGAGAAGCCATGAGTAAGAAAAGCAGAGGATTTGCTTCTTTGCACCTTATCTTTTAAAAGGTACCTTATCTCAAACACAGGTAATTATTGGGTATTGATGAAAATAAAATATGTATTTTTTTCAAACACTAAAGTTTGCATAGAATGTGATTCATAGACTACTTCCTCAGTTTTTGTTATGTTTACACTAACTTATTTTAAACATATTTCTTCTTCAAAACAGTCAAACATGTACTTCAGCAGTTTGGTCATAGGTCTCCTCAAGACTCCTTATATTCGCTCCTGCCTTCTAAGTGCCTCAGTCATGGTGTTATGTTTTTCTTCCTGGGGCTTCTGGGTTCTGAATATAGGAAAGGTATAAAAACTAAATAAGCTACAATAGCTGAGATAACAAATTTAGAAAAAAAATCCAGTGTTTTTGATTCAACAGACTAAAACTGCTACATGACTATTCCTGCTGGGAAGCAGAAGAAAGAGCTAGAAGTCCTCAGTGTATGAACTAATCTACTTACAGTGTATTGAAACTAGCAGAGCCACAGAGCTGTGGTATCTGACGGAGGGGAGTGTGATCTTCTCTAGTGGGAAGTGATTTCCTATAGAAGACAATTAAAACTTAAAACAATAGTTGTAGGTGAGTGATGGCCAAAATCAATTGTGGGATGAAAGAATAATCCTATTAGTTACAAAGGGACAAAAGTGGATTCACCTGCTTGATTTCTTATAATGTTCTTTCTAACTGTGGGCTTTAATTAATTATCGCATAGATATTTCAGTGAGAATATTTACTTTTGTCATTTAATAATCTATCAGAGGTAGCCAAGTGTGGTGGCCAGCACCTAAAATCCCAGCTTTTCAGAAGGCTGAGGCAGGAGGGTCACTTGAGCCCAAGAATTTGAGACTAACCTGGACAACATAGCAAAGCCCTGTCTCTTAAAATCAAACAAACAAACAACAAAAACCTAGAAAACAAAAACTGTTGATTAAACGTGGGAAAAGTACCCAAAGAGAGGGCAAAAGATAGATGAATCAATATGGGCTTCCAAATACTTAAGAGTAGAACGGTCTTTATAGCGAGACATGAGATTAACCATAGCACCAATTCCCAAGCCAGGGAGGTGGGTTCACAGTGGTTGAGATGCAGCCATTCTGAGAAGTCCTACAAAACACTGACTGGTCTAAGGAAAGTTAAAGGCTCTAGGTATTAGCTCCCTCTGCTGGTAATCTGGAAAGCTGTGGAAAGGTAAAAACGACATTTATTTTGTATATATCCTGAGAGAGAGAAAACAGGAGTGGAGAAAATTGAGGTAGGGAAGTGATAAACTCTCTCTGCCAAAATGTTGTTCCTTATTTTTCTCTCTCTCTCTCTCGATTAGTTTACCTTTTCATTATTGCCAAAAGGAGACTAAGGCAGGCAGAGGTTGTCATCCAACAAATCAAATCTATAGAAGTGCAAAAACAACATTAAAGAAGATGGAGGCATATTCTTTAATGAAGTAAGATTCCTGGAGTATCTATGGGTGCCAATTAAGAAAACATTCCCAGTGGAAAATAAGGCTTATTGCACAAACTATAGACAGATGCGCTTGCTGTCAATCCCAGGTAAGATCTGAAGAATGAAATATTTGTCAGCACTTAGAACAAGTGAATAACACAAGAGAAACAGGTTCACCCAGTGCAGGTAAAGTCAGACTACCATACTTTCTCTGTTGAGCACAGAGCTGGTAAAAGCTGCAGGTGTAGAAATGTGGAACTCAGTTGCTCTACATAAACACATAAAACTATCAGACCTGAAGGACTGAAGTTAACAGCAAAATGTATGATCTGTTCAAGTATTAATAGCCTCTCCAAATATTCTGTCTGGTCTTACTGTAAGCTTGTGATAGAATCTCATTCTCTTTTTCATTTTAATGTTTAATATTTCAAAAGCAAAAGCCTAGTGTTTGTTCTTCTTAATTTCTACTTTCTAATTCTAGGTGCTATGACCTTTATAAACAAGAACTCTACTTGGCAATAAACACTAGAATATTTTGACATATAGAGTAATTTTTGTACTCTCATAATTCTGAATTTGAAAATTAAACATGCATACTTAAAATTCAAAAGCTTCAACCCTCTGCTTCATCACTGCTTCTCTTCCTCTTAGTAAATCCATGGCTTTTACTTAAATTTGCCTGTGGCCATAAATTCTCTTTATTTCAATCTACATAGAAAATCATTAACTTTTAGCAAGAAAACTGATGAAAGCCAAATGGGTGTAAACAAATATACTGTTTCATAAATTCCACAAAGCAACAATTTCAATTTCAAGAGAATCCAACTTGGCTGGTTACTGTGGCTCACAACTGTAATCTTAGCACTTTGCGAGGCCAATGCAGTCAGATCACCTGAGGTCAGGAGTTCAAGGTCAGCCTGGCTAACACTGTAAAACCACATCGGTAACAAAATGCAAAAATTGGCCTGGCATCATGAAGGGCACCTGTACTTTCTGCTACTCAGGAGGCTGAGACAGGAGAATCACCTGAACCTGGGAGGCAAAGGTTCTGGTGCTCTGATGATTACCACTGCAGTCCAGCCTCGGTAACAGAAAAAAAAAAAAAAAAAAAAAAAAATCCAACCTCAGAGTTTGAATCTTTTCAATCTGTTGGAAAGCAAAGTTTCAAAATTTAGTCAACTAGATGTTCTAGCTGCATATAAATTGACTCTCCTACTTTCTGTTAAACTGTACTTTCATATGTTCTTAACATCCCTTATGTAATATATGCTACTTAATGCTTTAACAATTCTCAGGCCTTTATAAAAAAAAAAATTGACAGTACCCTGTCCTGCGGCCTAGCCTTTAGTGCATCTGTGTGGTCTTGACTCACTGCAACCACTGCCTCCTGGGCTCAAGGTACCCTCCTATCTCAGCCTCCCAAGTAGCTGGGACTACAAGCACACACCAAGAAGTCCAGCTAATTTTTTTGCAGAGATGGGATTTTGTCATGCTGCCCAGATGGCTCTGAAACTCTGGATTCAAATGATATGCCCACCTTGGCCTGTCAAGTGCTGGGACTACAGGCATAAGCCACCATACCTCGCCCCATTAACTAAAACTTTCTAAGTTATTCAGGAAGAACCATTGAACAAAATGTGCAATCAGCAATAAAGCTCAAAGAGAATATAATTGCATAGTTTTTAGTGGCGGTGCTGTCTGAATGTTTCAGTTCATGGGACATTCTGACTCAGAGTTAGCAAGCTTATGTGAAATCCTAAATGAATGCACTATCTTTCCATTTATGTTTTCACAGACCAAGAGTTTACTAACTACCTAACACATATCAAGCAGCATACAGGAAGATGGATATACAAATGTAGCCAGATACAGTCCCCATCTCTAAAGACCTCACAATTTAGTCAGGGAGAAACAATCACAATAAGACATGATTATTTCATAAGTGAGGTAAATAAACACTGCACGCAGGAATGAAATCCAAAAGATTCGCTCAGTGGGAGTCAGGGAAGGTATCAACGAAGTGACTGTCCAGCTGTGTCTTGAAAGACAGTATGCTTTCATCAATAAGAGAAAAGGATCGACATTCCAGGTGAGGAAATACAGCCATGGTGGTTTGTATGAGGATGACAATCTTCCTCAAAGCCTTCAGATACTCACAGTTAAATAAACAGGAATCTAGTCAGTCACCTATCTTGCAGATGAATTTATTAGTCTAAACACAATCCAAACATCTCAAAAAACTGTGCTTCCAAAACTCATTTTTATAGCTGGAGCAAGCCCAATTCCCAGGAATGTTATACAGATTTGTAGAGGGTGCGCCCTTGCATTAAATGACTAGGTCTCATTGAGAAGCCCCAAGCAAGACTTGATGCTAGGGTAAAGCCTTGCTACTTTTGACATCTGGGAGAAGCAGTTCACGATGTAGGCCAAAAATACTGCTGTAAATCCAGTGTGGTCTAAGACATACCCTCAGAAACAGAATATGCTTTCTTAAGAAAAAAAAGATTCACTCCCACTTGCCAACATAGAATCCCTGCCACTGCTCATCCTCACCTTCTCTTGTCCGTTTACTCCCGGGATGACCAGATCAAAAGGCCACATGGATGACAATTGCAGCCCTGATGACTCCTTTACCCCAGAGACCTTGAACTCTCCTCATTTCCATGGCTCCATCCAATGGCAGCACAGTGCATTTTGTTTCCAGTTTCCACCTGAAACCTAGTCCTGCAATTCTCTACTCTTGGACAATTGTTATAATTCCACCTGCCAGTCTCTTTGGATCTAGTTCTTGATCCCTGAGACAGCTACTTAACCCTCACTTTCTCCATGGTGTAGCAGTTACTTGCCCTCTCCTCTGCTTCCCTTCACCATGCAAGATAAGCCCAGAATCTGCAGTTAAATAGGCTGCCATTCTCACATCAAGTAAGTTAGGCTCTGCAAAGCTCCAGTCCTTCAACATCTCCATCTTTCCAGCCTCACTGAAAAGTGCAGAAGAGACAGATGCTTACAATTTCTCCCCAGACCTGCCAAAAAATAAAAATAAAAAATAAACTCACCTACAAGCACATGGTTTGGTCTCATTTAATTTCAGGCTCCCTCAACTACAGCTGGGCCCTCAATACAAGTGATCAGTCCTCTCTGTTTTAAAGAGCTGTTCTTCTGTTACTCCCATGAGCTACTCTGTACCTCTAAGCTGCTCCTAAAACCCATGATCTAATGCTCTAATCTGCCTGAGAAGATGGGAGCTTATTTAGGGTGTGTTTCTCTTAATCCCAACTTGACTGTTCACCTCTGACACTCTTCCTTTTCCACTTGTCCCAGAGGAAGCAAATCTGTGTACATATTTCAAGGGCCACCCTTCTTTTTCTTTGCACTCTTTACCACAATTCCTATTGCTTTTCTGGGACCTTGTTAGCTCAATTGTATCATCTCATTCCTGGATCTTGAACCAACCTACTAATAGCTGCAGGAAATAGTTACACAGTAAAATATTTGTAAATACCACCTCTTGGTGTTTTGAATTCTCTCAAGGATACTCTTTTCCCAAAAAATGATGGCTTCAGCCGCTGATTGACAAGCCTTCTCAAAATATTTCCTGAACACAGCTACATTCTTTCCATACTTTCTTTTTGCTCTATTTTAATTTTTGCTATCTCAGCAGCTTAACAAAAGTTTACCTGCAAATTGATCACAAAAATTTAAAAATTTTAACTATTACACTCCAATAAGTGTAACAAATACTCTCTTCACATCCAGGCTCAACATTAATGCTCTGTCCAAGTACATTACATTTACTTCATCTTTAGTTTTATCTCACTCACTGTATTTGTAGGACTCACTCAAAAGTCATAAACAAATGTCAACATAAATAAAAATAATGTGCAGAATGGTAGAGTATCCCATTATTAAAATTTCTAGGTTGTTTTTGATATACCAAAGATTAAGACTTTAGAAGACTGTTGGGGAAACCACCCCCACACCACCCAGCAGGTACCCTGAGTCTAGCGGCGACAAAGCTGATAGAAAGAGAGAGACCGAATAAGTGTTGAAAAGGCAGGTCCGGGGGACTGGAGTATTGGAGGCTTCCTCATGGCCCAGAAGTAGACGATAACATTGATAGTGTTTCTCCCTGGTAGGTATGACTTTAGACATATTTTTCCATCTACTTTTCTGTATTTTTCAAATGCTTTCCAATAAAGGACTCTCCAGCCACATGCAGCCATTGACACTGGAAAGGTGGTCAGTCTGAACTGAGATATGCCTTAAATGAAAAAAAACAAAGAGATTTCAAAACTAACTGAAAAAAAAAAAAAAAAAAAAAAGAAAGTGAATTATCTCATTCGTACTTTTTTTTATTAAACACATGTCGAAATCATATTTTAGATGTATGGGATTAAATATCTTAAAGCTAATTTTACCTACTTCTTTAAGTAAAGAAGGACTCTCCAGCCACATGCATCCATTGACAGTGGAAAGGTGACCAGTCTGAACTGAGATGTGCCTTAAATGAAAAAAAAAAAAAAAAAAAAACAAAGAGATTTCAAAACTAAGTGAAAAAAAAAAGGAAAGTGAATTATCTCATTCGTATTTTTTTTTTTTATTAAACACATGTTGAAATCATATTTTAGATGTATGGGATTAAATATCTTACAGCTAATTTTACCTAATTCTTTTTACTGTTTTCAGTGTGACTACTAGAAAACTGAACATTATATATATGGTTCAACTGTTGGACCGCACTGCTTCATAATTATCAGTAATATGTTTCTAATGGAATTAAACCCACACTTAATTTAAGGCCTAGTCATGTAATACAAATTTCAATTTATCTTCTAACATGTTACCATTACTATTTTAGAATAAGGAAGGTCAAACATTAATTAAGCACATCAGTTTAAACAACTTTCTCCCGTCTCTATTGAGCATGAAACCAAAAGGCAGGATGGTATTTTCGACCGGCCTTCTAGTACAAAAAGCTCTAGAGAATGGATGGTAGAAATTGGACTTCACTGGCTACTCTGAGGCAGACTGAATGTTTTCAATTTGCTCTCCCTCTGAGGACCTTGATTTCCTCAAGTAGAATATGAAGCAATGAGTCAATGACTTCTCTACTGCTCTGAAAAAAAATAGTCTATAATCTTGTACCTTGGTGGCTATAAAGTTAAAACAAGACATGAGGAAGGACCTTCCAGTTAAGAGAGGTAAAACTCAACAAACAGGGCCTTTGAATGGCTGCATGCTTTGGCCAATGTAGCCCTGGCATGCAAGAGGCCAGGAAATGACACTGGAGAGCACTTCCTGGCCTCCCAGGATGATTCCAGAAAAAGTAAATTCCCTTGTTGCTTGCAGGTTGCGTCCCCCTAGTTCAAGAAGGAACCACACAATTTGGTAAATCAGGTAACTTCCTTCATTCAAAATGAAAACAACAGAATTGAAATTAAGAAAGGAAGAGTATAATTACCTAGAGAATCTCTCATAAATGTCGAACTTGTCTGCATTTCCATGTTACAACTCTTCTTAGCTTGATGATAATCTGCCAATTTTTTACAACTATTTTTAACTTGATGATATTTTAGCTTGTTGATGATTTAGGTTTATAGAAACCTAAAAAAAAATGCATTCAGGTTTTTTTTTTCCTCAGAGCTTTCAGCCACTGTGCAGTCACTGTATACACAATCTTAGTTATATGAAAATATCATTTTATACATCATATATCGTTCCTTTTTGTAGAGACAGAATCTTGCTCTCTCACGAAGGCTGGAGTGCAGCGGTGTAATCATGGCTCATGAAAGCCTCAAACTGCTGAGCTCAAGCAATCCTCTCACTTCAGCCTTCCAAGTAGCTGGACTAGAGGCACCTACCACCACCCACCACATAAAGCTAATTTTAGTTTTTATAGAGACAGGGTCTTTCTATGTTGTGCAGGTTTGTCTCAAACGCATGACCTCAAGTGATGCTACTGCCTGGGCCTCACAAAATGCTGGGATCACAAGCATGAGCCACTGTGTCCAGTCATAGCTTCTAAGAATAAATCTGAGGAAAGGCCAGTCCAAATATGCTACAAAACATGACAGGAATAATCATAAGTATTTATCAATTTAACTATATAAAAGTTGAATATTTACATATGGTATAAAATTTAAAAATTCACTGCAATAATATGGAGTCATACGAGTTATTAAGAAATCATTTTAAGCAGATAGAGAAAACCTAGCATTCTTGGAACGTTTTTGTCTCATTTAAAGCAGCTCCAGAAAAGTTTCTTGTCTAGCAGCAAAGCCCTGGCTCTTGGAGTCTGGCAGGCAAAATTTGATATGCAATTGCCCGCCATTAGAAACTGGGTCCACCAAAACATGGCTTCCTACCCTCTTTCCTTGACTTACCCCCTCATGTGCCTGGCCACATGGCTGCCCCCACATATCCTCATGTATGCAGAACATCATGGCACCCTGCATCTTCATATTACAAATGTAATGTGGGAGGGCCAGTTTTTTAGGGGCTGTGTGAGTGACATTCCTGATCAAACCAATCCCCTGAGCCTATGCAAGTCAGGCACCACCTCCTCCAGTCTCCTCATGTAACTGGCTGGTTTCCTGCCTCACTTGGGGTTTCCTCTCTCAGCTGTATAGGGAAGCTTCTTCCTACTTTCTTCTTCCTTCTTTCTCGCCTATTAAACTCTCTGCTTCTTAAAACTATTCCAAGTGTGTCTGTGTTGTTTGACCCAATTAGCAGCATACAAAAGCCCTACTCTTTCTCCACTCATCAGAGCTGAATCATTTTGGTGCATTGGCCGGGAATCCAAGGTACAGTCTTTGTCCGGGTGGTGAGTATGCAAGCAAGATTAAAACCTGTTCTATCATTCTGAGGTTCTCTGAGCTTCTATATTAAAATAAATCCAATAAATCAATGGGAATCCATCAGCCTAGTACATACAGTTAGCGCTGACTGCCATAAAAAAAACTTGTATGTGAGACTTGCTGGAGAGAACATGCAGAAAAACTACATTACACATGGGCATTGAATTTCTGGCCAGGGCACACCCTGGCATAATTCAGAGGCCTATGGTCTGGATGCAGCCTCCAACAGCCCATTCAGGGTGTTTGCAGAGAATAATTAACTATCCTTTTGCAAAAGTCTTCTTCTCCATCTCCAGCCTCTCGCTCCTTCTCTGCATGAAATGGGCAGGGATTATTACAGCCTAGGAAAAGAGATTTCCCCTTTTCATCTGTGGTGAGATTACTTGCTACCACTTCTCTGGTGAGGACATAGCATTTCTAAGCCAACATTGCCACCTACTGAGAGTGGAAATCCTCTAAGAAGCACACTTTGTTCCTGTTTTTCCAATACATCTCCAAAGCTTTCTTTTACACTGTTAGCATTAAGTGCCCTCTTCTGAGATGGGCACTTTCTACCTTTAGCAATTAGGAGTAAGATGTTTTCTGAAGACCAATTTTAGTCTCTATAGTGTCCCACTGGCAGGAAAATAATCCTCAATTAGGTTTCTATATTCCTTTAAAGCATCTATTATCTCTCCTATTAAGATAGGATTTAATTAGTAAGAGGACTTTAAGTCCAGAAGTTAATGGGAACCATTTCACTATGGGTGAAAGCTTTAGTACTGGCCACAATAGCAGAATATAGAGTTCAATCTAGCAGACACATCTCTAAAGGGGTCTTGCCTAATTGCATGGTTTTTCCAGAAATCCATTTTTTAAGAAAGTCATACAGGCAACACCACTCTAAGAATTAAAAGGGAAATAAAAGACAGAGGAATACACTGCTGTGGACGGCATAAATAAGACATAAAATTTAGTTTCTCTGGTGCCATGGCTTAAAGTGTCATGACTGCAGTCATGGGTGTCACTTTTAAATGGGAGCTGAAATTCAGGAGCAAAGAAAGAAAAATAGTTACAGAATGCCCCCTACAATACTAGTCTCCATTCCGGATCATATACTGAAAAGAAGGAGACTAAAAGGATGTTTTTATCCTTATGTCTCTTTCTAGATTGCTAACAGATCATCTTTAGCATCCATTCCCTTGGAACATATATATATATATATATACATACACACACACACACACACACACACACACTTTTATATATGTATAAATGTGTATATATAGATGTATAAATACATATAAGTATAAATATACATATTTTGTGTGTGTGTGTGTGTGTGTGTGTGTGTGTGTGTGGCAGAATCTCACTGTTTCACCCATGCTGGAGTGCATTGGTGAGATCTCAACTCACTGGAAATTCCACCTATTGAGGTCAAGTGATTCTTCTGCCTCAGCCTCATGAGAAGCTGGAACTACTGGCGCACACCACCACACCTGGCTAGTTTTAGTATTTTTAGTAGAGATGCAGTTTCACCATGTTGCTCAGTCTAGTCTCAAACTCCTGACCTCAAAATCTGCCCACCACAGCCTCCCAAAGTGCTGGGATTACGGGCGTGAACCACTGTACCTGGCTGGGAGTATTTTAAAGCAACTGGACTCATTCAGCCCTGAAACTTTGAAGGAAAATTTCTTATTTACTTTTGCACAATGGAATGGCCTTCTTACTACACCTTTGTAAGTGTTGCAAAATAACCAAGTCCATTTAGCGATCATATCAGGCAAGCCCAAAGAGAAAAATTTCTCAAAATTAGAGAAGCAAGTTTCAGGGGAACCATCTGAGTATTCCCTTATTTGGGGCCCCTTCAAGTTTTCTTCTCATTGGAGGAAATTTGGAAAGTAAAGGGAGGCTTACGCCAAATTTCTGATGATCCTGATAGGCATATAGAAGCTTTCCAAAATTTAACTTAGGTATTTGACCTCTTATGAAGGAATGTTTTTATCCTCCTAAGCTAAACCTTAACTTCAGCTAAAAGAGGCAGCTGTGCAAGCAAAAGAAAATTGTGGAAATGAGCAATATGTCTTCTATAGTAGGTGAAAAGGGAAAAGAGCAACTAGGGTAGGCAAATAAATAGGGGAAGTACTATTCCAAATAGGAAAAGGGGCAATACCTCTTGAAAAGCTTAACTGGAACTCCTTTCTATAGTGTTTTTCATTTTTTGTGTGTGTGATTTAAAATGGCATCTGTCTCTTTCATAATGTTTGTCCAACTTGGGAAAAGTTAATTTTCCAAACCTTAAAATGCTTGGCTGACAGTTGAGCTAGAAGAAAGGAAACTTAGAAGCCTGATATGCTGGCAAAAGGGAAAAATTTCTTACCCATTTGGCTTTTGGCTTCTCTCTCACTGAGCAAACTGGTAACAAAGAAAAAAGAGTATTATTGTTTATATTCTAGGTAAATTTATAAATAACAAAAAAAGATTTGTGAGTTTGGTCTTAAGTTGTAGACAATTTGTGTGCTTTGCGTGTCCTTCTGTACGGTTCTATCAATAAAAGGGTATCTTAAGTGGGGTGAAGGCCCAGGACCCCATGAGCCTGCTGTTCAAGCCAGACCAACTTAATGGCCAGTAACAAACTGGGCTACAGTCCTACATCTTGTTCCATGTCCTCGGGAACATAACCTGTAACCATGTGGCAATACTTTGTTTTAGTCTCTGCCATTTTAGAAAGGTGGTTTTTTCTTCCCATAAGTCAGTTCATAGAAGAGGGCCACAAAATCTGATAAGCCAGTTTTTCAATCCGGGTGGTCCCAGCCGATCTGTCAAACACAGGGTTTACAAAATATCTCAAGCACTGATGTTGAAAGCAGTTTAGGGAAGGTCAAAATCTTGTAGCCTCTGCCTCCCTGACACCTAAGCCATGGTCCCTAACCTTGTGGCTAGCTTATTGTTCTGGTTTCCAGGCAAGAGGAAAGTATATCTTGGGAAGCAGCTGTTATCCTCTTTGTTTTAGACTACAGACGGTATACAAGGCTCCTCCTAAAGTTGGCTCAGCCTAACCCAAAGATGGGCAAAGACAGCTTGAGGGTGGGAAGTGAAATAGATTTGTTTAGGTCAACTCTCTTTCACTGTCTCCCTCACAGTTTTGCAATGAAAGATTCAAAAGCTATCATTCCTCTGAAAATACCTTGGACACTTGCGGTTAAGTCATAGCCTAGATTGGTTTTATCTGTGAGGTTACATTTTCTAAAGTTCGAAAACCAAAAATCTTAACTACTTGACATGGCTAAAGTTAAGTAATAAGAAATTTTTTAAGAATTTTCTTAAAAATGTTCAGCTTAATTAAAAGTAGATATTCAAGTTATTGATACATTTAAAATTTTTTTCTGAAAAAAATGGTCTTTTCTTCTCAGTAGACTGAATTATTTTTCCCCATTTTTTGTCTTCACCCTCTTAATGCACGCCTGAGAGGCCCTAACGTAACTTCTGATAGCACGGGACTCCTGGGGAAAAACAGAGTAGGTGCCAAATTCTCCATATGAGAAAACACACACGCAAACAAAACAAAACCAAACACACATGTTTTGCTCATGAAACCCCCCAAATTGAAAGCAGATGTTTCCCTCCCAATACCAAAGGCTCCGTACTGTTATGCATTGTGTTATTTACCTTTGTGAGTATTGAGGATATCAAGTTCCTTCACATTATGAGACCTCTTTGGTGTGTAATAACTAGGTAGAAAATGCCCTGTATGAAATGGCTAATAGTAGTTATAAATCAGAGAAGCATGCTCTTGTCTACCTAAAACATAGAGAAACATCCTCACCCCCGCTCCCTCCACTAAGAAACAAGACTCCCAAAGGGGATGGATTAATTGCCTTCTGCTGTGTCTGCTTATTACTCCCTAAAAACTGCAAATTAATGATCCTATTCCTCCAAGGGCTACAACCTGAAGCCAGTAATCCAGTTAAGAAACTGGCACATAAAAAAAATCTCTGAATTTTCCGTTTGTGTCGCTATATATGTGGTGTGTGTAATGCCTATAAAAGCAAACTCTAATTAATTGTCTTAAAGAGAAGTAAGCACTTGAATATGTTTTAGTTCACGTGAGTTTAAGTAATATAGTCTTGAGAATTACTGGTAAGATGCAAGTGTTGTCAAAATGAAAATAGGTCATTTAAATGATTCAATTTAGACACCAGATTTGCTAAATGTTCCAAGGTTGTTTCTCACCTGCTTTACAGGTTGGTAAAACCTGGGATACATGGAGTGAGAGGCTGAAACCTCACACTTTATCTGCACTTCTGTCTGAGTTCTAGGATCCACACCATGTATGTAAGTAAAATGGCCTATTAACCAGGGTGTTCATCAAAAATGAAAGTTGCTAAATGTTCACAGTGAACATTAACTAAACTCAAAAGGTTATTGTATGGTCTTTTTTATAACCTTAGCATTGAAATAAAGGAATACCAATGAGATCTTAAGAAACGAATCTGCCATTTAGTAAAAGAGTTTTGAAAGGTTTGTAAATATTTCACCTCATGGTCAAATTGGTTGAGGTTAAATGAAAGGATCTATAAGATTTAATTTAAGCAAATTGAGGTTAACATTAACAAACTGATGAAAGGGTAAAATTTGGCTTTGAGCAGGATGTCATACTCAAATGACAAGTCACATCATAATAAACACTAATAAATGATTTTTACCCTTTGAGCCATCATTTTGGCAAAACAAGTAATTTGTGGAAATCTGGATTCCTATATAAAACCGAGTGTACTAAACCTCTAACATTTAACAGGCATCCTAAAACCATAATTCAAGTTGCAAAATTGTCCTTCCTAATGCCTGGCTTTCTGGGTGGTGAGAGGACTTCTGAAACATTAAGAAAAGACATATACAGGGCTTGTTTAGTCACATGGTATTGCCAAAATGATGTCCAATTTCCTTTAAGTTAAATTTTAGTGAATAATAGTAACAGATGTTCCAAAATTGTGTTGGATTTCTAAAATTCTAACGTCTAAGTGTACACTATGCACCATAATTAAGGGTAAATTTGTCGTAAACTATGGAAACAAGAAATTTCTAATTTCTTCCCATACTTTCTTTTTGCTTTATGTTATTTTTATTTTTTACTATCTCAGGAGCTTTACAAAACTTTACCTGCAAATTGATCACAAAAACTTAAAAATTTTAACTATTACGCTATAAGAAGAGCAACAAATACTCTCTTCACATCCAGTACATCATTTTTACAGCTGGAGCAAGGCCAATTCCCAGGAATGTTATATAAATTTGCAGAGGGTGTGCCCTTAGCATTAAACAACTGGGTATCATTGAGAAGCCCCAAGCAAGACTTGACGCTAGGGTAAAGCCTTGCTACTTTTAACATCTGGCAGCTGCAGTTTGCGATGCAGGCCAAAAATACTGCTGTAAATCCAGTGTGGTCTAAGACATGCCCTCAGAAACAGAATATGCTTTCTTAAGAAAAAAGAGATTCACTCCCACTTGCCAACATAGAATCCCTGCCACTGCTCATCCTCACCCTCTCTTGTCCGTTTACTCCCGGGATGACCAGCTCAAAAGACCACATGGATGACATTTGCAGCCCTGATGACTCCTTTACCCCAGAGACCTTGAACTCTCCTCATTTCCATGGCTCCATCCAATGACAGCACAGTGCATTTTTGTTTCCAGTTTCCACCTGAAACCTAATCCTGCAATTCTCTACTCTTGGACAATTGTTATAATTCCACCTGCCAGTCTCTTTGGATCTAGTCTTTGATCCCTGAGACGGCTACTTAACACTCACATTCCTCCTGGTGTAGCAGTCACTTGCCCTCTCCTCTGCTTCCCTTCACTATGCAAGATAAGCCCAGAATCTGCAGTTAAATGGGCTGCCATTCTCACATCAAATAAGTTAGGCTCTGCAAAGCTCCAGTCCTTCAACATCTCCATCTTTTCAACCTCACGGAAAAGTGCAGAAGAGACCGATGCTTACAATTCCTCCCCAGACCTGCCAAAAAATAAAAATAAAAAATAAACTCACCTACAAGCACATGGTTTGGTCTCATTTAATTTCAGCCTCCCCCAACTACAGCTGGGCCCTCAATACAAGTGATCAGTCCTGTCTGCTTTAAACAGCTGTTCTTCTGTTACTCCCATGAGCTACTCTGCACCTCTAAGCTGCTCCTAAAACCCATGATCTAATGCTCTAATCTGCCTGAGAAGATGGGAGCTTATTTAGGGTGTGTTTCTCTTAATCCCAACTTGACTGTTCACCTCTGACACTCTTCCTTTTCCACTTGTCCCAGAGGAAGCAAATCTGTGTATATATTTCAAGGGCCACCCTTCTTTTTCTTTGCACTCTTTACCACAATTCCTATTGCTCTCCTGGGACCTTGTCATCCCAATTGTGTGATCTCTTTCCTGGATCTTGAACCAACCTGCTAATAGCTGCAGGAAATAGTTACACAGTAAAATATTTGTAAATACCACTTCTTGATGCTTTTGAATTCTCTCAAGGATACTCTTTTCCCAAAAAATGATGGCTTCAGGCTCCGACTGACAAGCCTTCTCAAAATCTTTCCTGAACACAGTTAATTTTTCCCATACTTTCCTTTTGCTTTATTTTAATTTTTGCTATCTCAGCAGCTTAACAGAAGTTTATCTGCAAATTGATCACAAAAAAATTAAAAATTTTAACTATTATACTCTAAGAAGAGTAACAAATATTGTCTTCACATCCAGGCTCAACATTAATGCTCTGTCCAAATATATTACATTTAGTTCATCTTTAGTTTTATCTCACTCACTATATTTGTAGGATTCACTCAAAAGGCATAAACAAATGTCAACAGAAATAAAAGTAATGTGCACAATAGTGGAGTATCCCATTCTTTATTAAAATTCCTAGTTTTTTTTTTTTTCTATACCTTAGATTAAGACTTTAGAAGGCTGTTGAGACAACCAGCCCCACACCACCTAGCACGTACCCTGAGTCTGGTGGAGACAAAGGGTTAGAAAGAGATAGAATCAGTATTTAAAAGGCTGTTCCAGAGGACCAAAGCATCGGAGGCTTGCTCACCGTTCAGAGTTCCTGGGCTCCACCCAATTTGTTGGTTTACAAGCATTTTGATCTTAGGACAGATGGGAGCAGAAGGAAGGGATGAGGAAAAGGATTAATCAGTGTAGAGGAACTCGTGAGTCTTTCAATAAGCTACATAGTAGTGGCAGTTTCTGTGAATTTCCTTGAGCCAAAGGCATGTGTCTAAACTACTTAAGATCTTTAACTTATCAGAACTGAAATGGGTGAGAGCAGCTTTCAGGAGGAGCCAAGATGTTTGATTATACTCCACCGCTTCAAGGGAGTGTTATCTCCCTGAGCAACCTGAGGAATGCCGCTGAGTGCTTATGCTCTGGGGGCATAAAGACATGGAGGCAATAAGGAGACTTTTCTCCTCAGCAGCCACCCATGGCTCCCCATGGATGTCTCACATAGGGGAGAACAACTCAACTGGCACCACAGAAACTCTCCTTTCCACATGTCTCTCTTTTTTGTCTTTATTAATTTTTTGATTAATAACTGCCATTGCTATCATGGCTGGTGTCTGGCCTCTCACCCAAGGGGCTGTCTGCATCTGTTGACTAAAAACAAATAGCATAAGCAGACACAAACCAAAATAAAATTTGCAATTGTTGATCCACCTATGGTTTTAATCTACTTTAAAGGAATGGTATTAGAAAAGCCATCAGTGGCTCCAGCAAGAATATCAGCTCCAGGCAACAGGATAAGATGAGCCTGAGATGACTCAAAAACTTGTTTTTTCAGTTTGGCAATATCTAGTGTTAAACTATGTTCTTTTCCTTGTGGGTGATGTCTAATCATCTCTCAATGATGTTCAGTGACATTATAGGGCTAGGAGAAACACAAAAATCCAAAGTATTCCAATCACATTGCATTTGACTTCTACACTCCAAGCCAGTAGTCCAATCCCCCATCCAAATTACTGTCTGACAGAGATCATTAATTTGATTTGCCAATTTTTGATCTACTTGGCTTTGGGAATTCCAAAGCTTAGAAGAATTTTTCTGCCAACTATCCACAAAGCCCGCAGTTTGAATAGAAGAGTGCAAAGCAGCAACAGTGCAGAAGCAGTAGCTGTGACAGCTATAAGGCCCATGACCACAGCTATTAAAGTAAATATGAATCTCTTTGATCTATTAAATATTCCTTTTAGTACTTCAGTGATAATATGTATGGAGGGAGAGTCCTCCCAAGGTCTATTGAGGGAAACAAGTATCTGAATTCCTTCTCAGGCCCTAACCAGTAAAAATGCTATTATCTTTATTAAAGGTAGAATTAATGCAGGTAAAAAGGTGACAGTTAAGGCAGGGTATGGTTTCGGAGTCAGGTAGGAAATTAATTTTCCCGGCTGCCAACATAAAAGGAGGTTTAACAAAACTCTGCAATGGGACCGTCTGATTAGAGGTCATGGCTACAGCAAATGAAAGTTTTTTACTATGAGTCTCTGTTTTATATTCTCCTATCCAAATCCAAACTGGGGTTTGAGCCATCATTAATTTCCACAGTTCTGGATGTTCTGGTCTCATAACTGGATCGATCATTTTTGGGCTTGGAGGAGCCATACCATTCTCCTCCCACTTAATAGGGTAATTTGTTTCAATTCTTCTACATAATTTTGGTGCATTATCTGGGTAGTCATTTGCAGGAGTCCCTCTACAATCTTTGCGCTGGCCAGTAAAATTTACTGCAAAGTGTCCCCTAGGGACCCAATCAATGGCGATGTTATAGGAATTATTTTACAGTAGCGCAGCACTGTTTGCAATACAATCTTCCCAAGTTAGCACCTCTAACTTTTCAGGCCATTTAGTGGCCTGCCTAGGGCAGGGATTCATATTAGGTTTAAATTCAGTAATCTGGCAACGTGTCATAACATAGCCGTGCTCAAGTATTTAATAGTGTCCAAAGATTAAAATGTTGCTTCATTGATTGCATGAATAGAGGCTTTTGATGCATTTTGTGTAGGGACATTTATGTCCCACTTTATCATAATTTAAACATCCTGCTGCCAGCCCCAGGCAGATGGGAGGAAAGCGATAATCAATGGAAACATTCACCAACATTCCCGCCTGCTCTAGATGAGTAGGACCTTGCTTATCTGTTGGTCCATCCACCAGGAGGGTCTAACCACGCAACAGGCCTAATCAGTAGTGGGAATGGAATGTAGACCCAGTAAGTGTAATTTTGATCTGCCTCTCCCTTACTAAGTCTAATTGCTGCCTGACATTCTGTATTAGCATTTTCATAAGCAAGCAGCTGAATAATCACTTTCCTGGCATGAGAATCTGAAACAGTCTTTTGAGCCGCGTCTTGGAAACAGGCGATAAAATCTGGATAAGTCTCCCTTGGACACTGTTGAAATGAGTTAAAAGAAGGATAAGTAGTACCAGGGTCATGAATGTTTTCCCAGGTTCTTAGGCATAGAGTTCTGAACTGACCAACAGCCTCATCACCCATTACCATGGGTTCATTTACAGTACCCCATGCCTGTCCGATTCCAAGCAATTGATCAGATGTGATATCAATGGCAGGTTGAGCTTGAGCATTTCTGTGTGCCGTATTTGTTGCTTCATCCATCCACCAGGGTTTAAATTGGAGAGATTCCATAGGTTAAATGCCAGTTATAAGCCACAGATTGTAACAAGGAATGAACATAAGGAAAATTTGGCCCCTATTTTCCAATTGCTTGCTTTAAGTCTTCTAATATTTTAAAAGTAAATGGCTCCCAGAGTGCCTCAGGATGTTCTCCAGGCTCCTCAGCAGGAAAAATAATTACTGGATACGGCCAAGCATCCAAATCCCCCATTTCTCGTGCCTGGCGAGTAGATGCCTTGATTGTCTCTGTGCCATAATTTGTATTTGGGCTGGATGAAAGCATTCCTTTACCACAATTAACAGGTGGACAAGCCTGGATCATTCCCTCACTGTAACTGGCTGTTGGGTTAGCCTGAAGCTTCCTTTTGCCATAGTTAATGGCTGGGTGTGCAACAATGGGAGCGGCAAGCCAAGTCACAGGCTCCTTTAACAACAATTCATAAGGCTAAGGCGGAGCTGGCCGTTCCAGACGTTCCCATAAAGGCGCAGTAGTTGGCACTGTTTCTGCTGTAGGTGGAACTCTTTCTTTCATAAGTTTTTTGGGGGTTAGCATATAGAGCTTCTGGTTTCTTCCCCTTATTTAAAACTAGACTGTGATGGTTCACTTTGCTGATCGTCAGACTCATGGTTATTAAACTTTTCTATGTCACCCTGAAACTCCTCCTCATCCTCTGGGTGGAAGGGCTCCAGTGCAGTTTTAATTGCTGACCACACAGACCAAGCAGAGAAGGGAATATCATGGCCCTCTTGCTGTGCTTGTTTTAAGTCTCATCCAACTTTATCCCAATCTTCTACATTCATGGTTCCATATTCCAGGAACCAAGGAGAAAACTTTTCTAGGTTATGGAACAAAGAAGTGAGATTTTGGGTACTCACAATTATCCCTCTGAGGCACAATAACTGCTGCAGCAGGCTAAATAATTGGCAAACTTACTTTCAGTCTGACCTATATTTTCTTGAGGTTACCCTGGAATTCTCTGAGTGCCCTACTTACCCACGGAGCTTGAAGTGAAAATGTACTCGGGCCTCCTTCATCAGGCGTCCTCCACTTTCCACTCTCTGTCATTTCTTTACCAGATTATTTGTAGAGATTACTTGGAGCACTGTGTTGTGTGCCACATGGGGAAACCATCCCCTCACCACCCAGTGGGTCCCCTGAGTCCCGTGCAGACAAAGGAGTTAGAAAGAGATAGAATCAGTGTTTAAAAGGTGGGTTAAGGGAACTGCAGTGTCAAAGGCTTGTTCATGGCCCAGAGTTCTTAGGCTCCACCCAATTTGTTGGTTTACAAGCTCTTTGTTCTTATGTCAGATGGGAGGGGGGAGGAAGGGATGAAGAAAAGGATTAATCAATGAAGGAGAAGTCATGAGTCATTCAATAAGATGTGTAGCAGTGGCAGTTTCTGTGAATTTTCTTGAGTAAAGGTGTGTGTTTAAACTACTTAAGATATTTAACATATTGGGACTGAAGCAGGTGGGAGCAGGTTTCAGGAGGAGCCAAGACGTTTGATTACACTCCACTCTTTCCAGGGAGTGTTATCTCCCCGAGGAACCTGTAGAATGCCACTGAGTGGATATGCTCTCTGAGTGGTTACGCTCTCAGGGCATAAAGACATGAAGGCAATAAGGAGACTTTTCTCCTCAGAGGCCACTCATGGCTCGCCATGGGTGTCTCACACAGGGGAGACAAACTCAACTGGCAACCCAGATACACTTTTTCTCACAGAAGACAAACAAAAATGTCACTCTTGTTAACAATAACAAGGTAAAGCTTACATTTTGACACATTTCTGCCTGAACTTGCTCTTTTATTTCTCTCTCATATTCATTTAGCTTTATTTCTAAAGACTCACCCTTGATATGCTGAGAGTAAGCATCTGCAAACTGATCATCAATAAGCTGAAACTTCCCAGGTATTAAAAAATAACATGTCAAAAGAGGACATAGAAGCATGGTCAGGTGTGTAAGAGGCCAGTTTTCTTTTTCAAAGGTAAAGAGTATACTTAGGGGAAAGCATGGGTGTCTGCGATTTACTTCAAAATACACAAAAAAAGAAAGATGGATGTGTGGATAAACAGATAAAAGTAATGAAGCATATATAATGCCAATGTAATAATGGAATTTAGGTGGGAGGTTTATAAGTGTTTGATAGAATTCTTTCTACTTTTCTATATGTTTCAAAATGTTCATCATAAAATGTTGGAGGAAATAGAAATTGAAGAGTACAGTTAAAGTCAGAAAATACTGCTGTCTCTTCCTATTAACTAAATGCTAAGGAAGAGAGCTCTTTATCGGACTTTTGTTAAAATTGACTTCAGATTCAAAACAATAACTGTAAAGGAATCAAAGGTCATGTTACTTCAATGCCTCCACTTTGCAGATAAAGAACACATACCAATATAGCTGAAAAAGTGATTAAATAACAGCATAGCCAGGACTAAAATGAGACCGACTGACTCTTTCTTCCATTAGTCAAGTGGGCCTCAAACCAACTATGGACTAAAATCAACCACACAGCAGAGTGCAAATCTGAACCCAGGGTACAATCTTGAGCATGTGTAACACACCAAAAAAGTATGCCCAGTGGGAAAAAGGCTGGCAGAAGTAGACGATAACATTGATAGTGTTTGTCCCTGGTAGGCATGACTTTAGACATGTTTTTTCATCTACTTTTCTGTATTTTTCAAATGCTGTCCTACACAAGACCCTCCAGCCACATACAGCCATTGACACTGGAAAGGCGACCAGTCTGAACTGAGATGTGCCTTAAATGTAAAAAACACATGAGATTTCAAAACTTAGTGCAAAAACAAAGCAAAAAGAAAGTGAAATATCTCATTCATATTTTTATATTGAACACATGTTGAAATCATATTTTGGATGTATTGGATTAAATATATTGTTAAAGCTAATTTTATCTATTTCTTTTTACTGTTTTCAATGTGGCTACTAGAAAACTGAACATTATGTATGTGGCTCACCTATTGGACAGCACTGCTTGATAATTATCAAGTAAAATGTTTCTAATGGAATTAAACCTACACTTAATTAAAGGCATAGTCAGATAATACAAATTTTGAATTTATCTTCTAACATGTTATTGTTACTATTTAAGAATAAGGAAGGCCCAAAAATCCATTAAGCACATCATTTTAAACAGCTGTCTCCCATCTCTACTGAGTGCAAAACTGAAGGGCAAGATGGTATTGTCGACCCGCTGCGTAGTACACAAAATCTAGATCATGGATGGGAGAATTCGGACATCACTAGCTGCTCTGAGGCAGATTGAACGTTTTCAATTTGCCCTCCCTCTGAGGACCTCGATTTCCTCCACTGTAAATTGAAGCGATGAGCCAATTACTTCTCTAGTTCTCTGCAAAACAAATAGTCCATAATCTTCTACCTTGGTTGCTGTAAACTTAAGACAAGACACGAGGAAGGACCTCCCAGTTAAGAGAGGTAAAACTCAACAAACAGGGAAGATTTTGGGCCTTTGAATCCTTGCATGCTTTGGCCAATGTAGCCCTGGCATGCATGAGGCCAGGAAATGACATTGGAGAGCACTTGCTGGGCCCCCAGGATGATTCCAGAAAAAGTAAATTCCCCTTTTCCCTGCAGGCTGCATCCCTCTTGTTCAAGAAGCAACCACACAACTTGGTAAATCAGGTAGCTTCCTTCATTCAAAATGGAAACAACAGAATTGAAATTAAGAAAGAAGACTGTAATTACCTAGAGAATCTCTGATAAATGGCAAAGTTGTCTGTGTTTCCATGTTACAACTCTTTTTAGCTTGATGATATTCTGCTAATTATTTTAATAAATGCATACAAAAACCTAAAAAAAAATGCATTCAGTTTTTTTTCCTCAGAGCTTTCAGCCACTGCTCAGACACTGTTTACACAATCTTCGTTTTATGACAGTATCATTTTATACATCGTGTATGTTTCTTTTTTGTAGAGACAGAATCTTGCTCTGTCACAAATGCTGGAGTGCAGCGGTGTAATCATGGCTCGCTACAGCCTCGAACTCCTGAGCTCAAGCAGTCCTCGCACTTTAGCCTCCCAAGTAACTGTGACTAGAGGCAACTACCACCACCTGCCACGTAAAGCTAATTTTAATTTTTTGTGCAGACAGGGTCTTCCTATGTTGCGCAGGCTGCTCTCAAACCCATGACCTCAAGCGATCCTACTGCCTGGGCCTCGTAAAGTGCTGAGATCACAAGCATGAGCCACTGTGCCCAGTCACAGCTTCTAAGAATAAATCTGAGGAAAGACCTTTCCAAGCATGCTACAAAATGTGGCATAAATAATGATAAATATTTATGAATTTAATGACTTAAAACTTGAAAAATTTACATATGATATAAAATAAACAAAGCACACTGCAATAATATGGAGTCATAAGTGTATAGGAGTTATTAAGAAATCATTTTAAGCAGATAGAGAAAACCTGGTGTCCTTGGAACGTTTTTGTCTCATTTAAAGCAGCTCCAGAAAAGTTTCCTGTCTAGCCGGAAAGGCCTGGCTCTTGGAGTCGGGCAGGCAAATTTTGATATGCAAATGTCCGCCGTCAGAAACTGAGTCCACCCAAACATGGCTTCCTGCTCTCTTCTCCTTGACCTTGCCCCCACAAATGCCTGGCCACATGGCCTCCCCCACATATCCCCAGGTATGCAGAACATCCTGGTACCCTGCATCTGCATTCTAAAAGTCTGGGCGGAGCGGGGGGAGGGCCAGTATTTTAGGGGCTACATGAGTGAGGAGACTGGTCAAACCAATCCCCTGAGCCTATAGAAATCAGGCACCACCTCCTCCAGCCTCCTTATGCAGCTGGCTGGTTTCTGCCTCACTTAGGCTTTCCTTTCTCGGGTTTGGAGCCCCTCCTTCCCTCTCTCTTTGTACAGAGAGGCTTCTTCCTTCTTTCTTCTTCCTTCTTTCTGCCTATTAAATGCTCTGCTCCTTAAAACCACTTCACGTGTGTCTGTGTTATTCTACCCAATTAGCAGGATACAAAAGCCCTAGTGTTTCTCCACTCGTCAGAGCTGAGTCATTTTGGTGCATTGCATGGGAATCCAAGGTACAGTCTTCCTCAGAGTGGTGAGTATGGAAGCAAGCTTAAAACCTGTTCTATCACTCTGAGGTGCAGTTAGCCTCTATATTAAAATAAATCCAATAAATCAATGGAAATCCATCAGCCTAGTACCTACTGTTAGCGTTAACTGCCGTAATAAAAACATGGATGTGAGGCTAGCTGGGGAGAACATGGAGAACACCACATTACAAATGGGTATTGAATTTCTGACCGGGGCACATGCTGGCATGATTCAGAGGCCAATGACCTGGACGCAGCCTCCGACAGCCCATTTAGGGTGTTTGCAGAGAATCCTTAACTATCCTTTTGCAAAACTCTTCTTCTCCATCTCCAGCCTCTTAATCCTTCTCTGCATGAAATGGGCAGGGATTGTTACAGTCTAGGAACAGAGTTTTCCCCTTTTCCTCTGTGGTGAGTTTACTTGTTGCCACTTCTCTGGTGAGCACATAGCATTTCTCAGCCAACACCACCACCTAGTGAAAATGGAAATCCTCTAAGAAGCACACTTTGTTCCTGTTTTTTTCAGTGCAAGTCCAAAGCTTTCTTTCACACTGTTAGAAATCAGGCTCTAGGCCTCTTCTGAGATCGACAGTTTCTGCCTTTAGCAATTAGGAGTAAGATGTTTTCTGTAGACAAATTTTAGCCTCCATAGTGTCCCACTGGCAGGAAAATAATCCTCCATTTGGTTCCTATGTTCCTTTAAAGCTTCTATTATCTCTCCTATTAAGACGGTATTTAATTAGTAAGAGGACTTTAAGTCCAGAAGTTAATGGGAACCATTTCACTATGGGTACATGCTTTACTACTGGCCACAATGGCAGAACATAGAGTTCAATCTAGCAGACACTTCTCTTAAAGGGGTCTTGCCTAATTGCATTGTTTTTCCTGAAATCCATTTTTTAAGAAAGGCATGCAGGCAACACAAGTCTAAGAAATAAAAGGAAAATAAAGGAAAGAGGAATAAGACTGCTTGTGGAAGGCAATACCATTACCCAAAAGTTTAGTTTCTCTGGTAACATGGCTTAAAATGTCATGACTGCAGTCATGGGTGTCACATTTAAATGGGAGCTGAATTTCAGGAGCAAAGAAAAACTACAGTTACAGAACACCCCCTAATGTACTAATCTCCTTTCGGAATCACATACTGAAAGGAAGGAGAGTAAAAAGGTGCTTTTATTCTTACCTCTCTTTCTAGATTGGTAACAGATAGTCTTTAACATCCATTCCCTTGGAATATATATATATATATATATATATACATATTCGTATATGCATATATGTATATATGTATATATACGTATACACACACACACACACCACACACACACACACACACACATATGTATATTTATTTATATGCCTGTGTGTGAGACAGAATCTTACTCTGTCACCCATGCTGGAGTGCATTGGTGAGGTCTTGGCTCACTGGAAACTCTGCCTCTTGGGGTCAAGGGATTCTTGTGCCTCAGCCTCATGAGCAGCTGGAACTACTGGCACGCACCAACACACCTGGCTAGTTTTAGTATTTTTAGTAGCGATGCGGTTTCACCATGTTGGTCAGCCTAGTCTCAAACTCCTGACCTCATAATCTGCACGCCACAGCCTCCCAGAGTGCTGGGATTACAGGCGTGAACCACCGCACCTGGCTGAGTGTATTTTAAAGTGCTTGGATTCCTTCAACCCTGAAACTTTGAAGAAATAGTTTATTTACTTTTGCACAATGGCATGGCCTTCTTACTACAGCTTTGTAAGTGTTGCAGAATAACCCAGCGCATTTAGCAATCCTATCAGGCAGTCCCAAAGAGAAAAATTACCCAAAATTAGAGAAGCAAGTTTCAGGGGAACCATCTGAGGATTCCCTTATTTGGGGCCCCTTCAAGTTCTCTCTTCTCATTGGAGGAACTTTGGAAAATAAAGGGAGGTCATGCCAAATTTCTGATGATCCTGATAGACACATAGGCGCTTTCCAAAATTTAACTTAGGTATTTCATCTCTTTTGAAGGAATGTTTTTCTGCTCCTAAGCCAAAGTCTAACTTCAGCTAAAAGAGGCAGCTCTGCAAGCAAAAGAAAATTGTGGAGATGAGCAACATGTCTTCTATAGTAGGCTAAAAGGGAAAAGAGAAACTTTCCCTAGGTAAAGAAATAGGGGAAATACCATTCCCTATAGGAAAAGGGGCAATACCTCTTGAAAATTTTAACTGGAACTTCTTTCTATAGTGTTTTTCATTTTTTTTTTTTTTGTGATTTAATATGGCTTCTATATCTTTCATACTGTTCATCCAATCTTGGAAAAGTTAATTTCCAAACCTTAAAATGCTTGGCTTAGAGTTGAGCTAGAAGAAAGGAAATGTAGAAGCCTGATATGCTGGCAAAAGGGTAAAAATTTCTTACCAGTTGGTCTTTGGCTTCTCTCTCCCTTAGTAAATGGGTAAAAAAGAAAATAAGGATTATTGTTTATATTCTAGGTAAATTTATAAATAACGAAAAAAGATTTATGAGGTTGATCTTAAGTTGTAGACTATTTGTGTGCTTTGCATGTCCTTCTGTATCTTTCTGTCAACAAAAGGGTATCTTAAGTCAGGGTGAAGGCCCAAGACCCCATAAGCCTTCTGTGCAAGCCAGAGCAACTAAATGGTCAGTAACAAACTGGGTTACAGTCCTACATCTTGTTCCATGTCCTTGGGAACATAACCTGTAACTATGTGGCAATAATTGGTTTTAGTCTCTGCCATTTTACAAAGGTGGCTTTCTTCTTCTGCTAAGTCAGTTCATGGGTGAGGGCCACAAAATCCGATAAGCCAGTTTTTCAATCTGGGTGGTCCCAGCTGATCCACCAAGGGCAGGGTTTATACAATATCTTAAGCACTGATCTTGAAAGCAGTTTAGGGAAGGTCAAAACCTTGTAGCCTCCACCTCCCTGACACCTAAGCCATGGCCCCTAACCTTGTGGTTAGCTTCTCATTCTGGGCTCCAGTCAAGAGGAAAGGATATCTTGGGAAGCAGCTGTTATCATCTTTGTTTTAGACTGTAGACTGTAAACCAGGCTCCTCCTAAAGTTGGCTCAGCCTAAGCCCAGGGATTGGCAAAGACAGCTTGAGGGCAACAAATGAAACAGATTTGTTTAGGTCAATGCTCTTTCACTGTCTCCATCAAAATTTTGCAATGAAAGATTCAAAAGCTGACTATTATTCCTCTGAAAATACCTTGGACACTAGCTTTTAAGTCATAACATGAGTTGGTTTTATCTATGAGATTATATTTTGTAAAGTTCAAAAGCCAAAATTCTTAACTGCTTGGCAGGGCTAAAGTCAAGTAATAAAAAATTTTTTAAAGAATTTTCTTAAAACGTGTTCAGGTTAATTAAAAGTAGGTGTTCTAGTTGTTGATATATTTAAAAAATTTTGGGGGGCCGGGCGCAGTGGCTCATGCCTGTAATCCCAGCACTTTGGGAGGCCGAGGTGGGCAAATCATGAGGTCAGGAGATCGAGACCATACTGGCTAACATGGTGAAATCCTGTCTCTACTAAAAATACAAAAAATTAGCTGGGCGTGGTGGCAGGTGCCTGTAGTCCCAGCTACTCAGGAGGTTGTGGCAGGAGAATGGTGTGAACCCAGGAGGCGGGGCTTGCAGTGGGTCGAGATATCACCACTGCACTCCAGCCTGGGCAAAACAGTGAGAATCTGTTTAAAAAAAAAAAAAAAAAAATTGAAAAAAAAGGCTCTTTTGTTCTCAGTCGACTGAATTATTTTTCTCCATCATTTTCTGTCTTACCACTCTTATTGCATGCCTGAAAGGTCCTAATAAGGTACCTTCTGATAGCATAAGACTCCTGGGGAAAAACAGAGTAGGTACCAAAATCCCCATATGGGGAAACACACACACACACACAGATAGCAAAACAAAACACCCATGTTTTCCTCATGAAACCCCCAAAATTGAAAGCAGATAGTTTCCTCTGAAAAGCAAAGCCTCTGTATTCTTATGTATTGTGTTATTTACCCTTTGTGGCTCTTGCTGATATCAAGTTACTTCACATTATGGGAGAGCTTTGGTGTGTAATAACTAGGTAGAAAATGCACTGTATGAAATGGCTAGTAGTAGTTATAAATTAGTGAAGCATGCTCTTGTCTGCCTAAAACATAGAGAAACATCCTGACCCCCCACTCCTCCACGAAGAAAAAGAGTACCAAGGGGGATGGGCTAATTGCCTTCAGCTGCATCTACTTACTAGACCCTAAAAATGTATGCTAATGACACTGTTTCTCCAAGGGCTACAACTTGAAACCAATAATCCAATTAAGAAACTGGCACACAAAATAACTCTGAATCTTCTGTTTGTGTTGTTATATATGTGGTGTGTGTAATATCTATAAAAACAAGCTCTAATTAATTGTCTTAAAGAGAAGTAAGCACTTAAATCAAATTTTTTTTTTAGTTCCTGTGAGTTTAAGAAATGTAGTCTTAAGGATTATTGGGAAAATGTAAGTGTTGTGAGAATGAAAATAGGTCATCTGAATCATACAATTTGGACACCAGGTTTGCTAAACATTCCAAGGTTTTTTTCCTGCCTGCTTTACAGGTTTGTAAAACCTTGGATACATGGAGATAGAAGCTGAAAACTCACACTTTATCTGCACTTCTGTCTGGGTGCTAGGATCCACACCTTGTATATAGTAAAGTTGCTTATTAACCAGGGTTTTCACTGAAAAAGAAAGTTGCTAAATGTCAACAGTGAACATTAAATTCAAAAAGTTACTGTATTTTTTAAATAACTTGAGTACTGAAATAAAAGCACACCAAGGAGTTCTTAAGAAACTAATCTGCCCTTTGGTAAAAGCGTTTTAAAAGGTTTGTAAATATTTCACGTCATGGTCAAATTGGTTGAGATTAAGTGAAATGATCCATAAGGTTTTATTTAATCAAATTGGGGTTGACATTAACAAATTAATACAAGGGTAAAATTTGGCTTTGAACAGGATCTCAGAGCCAAATGACGTGTCATGTAATAATAAAAACTAATAAAAATGGTTTTTGCCTTTTGAGCCATCCTTTCGGCAAAACAAGTAATTTATAGCAATCTGGATTGCTATTTCATAAAATCGAGTGTTCCAAACCTCTAAAATGTAACAGGCATCCTAAAAGCATAATTCAAGTTTCAAAATTGTCCTTCCTAATGCCTGGCTTTCTGAGTCGTTTAGAGGGCTTCCAAAACATTCAGAAAAGACATATACAGACACATTTAGTCACAAGAGATTGCCAAAATGATGTCCAATTTTCTTTAAGTTATAATTTGGTGAATAATACTAATAGATTTTCCAAAATTTTGTGGCATTTCTAAGTTCTAAGGTCTGAGTATATGCTCTCAATCATAATTAAGGGAAAAGTTCTTATAAACCATGGAGACAAATAAACTTCTCTCTCAGTCATAGTTTTAACTGTAACTATCCTGGAAATTTTGTCATTTGCAGACAATGGTCTTGTTTAGGGTTCCTTCTGAAAAGAGGGTTTTTAATCATGCTATATTAAAGACTTTAATAGGTGTTCTCAAATGCAGGTTTTTAATAGTTTTGATGACTGTAACGTTGGGATAAAGACAGAATGTACGACACTCATAAAGGTCTGACATGTTCACAAATATCAAGCGAAAGAAGAGTTAACTAACTGCACTGCGCTCAGAAAGTTAAAGCAGCATTTTTAACTTAGTTTGGAATATTAATGATCCTTGTTTTGATTTTCAGAGTCAAGAAAACTTACTTTGAAGTATTTGCAGCCCTTGCAAATTCAGTAAGACATTCTCCTGTCAACAAAATTTGGACCATGTTTGTTTTAAACTGTAAGTACTCTTAACTTATGGCAAGACTGTTGTCTCCATGAGTGCAATAAGAATCATTTACTTTTTTAAAGAACACAGTTGGAAAAACTGGTTAATTGACCAAGGCATTGACCGAAAGAATGTGTTTCCTTTTAAGGAATCAAGCTTGGCACTCAGAGCTGATAAAAGCCCATTAGGGAGAACTGGCCTCATACCTTGTCAAGCCAGTCCCTGCACAGTGTTCCTCACCTGTGGTCAGTAAAGAATTGCACTTTCTACAAGACCTTGGAGCTCCAAATTTATCTGGGACCTCAAGAACAGAGGATCACCCAACTTACCAAATTACAGGCATTTGAGAATAGGAACCATGGCTAGTCTCAGCTTTAAAAGTTTTATCTCAAATTCTTTCCAGAGCAGAGTTTCATCAAAGCTAATCCAATAGGCTGATATAAAAAATAACCATTCTAGCTGCACTTAATGCAATTATCAGTCCAAGTATAAGACTAAAGTTTATTCTACAAAAAAGACACAGGGTTCTATAATTTGCCTTTTTTTAAACAAAAAATGAGGCCTGAAGAAATTGTGCTCCAAAGCTTATCATACACTTGTCATTAAATCTTAGTCCACTTAATAGATTGTAAGCCTTTTGTCTACCTTTTAGACTAAGCGTGCTTAATCCTGAGAGTCAAGTGGTAATCTCCTACAGCTTGGGAGGAAAAAAAAAAAAAGGATAGGTAGTGTAAATATCTGGATCTATTTCTGGGACATTATCCTGCAAATTCTGCCAGGTAATAAAATTGAGTGCAATGCCCATAACTCAGAGCTTTCTTTGTTTGGGAAAATAAAAGTAAATAACTTCATAGATCCCAAAAGGGAGATTCTGTATCTTAGATAAACACCTCTACTCAAGCAGAGAAAAATCTACGGGCAATTAAAAATCAAATTAAAATTATTGACAAGCTCAGGAAAAATGCAACTTTCAGCCCCTGGTAGCTACAGTCCCTCTTTAATGAATTCCAGTATTCTTTATAAAATTGGCTAATCCCTGTAATAAGCCCTCTCTTGCTTATATGTCTTGTGCTAATATTTGAATTTTGTATACTCAAAACTGTAACTCAATTTTTTTTTCTCCTGTCGAAGCCATCAAACCTACATAGTGCTGCAAACTGAACCACACATGGACACACTGCTCTTCTGAGGACCCCTAGGTGAACCCCAGAAGGAACCCTCCCTGCTGTTCCCCATTTGCTGTGCCCTTTTAGCATGAAGCATCCAGAAAGAGTCATCGCCCCAAACCCTCTAACATCAGTTAAGGTGACTTCTGCAGACGGGGAGAGATGGAATGTTAAAGGAGTTATTAAGAAATTATTTTAAGCAGATAGAGAAGAAAAGAGGCCCTTGGAAATTTTTTCTCTTTTAAAGCAGCTCCAGAAATGTTTCTTGTTTCACAGGAAAGCCCCAGATCTTAGATCCAGAAAGCAAACTTTGATATGCAAATGCTGGCCAGAAGAAAATGGGCCCACCCAAGCGTCGCAATTCCTGCCTTCTTCTCTTTAACCTTGCCTTCACATGTCCCTGGCAGCATGGCCACCCTCATACATCCCCACATGTGTAGAATGGTGCCCTGCATTTTCATATTGAAAGGCTAGGGTGGGAGAGCCAGGTTTTTCAGAGGCTATGTGAGTGACATGCCTGGTCAAACCATTCCCCTGAGACTAGGCAAATCAGACATCGTCTCCTCCAGCCTTCTCCTATAACTGGTTGATTTCCCCAGCACTTGCAGTTTCCTCAGTCAGCTTTGGAGTCCCTCTCCCTTTGTCTCAGTACAAGGGAGCTTCTTCCTTCTTTATTGTCTATTATGCTCTCTTCCTTAAAACTCCACGTGTGTTCATGTCATTTTTTCCAATTCGCATGAGACAAAAGCCATGGTGTTCCTCCATTCTTCAGAGCCATATCATAATCAATACTAAAGTAAAGACATTTTCATAATTTCAACGAGCCCTTAAAAATCAGGTAAAAAAAGAAAAAATGGGAAAAAAATAGATAGTTTGCAGCAAAAAACAAAATGTCAAACAAAGATGAACAAAATGTTAAACAAAGATGAACAAAATTTTTATATGCTGAATAAACAAGAACAAAATTATAAATGCAAATTAATACAGCAGTGAAGCCATTCTTTCCCCTATAACACCACTAGATTAAAGCTTTGATAATGCTAATGTTGTCAAGGGAGTGGCTGTATGGGTACACTCATTTACTTTGGAAAGAAATTTGTCAATGCTTATATATATTCAACGTGCAGGTGCCCTTTAATGCGCTCATTCCACTTCTAGAAATTTACACAGCTGTACTTTCACAAGGTCACAAAGGGTGCACACTGCACGAAGGTTGCTTCTAATGGCCAAAAGCAAACAATGAAACACCTAACTCTCCATCAATAGGGGGTTAAATACGTTCTTTTAAAAATAATCATGAACTCCTTTCAGTGAGGGGATTACAGTTAGATTGTTCTATCACAGTCTGCATTTCCTCCTGGGATCACTTGACCTAAATTTGCAAACATTAACGTTCACTCTTGGTGATGTAAACTCTATGGGCTTTGACATTGGGTGTTTTCATTCTCTTAACAGTGTCTTCCACAGAAATGTTTTTAATTGCAATAAAGTCTAACTCATCTACTTTTTCATTTGATATGTCTCGCTTTTGGTGTTACAGCTCATCATGAAACCCAAGATCACATAGACTTTCTCCTGTTTTCATCTGGGTGTTTTATAGTTTTGCATTTCACATTTAGATCTAGAGTTCATTTCTGCGCACATGATTATCCAATTGTTCCAGCACCACTTGTTGAAAAGACTATCTTTCCTTTATTGAAATCCTTTTGCAACTTGGTAGAAAACAAGAAATCAATTGACCATATTTTTATTAATCAATTTCTGAACTTTCTAAGTCTGGCCCCATTGATGTATGTGCCTATTTGTTTGCAAAATGCAGATAAGAATATGAGCTTCCAAAAAGCAAAAGACCAATGTCCAAATTTTCTTCCCTAATTCAAGTTCTGTGTGCATCATTTTCTCAAGTATCCTTATCTCTAAAAGCAATTATTAGGAGTAGAAAAAATAGGTGACTAGAATCTAGGGGGAAATGTACCCTGGACATTCAACAACTTAGAAGCACCTGAGCATAGATATAGTCAGATACGATAAGAACATAGGTTTCTGAGTCAGGGTTACAGACAACAGTTAGGTACAACATAACTTCCTACAGATTCTCTGTTGGTTAATTGGAAGCCAACAATTTTTAAAATAATTTTATTTTGCCAGGAGCTATTTTATTGTGAGCTAAAGTTCTACCCAAATTTTGTCACTGTGCTATCTGCCATGCCCGCTACTCAATGTTCTCTCACTTCTAGAAACTTTATTGGGATGCTAGGTAAAGCTGGTAAGGGCTGCTGACCAGATTTCTTTCTGAAATGGCGGCATTTAAAAAAACTGTAAAGGTAATAAAAATATTTTAAAAAATAATCTATCTATTCCAATTACATAGTCCTCCTTTCTTTTTCTCTTTCTTTCTTTCTTTCTTTCTTTCTTTCTTTCTTTCTTTCTTTCTTTCTTTCTTTCCCTTCCTTCCTTCCTTCCTTCCTTTCTTTCTCTTTCCTCTTTCTCTTTCTTCTCTTTCTTTCTTTTTCTCTTTTTCTCTTTCTTTCTTTTTTACTTTCTTTCTCCTTCCTTCCTTCCTTTCTGAATTTCATTTCTTTTCTTTGTTGTTGTTTGGCATGGTGTCTAGCTCTGTCACCCATGCTGGATTGCAGTGCCATCATTTCAGTTCATGACACCCTTTACATTTCAGGTTCAAACAATTACCCTGCCTCAGCCTCCCAAGTAGCTGGGATTACATGCACTTGTCAACAGACCTGGCAAGTTTTTGTATTTTTAGTAAATAAAGGTTTTCATTATGTTGTCCAGGCTGATCTCAAACTCCTTATCTTAAGTGATATACCCACTTTAGCCTTCCAAATTGCTGGGATTACTGGCAAGGACCATCATGCGTGGCCCGTAGATTGTTTCTTAATATCCCTTCAAGCCAGAAATTTCCTTTGGTAGTAAGAGTTAAGCAACAGATACCAGCCATGTACCTTAGAATTATGCTACCCTGTATGGTAGTCATTATGCACATGTAGTTTATTAAGCATAGATTAAAAATTCAGTTATTCAGTCACACTAGCCAAATTTCAAGTGCTCAATAGCCACATGAGGCTAGTACCTACCACAGTCAACAACATAGATACAAACATTTCAATTTTCACAGCGAGTCATACTGGATGGTGCTTAACAGCACACAATGTAGGAACATTTACAATCCTGAAATTTTAGTGGGAATGATCTAGATTGCAGGCTGCCCAAAATGTCTTCTGATCCAAATTGTTTACCATATGCTAATGATCCTACCAAAAGCCTTCACAATTAACTTACAGATTTACTTAAATTCTGGCAAAAAGTAAGTACTCAAATGATTTAGTCCTGCATGAATTGATGTGTGAATGGATGAATGAATGAATTAATAAATGAATGTCCCTGTGGGTATGATAGCAACACAGGCAATGGACAAAACCCAAAGTTGTACCAAAACAAAAAAACATTAATAGTTCACAAATTATTTTGAAAGACCTAAAGAATAAGTATACATCAAAAACAAGTTGCCAGCTTATGTTTATGTTACAAAACCCATCATCACGTATAACCAATGATCTGCAACATTCAGTACTAATGAACTCTATGAAAGGTTATTACCAAGGCTAAAACTAAGGCAATTGATCAAGTCTGTATAAACATTTAAGAACAAAAGTTACACAACACATTGCTGAACCATATCGCATTCTTTAAGGACATATTAATACATTTAATATTCTATCAATTGTAGTTGAGTACTTCAGTCTAGTCTACTTGAGAGGGATATTTTGTATGCAAAGACACTTGGCCTTAAAATCAGACTTTTGAGATTTTTTTTATTTTTTTCAGAAATGTTCTGAACAGTGAATATTTTTAAGAATAGTATCTTTAGCATGTCTCTAGGGCCTTGATACTGTCTGCAGTTCTCTAATTTGAGTATCTAAAAATTATTACAAAAATGGAAATATGGAAAAAATAACCTGCAGAAGTAGTGAAATGTTGTTTAATAGGTAACGTGTGGTCAATGAGGAAAATCAAATAATTTAAAGCAAATTAAATTTCTTACTCTTCTCCTAAAAATTACCTTCATTTTTTTTCTTTGGACAGAGTCTTACTCTGTCACCCAGGCTAGAGTGCTGTGGCATGGTCTCAGCTCACTGCCAGCTCCACCTCCTGGGTTTATGCCATTCTCCTGCCTCAGCCTCCCAAGTAGCTGAGAATACACGTGCCCACCACCACACCTGGCTCATTTTTTTTGTATTTTTAGTAGAGATGTGGTTTCACAATGTTAGCCAGGATGTTCTCGATCTCCTGACCTCGTGATTCACCTGCCTCGGTCTCCCAAAGTGCTGGGATTACAGGCGTGAGCCACAGTGCCCAGCCAGCTTCATTCTTTTATAAGAAAAATTACATAGAAAAATCTGGCCATAATTTACAAAGATGTAGGCTCTTACCTTTTTGGTTTTCTTTATCAGATCCTGAAACCTGCTGTGAGAAAACATTTTGCCTTTATTCAGCTATTTAAATATAACTAACAAACCAAAACAGATTATAGAAACTAAGCAATCTAAACAGTGATTTGTAGAGACTGGAAGTAGAGTTGATTTTAATGAGGTGTAATACATGCTGCATAGCAAATTCCTTAAGGAAATAAAAGTTTACTAATTACACATAGTTTTACAGCAGTATTTGAATGACACATTATAACATGTTTCTGAATGTGAGATTAAGAAACATCCTTCAGAATAAATAAGATTATAGTTATGGTAAAAATGCAAACTAAGCCCTTTCTTACACTGTTAGATAAATTACAATGAAGATTATTAAAATGTTCATATGAATAAGATATCTTTCTTGATCATGTAATTAACCTCTAAGTACTTGAAATAAATAATAATATGTCTAACAGAAATGACAGGAATGTTTACTGCCTTACAAATGACACTAAAATATCTGACGAACCAATGAATACATGACAGAGTTACTGGGTCACTCAATTAATTTCCTGAGTATTCATTGTTAAAAATGTAAATAAACTAAATCTTTACTGTCTTTACAATCATGACTTTCGTGTACTTAAAATATTGTTAAAGAGACATTTTAGGTAGCTTTTAATATCTATTTCTACTACCATATATATCATTTATTATGTTTACCCTGGTAACACCAATATTTGTTTTCAACTGGATTTCCCTTAAATAAAATATTCTGCATGGGCACTTCATATTAGTAGAAAATGTTAAGGTGTATGAATGAGAAGAGATGAGTTTCTGCTATAATAATTATAAATATTACACAATATGCAAAGGTATAAAGTGGTTAAAAGTTTAGAGAAATATGTATCAAAAATGAATTCCAGGCCAAGCACAGTGGCTCACAGCTGTAATCCCAGTACTTTACGAGGCCGAGGTGGGCAGATATCCTGGGGTTAGGATTGGAGCCAAACCTGGCAAACACAGTGAAACCCTATCTCAACAAATAACAAAAATTAGCCAGGTTTGATGGTGT
The DNA here is from genome assembly GCF_000001405.40 of Homo sapiens. NCBI lineage: Eukaryota > Metazoa > Chordata > Mammalia > Primates > Hominidae > Homo > Homo sapiens. The sequence goes on along the minus strand of NC_000024.10, from coordinate 18,677,574 downwards.
ATGACTGTAATCACAGCTACTGCAGAGGCTGAAGCAGGATAATTGATTGAACCCCAAAGGCAGTGCTCGCAGTGAGCCAAGATCATGCCTTTGCACTGCAGTCAGGGTGACAGAGCCAGACCCTGTCCCTAAAAAATAAATTAGTAAATAAATACATTCCTAATGTTGATAAATAAAATTTGGTTGCTTATGAAGAAAGCCAGCATATCTAACACAAGATCAGGAAACCGAACTCTGCATTTTCTCACCCTAAGTTGTAGCTGAACAATAACCCAAGGAAACAGGGAAGGAAGCAGCACACACGGGGCTCTGTTGGGTGATGGAGAGCTACAGGAGGGATAGCGTTAGGTGAAATGCCTAATGTACATGAGGAGTTGATGGGTACAGCAAACCACAATGGCAGGTGTATACCTATGTAACAAACCTGCATATTCTGCCTATGTATCCCAGAACTGAAAGTATAAAACAAACAATGTTTTTATTCCAATATGGTTCTAAGGCTGGGTGCAGTGGCTCATGCCTGAAATCCCAGCACTTTGTGAGGCCAATGCGAATGAATCGCTTGAGGTCAGGAGTTTAAGACTAACCTGGCCAACATGGTGAAACACTGACTCCACTAAAATTACAAAAATTGTCTAGGTGTGGGGGTGGGTGCCTGTAATCCCAAACTACCAATAGGGGAAAGAGGCCAAAAACAGTTGTAGTAGGCAGCACTTTGAAAGTAGATATTAAGCTACCACAATCTTAAACAAACATGTTTAAGGAATCAAGGCCTGGTGTGGTGGCTCACACTTATGAACCTGCCAATTTAACAGATCGAGACAGGTGGATCCCCTGAGGTCAGGAGTTCAAGAGCATCCTGATCAACAGAGTAAAACCCCGTCTCTGCCAAAAATACAAAATGTTTGCCAGGCACTGGGGAGTTCACCTGTAGTCAAACTACTCCAGAGGCTGAGGCAGAGATTGTTTGAACCCAGGAGGCAGAGGTTGCAGTGAGCCGAGATTATGTCACTGCACTCAATGCTTGGGTGACAGAGAGAAACTCCATCTCAAAAGCAAAACAAAACAAAACAAAATACTGTGCTAAGCCTCTAGTGTCCTTAAAACTTTGAAACATAAAACCTTGGGATAGTTACAGACAAATTAAAGAAAATAAAAAACATATGAACAACACCAAAAGTGAAATCTAACATAATCTATGGAGTCTGAGTGATAATAACATGTCAGGGTAGGATTCTCAATGTAGAAAATATACCACTTTGATGCAAGATGCTGACTTTGGGGTGGGTTGTGCATGTGTAGAAACAGCAGGTGTATGGGAGTGCTCTGCATTTCTCACTCAACTTTGCTGTGAACTCATAACTGCTCTAAAAAATAAAGTCTACTAAACACACACACATACACATATTCACAGGGAATGTTTGCTGCATCTGGCTTTAAAATAATAAAGTAGGACTAATGTTCAACAGTAATACTGAAGAAATGAAAACAATTGAAATCTAAAAATTAAAGGAAAGTCTGAATATTTGAGAACTTTACAGAATTATTTAAAATTATGTATTTCTCACTTATATAATTACAAAGAAGAGAAACATCTGAAAACGCTAGGGCAGAAAAAAGAAGAGCACGTTTTAGAAAACTAGGTTTATTGCCCTGCATTGTCACTTAAAAGTTACTTGATTCACTGCTCCAGACTCTAGTTCCTGACTGACAGAGTCTTATTAGACAACATAAAGGATAGATAGATCAATTTTTGCTCTGAAACAGTTCGAGATTCTATATCACAATTTTACAAAAGACTAAATGAGAAGCCAAATTTTTTTTTTCAAATTTAGTACCCACTTGGTATATAACAAATATATTTAGTGCAGGTACAATATGAATTCAAAGAGGGAGAAACAGACCTAATCTATAAACACTTAACTATAATTCAGCATTTTACAGTCAGTGGAGGAAGAAACTCTTAATAAATAATCCAAAAAAAGATAAGAAAATACTTTACCCTTTCTTTGGCTCAGCTACTTTCTGGAAAAAAAGAAGTAAAAGTGGATAGTCATAGCCCTATCTCTGTGAGTGATCAGCCACTGAAGAGTTAGAGGTGCCTCGTAGGAGGTAGCTCCCTTCCACTGACATAAACTGAGGATGCAGTTCTCCATTCAATACAGGGTGCATCAACACATGAATTAGCTGGTTTTGAAGTTGTGTCTAACAAAGAAAGAAGAGAAAAGAAAGATACAAAGATAAGGGGATGAAATTTCAGCAGGATTTTCTGAGTAGAGATACAGACAGATATGCTACATTCATTGGAAACCTTCCTTTTATTTTCATAACTGTTGTAGATCCATGACCAGAAGTTAGAACACTTCTCCTGCACATGTCTCATCCCACGAGAGAAGCAGTCCAGTGGGTTCTGGCAAAAAGCTGGCTTTCCGCACAATCAAAGTGAAACTGGTGGTTAGTCAGACCGACTTGCAGAGTCTTAATTTCAATTCCCTAGAAGTCCATTTCAGCAGCTTACGATTGGGATATGAAGTATATAAAAAGTTCTACCAGTTTATCACAGGATTGTTGGAGAATGTAATCAAAATATTCAAAAACAAGGGACTGCCACGTATATTACAAAAATATCCAAACTTAAGCCTGTTGAAAGTGAAAATGAGGATTACAAGAAAGCTTTAAGGAAACAGGGTAATGCTCACTCAATATAACTCAAATTAAAAAATGATACATACACAGGATATATCTACATATTTTAAATGTAAAATATGCTTTTGAAATGCATATTGCAATAAAAAGAAGTTGAGCTAAACCTATATCTGGCTGTTAATTCACATACAAAGTATATTAGTAGATATTTGCTGCCCAAATTAAATATTCAGACATTTCAATATGGTTTAAGGATAAAATTGTTCATTCCCGAAACTATCATTAAATAGTACACTAGTATTTTCTATATGATGTTTAGGAACCTGTAAGCCAGAATTATAAAACAAGCCTAACCTTACTAAAATGGTACTTTAATTAATTATTTGAACATGCCCCTTTCAGTTGACTCAAACTCAACATTTTCTCAAGTATTTTCAAGAGACTGTAGTTTTTCAGGACAGAGTTATTCAGGAATATATAAATGTAATTCACAAACACAATCTACATATCATACTATTATTAAAACCCAAACTTTGGATGAATTTAAATGTGAATTACGTGTTACAGGTTGCACTTGTAAAAGTTATGACACAAATATGCCTAAATCCCATACCTTGAATGTGTCCAGTACACCCCGACTCTTCAAGGTCTTGTGTAGCTTTTTGCGTAGCTCACATTGACTGAACACGTCAGACAGAGGAAGCATGTTGGACTAGAAGACAAAATGGCTACAGGTTACCTGGGGGGCAGAGAGAACATGAATGACTGAAAACAGATCAGTGGCCTCCTGGGAAGCCCTAAGAGGCCTAACAGGAAAGGGGTTTGAGGGGACATCAACCAAACTTCATTTCTGCCTGTCCCCAAGGAGGGGCAGGTGTGTCTTCCTGAGCCACCATCAAGCCTGAGCTTCCTCCCGAGCTGCCTCGCTTGCCCCCCTGTGTCCCAAGTTGAGTGCCCAACCTGGGCTGCAGAACCAACATGAGGGCTCATTGCTGCTCTCAGAGCCCTGCCTCTGTTCTGAGGGATGAACAAGAGTGCTGAACGCTATCTGCCTTGCACTTTCAACTAGGTTTTCTACCAAACACGTGAGCTTGCTCTCTTCCAGCCACAGCTGAAAGGCTGCTGGAGGGCGAGGACGCGGAGACTAGAGATGGAAGTAGGCGAGGCAGGACTAGAAGTTGATTACCCTCACATCCCATCGTGCCCCTCCTGGAGACCTACTAAGTACAGCCTTCCAGATCTGCAGAGACAAGGCAAATGTACTTGGTTGCTGAGCACACGCCGGAAGCTCCACCCACATCTCGCAAGTGCACGTCTGCAGGGTATTGGGAGAACTGCGCGGGGGTGGGGGGGGGCAGGGTGGTGCGTCCTGGGGCGGGCATTAACGGTAAAGCTGCTGAGCTCAGTCTCTGCGGCGGGACTGATACGTTGTCAGCCTCTCGCTGCAGGTAGGGAATGGAAAGAGTCGGGAGCAGCTGTTTTGAGTCCCTGTGGGACTTTTCAGGCCCTATGTGAGGGAAGAGTTTGGTTCTGTATCTCCACCCCTCCCAGGGGTAGCCGGGTAACCTGCGAGGTCCTGACCGGCTCATTATGCAGCCAGCACTTCCACCTGCAAGTGTCTGCCCTCTGGGGGGCTTTGCTTTCATGGTTTACTGGGTCATTCCGCTAATCCGTGGTATTTTAACGGCGCCACTTTTGCCTTTTGGAGCCAGAAGATTCTTTAGGGAGGCTGTCGTGTGCATTGTAGATTTAGCTGTATCCTTGGTCGCTATTTTGTCGGTAGCATCTTCGACCCCAATGGTGACAACCAAAAATGTCTCCAAACATTGCCGTATGTTTTCTTGGAAGCAAGGTGGATCTGGATTGAGACCCACAGAAGTAAACGTTTTTGAGTACCACCCCTTGTGTGTTGTGAGGGAAGGTGAGCATTTCCTCATGATGCTTAAATATAATTAGAATGAAGAAAAACCAAATCTCTCAGAATCGATAATGAAAATATTACAGCCAGGGAATTGAGCAGGAATTAAAATAACATGGTAAACTAAGTAAGGAGTGTAAAGGGGAGGTGGTGGAAGATGGAAGTGATCTAGATCATCTCTTGGAATATATGTGACTCCATCAAGGCCTTGGGTAGGATTTGGGTGGTGGGCAAAAAGGAGACCATTGTTGGAAGGGGAAAATGAGCAAAGGAATAAAAAACAAACAAAAATTCAGAACCTTCTTGGGGGCAGTGAGGCATCTACCCTGAGTCCAGTGTTGTGTGCTGGGAAGTAAGCCTGATAAAGTATCTAAGTCCTGTGAGGACAGATTGGATCAGTGTCAGCTTTGTACACAGCATTGTAGAAGTGTACAATGAGTTTTAATCTGTGTCTGTGAAAAACTCTTTAAGAGGCAGTAAGAGTGATAGGGCTTCTTAGAAAGTGGAGAACCTACAGGTTTTTGTTGGAAATAGTTGAGAAGGAGGATAGACCTAGTTGGATTTTAAAGGATAAGGAGGTGTTGCAGGCAGAATCAGGGAGAACATTCCAGTAATGATGAGAAAAATAATAGTAGCTGTTGGAGAAACCAGCCCCACCTCACCCGGAGGCTATCCCGAGTTCAGCGGAGACAAAGGAATTAGAAAGAGACAAAATAAGAGTTTAAAAGGCAGGTCCAGGGGACCAGAGCCATTGGAGGCTTGCTCACAGCCCTGAGCTCTCGATCTCAACCTAATTTATTGGTTTGCAAGTTCTTTGTTCTTAGGGCAGATGGGAGGCATAGGAAGCATGAGGGAAAGTATTAATCAGTGAAGGAGAAGTTGTGAGTCATTCAATAATATGTATAGCAGTGGTGGATTCTGTGAATTTCCTTGAGCAAAGGCATGTGTCTAAACTACTTAAGATCTTTAACTTGTTGGGACTGAAATGGGTGGGAGTGGGTTTCAGGAGAAGCCAAGATCTCTGATTATACTCCACTGCTTCAAGGGAGTGTTATTTCCCCAAGCAACTTGTGGCATGCTGCTGAGCTGTTGTGCTCAGGGGGCATAAGGACATGAAGGCAATAAGGAGACTTTTCTCCTCAGAGGCTGTCCATGGCTCCCCATGGGTGTCTCACATAGGGGAGACCAGCTCATCTGGCATCCCAGAAACTCTCTTTCCCACATGTCCCCCTTTTGGTCTCTATTAATTTTTTTTTTATTAATAACCACCATTGCTATCATAGCTAGTTCACAGTGTCTGGCTTCTCTCCCAAGGTGCCATCTACATCTGTAAACTAAAAACAAACAGCATAAACAGACACAAACCAAAATAAAATTTGCAACTATTGATCCACCTATGATTTTAATCCACCTTAAGTGGTTGATATTAGAAAGGCCATCAACGTCTCCAGCAAGAATATCAGCTCCAGGCAACAGGCTGAGATGAGCCTGAGATGCCTCAAATAGTTTTTGGGTTTTTTTTTTTTCAGTTTAGCAATATCTAATGTTAAATTATCTTCTTTTCCTTGTAGGTGACATATAATCAAGTCCCAGTGGTGTTCGGTGGCATTATAAGAGCCAGGAGTAATAAAAAAAATCAGAAATATTCCATTCACATTGCATTTGAATTCTGTGCTCCAAACTCATAATCTGATGTCCCATCCAAATTACTGTTTGATGGAGATTATTAACTTAATTTGCCAATTTTTGATGTATTTGGCTTTGGGAATTCCAAAGCTAAGAAGTATTTTTCTGCCAGAAAGCCCGCAGGTGGAATAGAAGTCTGGGAGGCAACACCAGCAGCAACAGCAGCAGTAGCTGTGACAACTGTAAGGCCCATGAGCACAGCTATTAAAGTAAATATGAATCTGCTTGATCTATTAAGTATTCTTTTTAGTACTTCTACTAAATGGTGGTAATATGTATGGAGGGAGAGGCCTTCCAAGGTCTATTGAGGGAAACAAGTATCCAAACTCCTTCTTGGGCCCTAACCAGTAAAAATGCTGTTATCTTTATTAAAGGTAGAAATAATGCAGGTAAAAAGGTGACAGTTAAGGCATGATATGGTTTGAGAGTCAGGTAGGATATTAATTTTTCTCACTTCCAATATAAAAGATTTAACACAACTCTGCAGTGGGACCATCCGATTACAGGTCATGGCTGCAACAAATCAAAATTTTGTACTATGGGTCTGTTTTATATTATCCTTTCCAAACCCGAAATGGGGTTTGAGCCATCATTAATTTCCACAATTCTGGGTGTTCTGGACTTATAATTGGATCGATCATCTTTGTCAGCCTCAGGAGTCAGTTCTCATTTACTATTGAGAGCAGGGTCTCCTCTTAAAATAGAGAACAGATTAGACAGAGTATAGGTAGGGATTCCCAAAGTAGGTAGAATCCAATTGACATCCCCTAATACTTCTTGAAAATCATTTAAAGTTTCCAGAGAGTCTTTTCAAAATTGAACCTTTTGGGGTTTAATTGCCCTTTCCTGAACCTGCATTCCCAAATATTGGAAAGGAGTAGTCATTTGAATTTTATCTGGTGCTATGAGCAATCCAGCATTGGTTACCACCTCCTGTATATATCACCTCCTGTATATATAAATAACAATGGATAAGTCGGTCTCGATTTTCGGCCGCACACAGTATATCATCTGTACAATAAATGATATACGAACCTGGAAACTGATCTCTCACAGGCTGAATAGCCTCCCTCACAGAAATTTTACCAATAATAGGACTATTCAACATATCCTGTGACAGGACTTTCCAATGATATCTGGCCGCTGGTTCCTGTTGTTCATAGCATGAGTAGTAAAAGCAAATTTCTCAAAATCAGACTCCACTAGAGGAATATTTAAAAAGCAATCCTTCAAATCTGTAATTATTAACAGACACTCTAGGAATCATGGTTGGGGATGGAAGCCCTGGCTTCAGGACCCTCATTGGCTGGATGACTGCACTGACTGCTCATAAGTCGGTTAGCATGCGCCATCTGCCGGATTTTTTCTTTATTACAAACACTGGCAAATTACGTGGAGAAAATGTGGGCTCAATATTTCCTTTGTTTAATTGCTCTTTGACTAATTCCTGTATGGTCCCCATTTTATTCCTGAAAAAACAGGCGCTGTTTGACCCAAACAGGAATTTGGGCCTTCCATTTTAAGGGAATAGGGCTTGGAGGCTCAACAGTGACTGCCCCTAAAAATGGTAACCTAATCCTTTTCGGTCACTTTTTACAGTAACGTGTATGGATTCAGTAATGCCCTTCTCCTTTTCTAGGCCTTTTATGTGAACATAGCCCATGTTTGACATTATTTTTTGACTAGCTTGACCATACCGTTGAGGAGGGATTGAAATTTCTGTGCCCCATTGTTGAAGCAGACCTCTCCCCAATAAGTTAACAGGAGTGTGTATAATTAGAGGTTGTATTGTGCCTTCCTGTTCTTCTGGACCAAGACATGGTACCATAATAGTACTCTGGAAAACTTCTGAAGCAGTCCTGACCCCAACAAGATCCACTGGGGCCTTTTGTTTGAGCCAGTTTTCACCCATTGATAAAGAACTATTATCGACACATCTGCTCCTGTGTCAGCCAGACCCTCAAATTGTTTTCCTTGCATAGTGACCGTAAAAATAGGTCTGTTGTCAGAGACTTGATTTACCCAATAGGCAGCCTTGCCTGCTGTATTTGTGCTTCCAAATCCTCCTGTTCTTTTTTCTGAGCTTTCTCCTAGCTTAACATACAGTAAAAGCAACAGTTGAGCTATTCTGTCACCTGGATTAGCACTCCAGGGAACAGTGGGGGAGATAACTATTTGAATTTCTCCCTGGCAATCAGAGTCCACTACTTCAGTATGTACTTGAATTCCCTTTAGTTTTAAGCTGGACCTTCCCTGTATAAGTCCCACCGTGCCGTTTGGCAATGGACTGTAATCTCCCATTGGGACCTTCCTAGGAGGCTCCCCAGGAAGGAGGGATACAGCTTTTGTACAGCATAAATCTACTGCCCCACTTTTAGCTGTGGAGGGGGACAATTGCTATACATTTGTACAGGGATAGACTGGGCTGGGAACACTCCATTTGGAGTTGGGGATGTCCCATTCTAAATTGGGAATGCCCCATTTTGAATCAGGGCCTGGTACTGAGTTTTGTCTTATTTGGCTCTTTGTACACTCTCTTTTTGTATAGGCCTATCTGTCCAAAATTATACCAAGATCCAGGGAACATTTGTGTGTTTTTTGTTACTCTTAGCCCAGCAATTGTCTGGACAAGGAGGCTTGCCTTATGTAAGTGCCCCCCAATGCCATCACAGGCTTTAATGCATTCATTTGCAGATATTTCCTCATTTAGATCTGCCTTTCCCTTAATAGATCTAAGTGCTGCCTGACATTCTGTATTAGCATTTTCATAAGCAAGCAGCTGAACGAGCAGTTTCCTGCCATGAGAATCTGAAATACCCTTTTGAGCAGTATCTTGCAAATGGGAGATAATATCTGGATAAGACTGCCTTGGACCCTGTCAAACTGAGTTAAAAGAAGGATAAGTGGTACCAGGATCATGAATTTTTTTTCCAGGCTCTTAGGGATATAGTTCTGAGCTGATCAACAGCCTCATCGACCCATTACCATCTGTTGATTTATAGTTCCCCATGTCTCTCCAATTCCAAGCAATTGATCAGATGTGATATTAACGGGAGGTTGGTGTTGAGCATTTCTGCATGCCTGATTTGTTTCTTCACCAGTCCACCAAGTTTTAAATTGGAGAAATTCAGACAAGGACAGGGTGAACTGGGCTAATGATTCCCAATCCATAGGTATTAAACACCGGTTATAAGCCACAGATTTTAACAAGGAATGAACATGAGGAGAATCTGGCCCATATTGTCCAATTGCTTACTTTAAGTCTTTCAATATTTTAAAAGGAAATGGCTCTCAGCGTGCTTCAGCATGTTCTCTGGGCTCCTCAGCTGGCAAAATAATTACCGGAAACTGCCATGCATCCAAATCCTCCATTTCTCATGCCTGGCAAATGGATGCCTGGATCATCCCTATGCCATAATTTGTATTTGGGCTGGCAGGCAGCATTCCTCTACCATAATTAACAGACAGACCAACCTGGATCACTCCCTCACTGTAATTGGCTGTTGGGCGAGCCTGAATTTCCCTTCGCCATAGTTAATGGTGGGGCGTGCAACAATGGGAGTGGCAAGCCACGGCTCAGGGTCCTGTTCCAAACATTCAGAAGGCTGAGGTGGGCGTGGCCATTCCAAACTTACCCTAAAGGTGCAGTAGGTGTCCCTGTTTCTGCATTAGGTGGAACAGTTTCTTTCATAAGTTTTTGGAGGTTAGCATATATACCTTCCCTTTTATCCCCCTTTTTAAAACTGGACTGTGATGGTTCAACTTGCTGATCATCAGACTCCTGATTATTAAACTTTCCTATGTCATCCTGAAACTTCTCCTGCTCCTCAGTGTGGAAAGGCTCCAGTGCTGTTTTAATTGTTGACCACACAGATCAAGTGGGGAAGGGAATATCATGGCCCTCTAGTTGTGCTCAAGTCTGATCCAACCTTGTCTGAATCTTTTACATTCATGGTTCCATATTCTGGGAACCAAGGAGAACACTTTTCTATGAGATGGAACAAAGACATGAGATTTCGGGTACTCACAATTAACCCTCCATAGTGCAATAACTGCCGTACTGGGCTTAAGTAATTAGCAAACTTAGTCTCAGCCTGACCCACATTTTCCTGAGGTTACTCTGGATTTCTCTGGGCTCCCTCCTTACCTGTAGAGCTTGAAGTGAAAATGTACTCAGGCTTCCTTTGTCAGTCTCCTCCACTTTCCACATTCTGGCATTCCTTCACTGGATTATTTGTAGAGATTAGAGGGAGCCCCGTGTTAGGTGCCAGATGATAGGGAAACCATCCCCACACCATCTGGCAAATATCCTGAGTCTAGAGGAGACAAAGGAATTAGAAAGAGACAGAATCATAGCTTAAAAGGTGGATCGATGGGACTGGAGCCTGGGAGGCTTGCTCGTGACCTCAAGCTCTTGGCCTCCTCCCAACTTATTTGTTTACAAGTTCTTTGTTCTTAGGAAAGATGCGAGGGGTAGGAAGACATGAGGAAAAGGATTGATTGGTGAAGGAGAATGTGTGAGTCATCCAATAAGATGTATAGCACTGGTAGTTTCTGTGAATTTCCTTGAGCAAAGGTGTGTTTCTAAACTACTTAAGATCTTTAACTGAAGATCTGAAATGGGTGGGAGTGGTTTTCAGGAGAAGCCAAGATGTTTGACTGTACTCCACTGTTCAAGGGAGTATTAGTTCCCCAAGCAACCTGTGGCATGCCGCTGAACTGTTATGGTCTTGGGACATAAAGACGTGAAGGCAATAAGGAGACTTTTCTCCTCAGAGGTCACCCATGGCTCCCTATGGGCATCTCACACAGGGGAGACTAACTTATCTGGCATACCAGAAACTCTCTTTCCCACAGTAGCCCTGAAGTGGATACAACTAACATAAACTTGGGGGAAAATATAAGTAAACAACTCAACTCTAGCAGAGATGGAATAATAGGGCTGAAGAAAAAAATGTGTTTTCAATTTGGGAGTCCATTTTGAATACCAATACATGATCCTGTACCTGACACACATCCATATTTTTGAGTGGAATGATGAAATGATGAAAACAGTGTTCTAAAAATAGGTTTATAGGTTGTAAATGTGTTAGATAGAATCAACAGTCCACCATTTAAAAACAAAAAATAAATCTGTGACTGAAAACCCTCTCACTCCTGTCCTCCCCCACACTTTGTATCCCACAGTTGAATACAGAAATATAATTAGAGAAAGTTTTGTCTAAACACTAGCACAACTTCTAAAAATGGGAGAATTGCTTATAATATTAATAGGAAAATGTTGCATTAGAGACCTATCAATAGAGGTCAACCTGCCCCTCCTCCTTGCAATAGACGTGTCCCATGCTATACCATGTTTAGACTCATGAAACCAGGTCTATGGAACGACTGAAACTACTGCTGTCAGGAGCACCGGGCAGTTTTTCTAGAATCTCTCCTATAGAGGCTGCAAAGAGGCTTGTTACAAAAAAGGGATGTCTTTGGCACTGGAATCCATGAGTTTTATTGTGCATTTACCTGAAACTTAAAATAATAACAGTGACTTCCATGGTCATTCAGCATCCCCTCACTCTGGCACTGGTGGTGTTCCAGCCACCCCTTAGATTATAGTTTTCAGTGAGTCCACATGAGCAGCCCTTGGCTTAACCTATGTAACAGTTTGGAACAAGTCTCTCTACTTCAGTGTCAGCAAATACTTGGCCCTCATGTAGGCACTACACTTCCCCAGATTCATAGCAGACATAGATAATTGATCACAGCATTTTTTCCTACCAATCCCACTTAGTTTTGGAATCTTTCTGAGCACCAGTTCCTGGCAGTCACTACCAGTTGATTAGGATTCACTCATGAAGGAAATTTATTTGTCATCCTGAGCTAAATCTCTCTCTTTTTTTTCCCATTAGACAGCTTATTGTATTTAATGAAAGTACTGTGCTGTACCCTACTCCCTTTCCACCACAAAAAGGTCCCCAAAAAACACTTAAACACCCTCAGTCCCTTCAGTTGCTCTTGTCTTTTTTGCATAGCATTCCCTAGCCTCAGTGCTGCCCACCTCTTCCCTTTAACACACACAGGAAAGACTTATTGATCTCCTCAAAAAGAAAATCACCATTCTCCTTGATTTTCCTCTTAAAACCAAACAGAATTGCATTAGCTTACTTGAAAAACCTACCAGACTTTTAGCTCTACTGAGCTTGCATTAAGTTCACACTTTTGTGTTGATACAGATAAACTGTATCTAATCTAGGTTTCCTTTGTCCTATTGTTGAAAGGTTGATTTTAAGCCCAGGGTTTCATTTCTTATTCTCCTAACTTCAATCTTGTTAGAGTCACCTAAGTCTCTGTGCCATGGAGATCACTTTGAATCCAATTTCTGCCTTCTAATAAATTAGCAGCCCTTGGTATTATCTTTGAATATTGTAATTTGTCTTCTTTCAAGTTAATTTAAATGCGATCTAGATTGGGTTAAGCTCAACCTCAAAGCCTTCCTAGGAACTCTGTGCCATACAGTGACATGGAACACCCAATGTTCTCTGAGTATTGACCCTGAAGTCAGCTATGAGCAATTACTCATTCAGCAATTATGAGTAATTTTTCAGTTTCTGTCAGTCTTATAGCTGTAGAGATACCACAGTGAATGACACCAATGGTTTATCTGCTCTAACAGAAGACATCATGCTAGCAATATTTTGAATTTTCACTGAGGCTCCAGGTCTCCTGTTTGTCCATAGGAGGATACCTAACTATTTCTTAAAATGAATTTCGGTTTTTCAGTTTACCTACAACACCTCCCTTCAAAAAAAAAAAAAAAAAGAAAGAAAGAAAAAAGAAAAGAAAGAAAAAACAAGCGGTAAGTTTGGCATGACTTGTTCTTGTTCTCAGTATAACCAGGAGTATGTGAAAGAATAATAATCTGTTCTTATCTTAGGATTCACATTAAATTAGTCAGTGTATAATAAAAGTGCATGGGATATGACTGAAAAGAGGCATTTAATACATGTTTCTCTTGTTGTTTTGGGTCACTCTGATTGTACCCTGTTGTAGCCAAGGAGATGTGCGTTTTTTCCTCTTTCTGAAAATAGGAAATGCTTTCAACCTAGCAGATAATATGGCAGTTTTCTTGCAATTTTTAAAACAGCACTGACCCAAAGTTAGGCAATCCCATTTGTTCATCCAAAATATATGATTTACCAGGACCTGACACCATGGATTTATTTAAATGTCTATTGAAATATTTTAATATACCTATATCCCAAGGTTCACAGACAGCTTGACCTTGTTTCTTCCATGTTTGCTGTTTGAAAAGTCAATTATTATCCTTTGGGCGTATACTCAGTAATGACATTGCTGTGTCAAATGGTATTTCTGGTTCTACATCTTTCAGCAAGCACCACACTCTCTTCCACAATGATTGAGAAACTTTGCACTGCCATCAACAGTGTCAAAGCCTTCCTATTTCTACACATCCTTGCCAGCATCTGTTGTTTTCTGACTTTTTAATGGTTGCCATTCTAACTGAGCTAAGATGGTATTTCATTGTGGTTTTGATGTGCATTTCTCTATTGGCCAGTGATGATGAGCTGCTTCTCGTGTTTGTTGGCAGCATAAATGTCTTTTGTTGAGAAGTGTCTGTTCATATCCTTTGCCCACTTTGTGATGGGGCTGTTTGCTTTTTCCTTGTAAATTTAAGTTCCTTGTCGATTCTGGATAGATTCCTTGTATATCCTGACCTTTGTCAGATGGATAGATTGCAAATTTTTTCTCCCTTTCTGTAGGTTGCCTGTGCACCATTATGATACTTTCTGCAGCAGTATTTAAAATAACAAAGACTGAAATCAACCCAAATACCCATCAATGATAGACTAGATAAAGAAAACATGACACATATATGCCATGGAATACTAGGCACCAATAAAAAGGATTAGTTCAGGTCCTTTGCAGGAGCATGGATAAAGATGGAAACCATAATCCTCAGCAAACTACCACAGAAACAGTAAGCCAAACACTCTATGTTTTCACCAGTAAGTGGGAGTTGAACAATAAGAACGTATGGACACAGGGAGGGGAGCATCACACACTGAGGCCTGTCATGGTGTGGAAGGCAAGGGAAAGGAGAACATTAGGATAAATACCTAATGCATGTGGGGATTAAAATATAGATGATGGGTTCATAGGTGCAGCAAACCACCATGGCACAGGTATTACTATGTAACAAAACTGGACATTCGGCACATGTATCCCAGGACTCTAAGTAAAATAAGAACAAAAACATGTTAAAGGCTCCCAAGTGTGTTTTAAAAAATATATCACTCGTTTCTCCATATATAGTTCAATATTTATGGCTACTAATAAAATTCAAAATGCTGTAACTTCATTTTTTTGTGTGTACCTAGATTACTAATGCAATACAGAACAAAAAAATATTGATTTTTTATTCATTTTATTTTATTTTATTTTATTTTATTTATTTTCTAGCAGAGAAAGAAGAAATCAAGCAGATTGGTAGCCTCTATTATTTCAGTGTGTACCAGGTGCTCAAAGCAGTTGATCCTTGGCTCTTATTTTTCCCTATCATAGCCTAAGAAGCCTCTTTTTTACATATATATATATAGATAGATAGATATGGATATATATGCATATATATCGATATATATATGGATAATATGGATATATATACACATATGGGTATATATGGATATATATATACACACACACACACACACACACCACACTTCAGCTCATTGTAGGTCTCTGCCTTTCTGATGATAGGCACACTGATTTCTGGTCCTATGCTTATGTTCATTATTAGCTAGTTTCCTACTTCTGACATCTTGTATGTGGACTCTTCAAATTTATGGTAGTCAGAGAGCTCTCTTTATCACCAACTGGATTTTTTTAGCATTTTCCCTCTTAAAAGACGAGGTTGCCCTAATCAACCGGAGAGTTGCTCTTTTCACCGTAAGTGAGATTCCTGGCTCCCTCTAATCAGTCACCAAGATGAATTTCTTGTCGTGGAAGATTTCTTCATGAGTACCTTAAAAAAATCTCGATTATGTTTTCACAAAGGTGATGTTGACCACCTGAACAAGACTTCATCATGGAGCCTTTGAAACCACTGAGGCCTCAGCACTGAAACTTTCAGAAGGTTCTTTGCACTGTTGAGGCTACTTAACACTGAAATCCCCCCATGTCTGTCACTCTTGAATTTCAGGATACTCTGACAACACTGTCTAACCTGAAGCCCCTTCCCCCACACTCCAGTTCTATTCTGCAAGCACTGAGCACCTACTGTGTATCAGTTTCTGTGTTAGAGGTTGGAAGGTGGAGAAGTGGAGAAGACCCAGCCCATGTTCTTTCTCACACTCTCATCCCCAAATTTCTCCAAATGTTTTCACCTTGATGCATTATTGACTCTGTACCACACCTTTTCCACAGTGCCTTGAAACCCATTGCCCCAGCAGATGAATTCCCTTTGTATCCAGTCTCTTCATGGAATGTGCCTTCTACTCATTTGCTGAAGCTTCCTTAAATTTCCTTCCTTCTCTCCCATATCTGTGTGTTTTCTTGTGTGTGTGCTTTGTCCTATGTTAGATTTCTACTGCCCTTGTAACAAATTATTATAAATTCAGTAGCTTAATACAAGAAAAACGTATCATCTTACAATTTTGTAGCATAAGAATCCAATGCTGGCCTTTTATAGGCTAAATTCAAAGTGTCCAAAGCACTGAGTTCCCCTTGGAGGCTCTTGGGAAGAATCTGTTTCTTTGTGCTTTCCAGTTTCTAGGGGGCTCCTGCATTCATTCGTTGTGCTCCCTTTGTCCATTTTCAAACCCTTCAACATCACATTGCTTTGACCATTCTTCCATCACTTTCCTCTGACATTCCTTTTTTTTGCTTTCATCTTCTTTTTTAAGGCCTTTGTAATAGCATTGGGTCCACCTGGATGGTCCAGGGCAATCTTCCTATCTTAAGGTCAGCTGTTGACCAACTTTAATTCCTCTTTGCCATGAGCCCTTACATACTCACAAGTTCCATAGATTTGGATGAGGATGTCTTAGAAGAAGGACCACTATTCTGTTTGTTCCCTTCAGATAGGCATTTGGAAATTATCCTAGACCCCTCTCTTGTCCACAATTTTTCAAATTAACCTATTCTCAAATTCTCTGTAGCTTTCTCCTCAACATCTCTGGGCCAACCCTTCCTTGGAGAGGCTTCAAATGCTCTTATTTAAGGCAATGGGAAAATCAAGCAGACCATGAATATGCACTCATGCCAATGCAGGTACTTGGGTCATGGCAATTGCTTTGTTTGTATTATATATTGGTATTCTAAGTAGTACTTGCTTTGTGGGTGAAAAGAAGGTGGAGGAAGTCACAGAACTTTATAAAATGTTTGGAATTGGGCTTGGCCCGGTGGCTCAGGCCTGTAATCTCAGCATTTTGGGAGGCTGAGTTCTGCAGATCACTTGAGGCCAGGAGTTTGAAATCTGTCTCTACTGAAAATACAAAACATAGCCTTGCCTCTTGGTGCATGCCTATAATTTCAGCTACTCAGGAGGGTGAGGCAGGATAATTTCCTGAACCCAGTGGGTATAGGTTGCAGTAAGCAAAGATCATACCACCATCTTGGAATCACTGATCTAGAACTGTGATGTCTAGTACCATAACTACTAGCCATATGTGGCTATTATTGTTCATTTAAAATTAAATTAAAAAATAGTTTTACAGTCACACTAGCCCCATTTATAATGCTCACTGGCTCCCATATTGGTCAGCACAAGTGTAGAACATTTGCATCCTTGCAGAAAGTCTCACAGATTGGACAGTGCAGAATCCTAGTGTATGTCTTACCTTTTCCGGACACCTTCAAGTATTTGGTACATGATTGCAGCTATTCCCTTCCCAAGGCAACTGGGTCCTTTTCTCTTAGAGTTTTCAATTCTCTCACTGTGTCAGTTTTTCCTTGGTGGAAGTAAATGAAAAATTACAGCCCTTCTTGCTTCTTCAGCTGTTTACAAAACCAAAACCAAATTGGCAGCTCAACTCAAGCACAGGATGTATATAAACAAAGTGCTGTCTTATCTTCTGCCATCTGGGTAGTTGGTAATAGCCCCCTCAATTAGCCTTTTGGTTCCCTTTCTGTCTGTCTTCCTGCTGACTTAGCATCATGCTTCTCACCCATTTGTGGCTTTCCCTATAGAAGTGAGTGTAGAGATGCATGTTATCTCCCTTAAATGTAAACACACACACACACACACACACACACACACACTCAAACACACACACACTGAAACTGAGACACACACACATTTCTTTTTGCTTTTTTTCTTGCTGCTGCTGCTTAAATGTTGAAGAAAATAACAAGCCCTTCTGTTGACCACCTCATTTTTGAAATCTAATGCAGCAAAAATTCATGATA
The DNA here is from genome assembly GCF_000001405.40 of Homo sapiens. Taxonomy (NCBI): domain Eukaryota; kingdom Metazoa; phylum Chordata; class Mammalia; order Primates; family Hominidae; genus Homo; species Homo sapiens. Next base: position 18,659,906 of record NC_000024.10, on the reverse strand, counting down.
TCATTGTCTACTTTATTCAAATTTCAACTCCCCATACTTTCTTCCATTACCTTCTCTGGAGAATTATGGCCAGTTCATCTAGTTTTGCAAAGCTTTTGTGTCATTTCTGCTCATCTTTGTTAACCACGTTTTCTATCTTAATTTCTTTCTCAATTTTCTCCTGAAACAGCCTCACATATTTTCTTTTGAGAATCAGATAGTGAATATTGTTGGCTTTGTGGGACAACTGGTCTCTGTTGCAGGTGCTTAACTCCGCCATTGAAGAATGAAAGCAGCCTTAGATGGTAGCAATAAAGTGTGTAAGGCTACATTCCCCCACCTCAAATAGTATTTTAAGCCTACCTCACCATACCAAGACTCTTCTATCTGCCTTTCCTTCCACATGTATAGCCTTCCAATTCTAAAGTGAAAAGTGCCAGCAGTGTCTTGATTTCTTTCATAACATTATTATATGCCATTCATTAGCAAGTACGTATCAGGTTTCTTCTGATTTCATTGTGTGTATGTGAATCAGGAGAAGGCCCAGTGAATCTTGATGAGTCTAGGCTTCTAAGACACCTCAATTGTAAGTTGCAGGATATTGACTAAGTCCTGGTTTATTCGGTTTCCACCCCATGTTCAGAAGTTAGTAGTCACCACATCCCAGTGTGCATATGGCCTTCCAGGTTATTCTAGATAACATTAATTGAGCACATACTTTGAGTCAGAAATTGTGTCATCTACTTTATGTACATTAGATTGTGTAACCTTCATAAATGCACCATGAGGGGCTACAAAGTTACCACTATTTTACAGAGGAGAAAACCAACATTAGGAGTTTGAGGGCTGCTTGTGCTCAAATTGCCAGTAAGTATAGGAGCTAGACTTAAACTTAACGTTGTTTGACTACAAAACCCCTGTGTTAAAATACACACTTTGGGGTTACCATGGTCTATATCCATCCACACTCCTACCCATCCATGATTCATCTCTATTTCAGTTACTATCGGTTCTAGAAACCATGAAATACCTTATATTTTTCCCCAGTTTCTTATAGTTCTATTTCTTTTGCCAGTCTTTAGAATTTTTTTTCAAGACAGGGTCTCATTCTGTCCCTTAGGACAGAGTGCAGTGGTTGTGTCTGAGCTTACTGCCACCTGGACCCCCACTGGCCTCAGGGGATCCTCTGCCATCAGCCTCCAGAGTAGCTGGGACTACAGGCACATACCACCATGCTCTGCTAATTTTTGTATTTTTTGTATAGGTGTATTCCTTGTTTCATCCTGCTGTCTGGGCTGGTCTCAAACTCCTGGGCTAAGGCAGCCCATATGCCTCACCCTTCAAAGCACTGCTATTACAGGCATGAGCCACTACACCTGGCCCAATCTGTTAAACTTCATTGCAAAATCTCCAGTGCCTCAGATTGTATTTCCTTATGGATTATTTCTTCCATCTTTTCCAGAATACAAAACTTCCTGTCTATAAATTGGTGTTTCAAGAGGCATATCATAGTCTCTTGCATTTGTAAAAATTTATATTTATAGCACACACAGATGGATAGAAGCCAGCCAGGGAATACCTTTGGAGTTGTTTTATTTATCCTTCAATTCAGCATAGACTAGCATGACCTCTGGCATTCCTATGATATTCAGTTCATATGTCACACACTATGAATTGCTGCTGCTTACGCACTCAAACATGTAGTTCACCTGTAGTGGGTTGCTACCTTGAAATGCCAGCCATGAAAGTCCGGGCAGTTTTCATGAATATGTCTTTCATGAGGAAATACTGGGTAAAAAAAAAAAAAAAAAAAAAGACCCTTAGTTACCTTCAGCAGCACTTCCGGGATGGGTTGTGCATGCATGCTTCCCTCCCTAGCGACACCATGGCAATGCACAGGAAGCTCAAAAGCAGCACCAGAGGTGATGACACTCACCTTTCTCATCAAGAATGGTTCAAAAACCAGGCTTGGTCAGAGACCATGTTGCCATTCAGAATAAACAGACTTTAGAGTTTTCACATGAGAAGTACGCAGTCATTTCCTATTTATGTTTCTAATAATTTGTGGGCTCGGTTGGTCTGTTTCTATCAATGCCCCAAATTTTCTTTGATGTCTTTCAAGGAGTTAATGGTTTAAGTTAATTGTAATGTATAATGTTCACTGTGTCATACTTTTCAACTCTTTAGGTCTTGTCACCAAAATATGATAGTTGGGATTATCTGCCAGATGTTGTTGCAACATTATTTTCTCCTAAGTTGAGGACACTAATCATTAAAACTCGTTTTGAATACTTGTAGTAGTATTGCTTTCTGGGATGCCATTATTTATATATAGCTTCTGTGCACTCCACTGGCCTTGTGATGGACAAGGAGCACACATAAAAATACTTTGTTGCATAAGTTGATTTTAGTTCTTTCTCCTGCTACAGCTCATCTTGTTAAGGCATTTTCACAGTTTTCTCCTAATCCTTCAGGATTGATGATCATTGTAAAGAAAAACACTGCTGTGAGCCAGAAAGAGAAAAATGCATTCTTTTAAGGATCCCCTTAGCTTTTTCATGGCAACATGAGTGAAGTAAAACATGATTTTATAGTGCAGGGGATTTCAATGCAACAAGCCACCTTCATCCACCCCAGGAATGGGAACAACCTCTTCAGCAAAGAGCCTGTCCCGGTTTCCTGTGGCTTCTGTAACTCAGTACCAGCAACGGAATGGCTTTGGACAGCAGAAATTGGTTATCTCACTTCTGAGGGCCGCTGTCTGAAATCAAGGTGTCAGTGGAGCCCTGTTCCCTATGCATGCAGCAAGACCGGGATCTGTTTGGCCTCTCTCCCAGCTTTTGGAAGTTCCTTGGCTTGTGGCAATGTAACTCCAGTCTTCATGTGGCATTTTTCTTCTTGTGTGCATCTCTAAATTTTCCCTTTTTTAAATACAGCAGTGGTTGGATTAGAGACTCACCCTACTGCAATGTAAACACAGTAACCACATCTACAACAACCCTTTTTCCAAATGAGGTCACATTCTGAGGTACTGTCACTGAAGACTTCACCAAAAACATTTTGAGAGGATAAACTTCAAGCCATAAGTGAGGTGTCCTTCAAAAACTCTTATTTCAGTCTTACATTGGAGTAAGATTGCGTTCCAGGTGGTGAATACCCTCTTTTCATGATAATCAGACAGTCCCACCTTCTGTTCAGTTTAGCCATTTCAGCAAAGGTAAAGGACACTAGCAGCTCTGACAGAACTGTGTCCTGCTGTTGACAAACACAACTGCTTGCAGCTGTGGCTTAGCATCATCTCCAGCTACTCCCAGGACCCACTTGCATGTAAGCTCCATGCACTGGAAAGAAGCTTCTTGTAGCCATTACAAGTGCCATTTCAACTGTCTCTACTGCTTACATGGTGCTACTTTGCAAAAGGCCTGGCTTTCTTAGCTTCCTCCTAGATGTTGAGACCTGCTGTAAATGGCACCTTTTCTTCACAGGATATATACTTATACACACGTTTTGTTTATTAGTTGACTGTTTCTGTTCTTTGAGATTTAGATATCAAATTTAAAAATAAAATAGAACATGAAAACAGATCTCTTATATTTCTCTTGAAACAACAACAAACAAAAAGCAAACAGTTTTTTTCCTCCACAAAGAAAGAACCTACACACTTTACAGAATGTAATGTCAGCATTCTTCATGCCATATGAAAATGTTAAACCATTGTTTCTCACACTGTCATCTAGGACAATAATCATGATCTGAACGAGTTCGTAGTTCATGCTGCTGTCAACCTCATAGATGAGAACATGTGGCTGTTGAGCAACATGTACTTGAAAACTGTGGACAAGATCAATGAGGGATTTGTGTCAGCATTCAACACTGCAGGACATATCCTGACATTTTTAGTAAAGATAACTAAAGTTTGGGTTCACAAACTAGAAGAACATGGAACAGAGATGCCATGCTCCAAGTCTGCAGACTTCGCAGTCAGGTATAAAAGTAAAAGTTATCATTTATGGTGCTACATTTATTTTACTGGGGAACGGGACATATTGTAAAACAGCTAGTTATAAAACTAAGTTTCATACCACAAAAAAGTTTATCTGAATCATATCACAAGTTATTTAACTTTATTTTATAGTTATTTTCTGACTTTGAAAGTTTATTTTCTCTTTACGATAAAACTAAGCTAATTTTAAACCCAGTTTTGTATTCAATTCTTTCATCACTAATATATTGTGTGTTTCTAATTTGAAGACTATTGCATCAAGGAACTGATTTCTTTTTGTTTTTTATTTTTGTGAAAGATTTTGCCTTAATTATGTTACATATGAGATTTATTATGCTTCATGACATAAGGCAAGAAGATGAAATAAAGCACTTCTTTGCTGGTGTTTATCATTTACATATAAAAGTATGATATTTACTATAATTTTTTAAATCTGACAATTACAAAATGAATTTGATCTTTGTCAGGAAACTGGCCTATCAACATAATTTCCTTTGGCTGTATGTTTACCTTTCAGACAAACTTTTCCATATCAGAGGTATCTCTGGCAACTCTTATGGCAAGTGAGTCTTCACAGACAGTTGAATAGGTATTTAGAAACACAACTCATGGTAGTTATTATGAATGGTTGTGAAAATAAATTGTTTTCATTCTTCCCCTTTTGGTGTTCATTGCTGACACTATTAGGGAACCCTAAAGAGGCCAAGGAAGCAGCCTATATCAGGGAAAACTACTTCATAATTGAATCTAAGATGTTTCCATCTACTTTACAAATAAGTTAATGTTCTGTTAACAAAGATCATAAACTGGCAGGAATTGATTTTTCTGTGACCAAATAGTCACTAAAGACGGATGGTCCACTCCTTTTTTTTTTTTTTTTTTTTTTGAGACGGAGTCTCCAATCTGTCGCATAGGCTCAAGGTTGTAATCTTGGCTCACTGCAACCATTGAGACTCTCCCAACTCAGTCTCCTGATTTGCTGGCACTGCAAGTGCCCAACATCATTCCTGGTTAATTTTTGTATTTTTAGTAGGCAGGTAGTTTTGTACTTTGTTATATTTTTATTAGAGACCTAAGCCTACTACATCTATTACAAGTCTGTCAGGCTTGTCTGCAACTCCTGATCTCAAGTGATTCAGTTACCTCAGCCTCCCAAAGTTCTGGAAGTACAAACATGAGCCACCATGCCTATCCCAGATAGGTTTATCTTTATGTAACTACCCAAAAATAAATGTCAGTGTAGATTTGGTAGACAGATTCAAAACAATACTATTCTGCAGTGGGGAAGAAAATATGATAGCATGTATATTCATATTAACATGTTTATGCATGCAGAGATACTATAAAAATGTATAGTAGTATACACAGCAGTACTCAAGAAGCCAAAAAGACACTTCTTCAGTGCTTAGTATCTTTGAAAAAATCCAGACCATGAGTACGTACTGATATCAACACAGGTGCTTCAGTTATGACAGTTGTATTATTTGTATTATATATTGAAATTCTAAGTAATACTTGTTTTTTTGGTGAAGAAAAGGTGGAGGAAGTGGCAGAAGTTTTATAAAACATTTGGAATATGCCTGGGCATGCTTGTAATGTCAGCACTTTGAGAGGATAAGACAATAAAACAGAAAAGGGTGAGAATGATTTCTTTTTTCCCAGGATAAGATCTTAGTATAAATTCATTAATGTTCATTGAAAAGCAGGTAATACCATCTGTGATACTGATGAGAACTTCAATGATTTAGTTCCAATCTTAATTGCCTTTCAGTAAATAATTCTAAGCTTTTTCTTGTGTCCTTGTGTTAAATTGTTACCATCATTTTTACTTTATTTATTAGATTTCTTCAATAAAGACGTTTGTTCAAGATTGTGGTAGTTTGATGTCCTTCTTTTTTGTTTTGTTTTGTCCTTCTTGTTTGTTTTGTAATGGAGTCTTACTCTGTCACACAGGCTGAAGTGCAGTGTCATGATCTTAGCTCACTGCAATCTCCGACTCCCAAGTAAAAGTGATTCTCCTGCTTCAGACTCCCAAGTAGCTTAAAATATGGGTGCCTGCCACCAAACCTGGCTAACTTTCATTTTATAGTAGACACAATGTTTCACCATATTGTCCAGGCCGATATTGAACTCTTGGCCTTGTGGTCCACCAGTTTTGGCCTCCCAGACCCCTGGGATTACAGGTGTGAGCCACTGCATTCGGTCTAATATATGTGTTTGTGTGTATGTATGTGTGTTTATATATATGTGTGTGTGTGTGCCCCATATAGATATACACAATATATAACATAATGTGTGTATATGTATGTATCTATGTATATATAGTGTGTGTGTGTGTGTGTGTGTGTATGTATGTGTATATATATATATATATATATATATATATATATATATATATATATGATCTATTCTCTGTCATCCAGGCTGGAGTGCAGTGGCGTGATCTTGGCTCACTTTAACCTCCACCTCCTGGGACCAAGCAATTCTCTGCCTCAGGCTCCCAAGTAGCTGGGGTTACAAGTACCCACCACAATGCCTGACTAATTTTTGTGTTTAGTAGAGACATGGTTTCACCACATTTCCCAGGCAGTTCTGGAACTCCTATCCTCATGATCTACTCACTTTGGCCTCTGAAAGTCCTGCAATTACTGGCATAAGCCCCCACGAACAGCCCTCCAACCTACTATTTAAAGTGCTGCCCACTACAACTGTTTTTGTCCTGTTTTCTCTATTGGTAGTGTGCAAATTTGTATGATATCCTAACCTGTTATACAGCACTCAGCTTAACTCACACTAAATGTCGGAGCTTTGGGAGCAGAAAAAGGTACATACTCATCTACAAATCTGAGAGTAATTTCAGCAAACATGTATTTTTTAATATTGTTGGTTCTGGCCTCTGTGAACATATAATTCAGAGGGCTGTGATGCAAGCCAGCCAAGAGCAGTAGGATGACTGACAGTGGGAAGTCATGGCTCAGCTGAACAACAGTGGTACGCTGAAAATAACCTTTTCTTCAAGATGGTGAATGTGACGTAGAAACTAGTAATACACTTCCTATGTGTATATTATTAAAGTTAAATGCCAATTTTTCTGTGTGACTGGTACTTTGAAGGAGCTGGAAGGGAAGTGGAGCATTGAGTGGGACTTCCAACGTGGGCTGCAGAGGAAAGCATTGCGGGTGTGCTGGCATGAAGAAGGGCACTGGGGCACAAGTGTAGAACTGAGAGCTGATAGATAGGAGAAGATTATGAAGAAAGATAAGTTGAAAAAGCTTGGATCTTGTAAGTGATATCTCTGGAAGGTTATTTAATGCAAGAGGAATAGGGTGAGATCAGTTTTGTAATTTGGTTCCCCTGAGCACATCTATGTTAGCACTAAGTTGGTTATCTACTTTCCTGCTCCAAAAATAATCCAGATAATATGCACACATCGAGGTTTGTGCTCTTGCTATAGCTGGAAAATTCCTAGAATACTTCTTTGGCGTGGACATAGACACTATCAATTTCTGTTCTGCCCATGCTGTCCCTGCACTCTTCAAACTTTCAGTCACTTCAGCATTCCCTGTCTGTCAGTTCTGAGTTCCAGAAACTACCGAGTGTCCAGACACCATCTTTCTGTGGGTACCACACTGGTGCATTTTTCTGCTTAACACTTTACTACTCTGCAATACATGGATACTGTGACACAACTAACATGGTGTTGTCATAATATGAAAGTGAAAATTTAGTTTGTACAGAAACATAAGAAGGTTTTCTCTAAGACAAGAAAGAGTAGGAATGTTTTAACTTCAACTAGGAATCTCTCCCTAAGGAAGAAAAGTAACAAAAATATTTAGTCCATTAATGAATTTGGAATTTTGTACCCTCTGAACAGCACGTTGCATCAATAATGCAAAGCTCATTTGTCTGTTCTCAAAGTTCAGTAGTTAGCCTTAAAAAAAAATCCTAATCTCTCTCAAGGGAAAAGCTTTCATTCATAGCTCGAACCTCGCTGGATGTATGACAGACCGTATGGAGCAACTCCTGTATCACAGGGCTCCACCCTTTCATCAAAGTATGGAGGACAATCTATGGCTCTTTTGTCTAGAGAGGCTCTGCAGCAGCTTATCTCCACTCCAGCTGCACACTCACCGCCTGCTTTGTTCTCCAGCAAACTTCTATTGTATTTTCCATAAAATGTTTTCAGATGGCAAATTCGACCCTTATTTTAGGATATTAGACTTTAAAAAACTTAGCTTACCAGAATGTTTTTACATTGATTCCCAGTGGGTGGAGCCAAGAAGAGAAATGTTTCAATGTAATTTTTTAAAAACCCTTTCCCTATATGACAGCCAGCTGCCCTCACCCAGAGTGTTCTTTGATATCCCCATCATTCCCCAGTTGAGGGTCTCATTCACACTTAGGCTAGGCTTCAGTTAGCCTCCGTAGAATCAGAGAGTCACCAACTGCACAGCATATGAACTTCATCTATGAAAGACCACAATTTGCTTCAACAAGTATGATCATTGGAGCGAGTCTCTTTGGAAGAACAACAACAACAAAAATTCCTGAGATAAATAACTAAACAATGTTCAGTGATAGATAAGATACTAAGTAAATACACAGCTGAATAAAGTTGTCTTTATGTACCTTCTGACAAAGTACAATCCTTAGTATTTTCTCGGGAGACATAAGGTTAGCCTGTGTCTTATGTTAAAAAACAATAGTTTAACTGCAACTAGGAGGCTTTCCCTAAGGTTAAAGAAAGCAACATAAATATTAACTAGTCCATTAGTGGAAGTGTAATTTTGTATCCTCCACACAGCACATTGTAATTGGTACATCAGTTATCAAATGCACGCTTGTCTGTTCTCTAAGTTCAGTAGTTAGCTTTTTTCTTAAAACTGAACTGTGTCTATGGAAATGATTTCCACTCATGGATAGCCCAAGTTTAGCTGGATGTATGACTAAATGTATGAAGCAACTCTTGTACACTGGGGGCCCACCCTTCTCCTGGAGCTGTGGAACATGATCTATGGGGGTAGAGGTGCATTCATGGCACAGAAGTGTTACGTAATTACTAGTGAGAGTAATTCTAATGAAATGTAGAATAAAAATAGGGAAGGTTAAGTAATTTTGAAGAGAGTGATGAAGTAAATGAAGTAACAATCTACTGAAAATACATTAGATTTTAGTCTTCAATATCTAACATTTTTGCTTTAGGAAATTATTTCCTTGAACCAAGAATGCAATGCTAATTGCATAAAATCTTGTATATGTAAAAAGTAGTACTACATTTTCCCAAGAAAAAAATTCAGGTATAACTTCTAGAGTAGTCAAGTTTCTTATTTTAATTATAATTAGTCTTGGTTATCTCATTTCTGAGATCTGTAATCTATATATGTAAATCAAAGAAATGTTCTTGAAAACATTACAATTTTAATACAACTTTATAGATGTAAAGTGTCATTATTGAGAAAATATGTTCTTCCATGAGTGGCTGTGTCCCTTCTCCCACCAGCTAATATAGAAGGACAATCTATTCTTTGAATTTTATTAGTAGATGATACACTGCTGCAAACGCTAATTCTTTTTTTATCCCCGTGGTGATTTTGTGTATACCTGTGAGTTGATTAGAATGCATCAACAACCTCTAAAAATTCACGGCAAGATGAGCTAGTCCTGGGCTTTCAATGAAGATTGACTGTGTCTGTGTGTGTCAACTGATCCAACAAACCTTGTTCACAGGAACTCTTCAAACCGCCTCCTCAAAGGCTGCTGCTGCACTTGTGGCACCTTTTGCACTTGTTTCAAAGTAAAAATAATAGCCGTCATCCATGCACAAGCTTGGGTTTATTTTGCAGACACCTGCTGTTTGTTTATGTCAGTCTTGTTATTCAGAACCACAGAAGGAAAGCTCTCTTGTTCTTCCACATTTGTATAATATATGAATTCTTTCTTCCAGTTACTAAAGTTCTGGAAGCTTTGTGAATCATCGATAACAAAAGTAAGCAGGCGGCAGACAGAATCTCTGTAAAATGATGTCCTCAGGCTTTAGAATCACTCCTGACCTGACATGTCCCAAATCTGCGTGGCACCAAAATGTTTATCCACTTCCAAATCTTATTTAAAAATTTCACATCTATTGTCTTAAATAGCTCTATATCAAACTTATTAGTTAAAAATCTATTTATAAGTGAATTTCTCCCAACTTCACCTCCCAATTCACCATCTCCAAGGAGAATTACTTTAAAAAGTGATGAATTTACTGCCACCATTAATCTCAAGAGCCTCAAGAACTCTGTAAAATATAAATGCACCATTGCATTTCTTTATACCTACCTATTCTTCTACACGATTCTATGAATATCAGCATTTAGCTGAAGTAAAATATATAGCCCCAGGGAAAACTTAATAATAAGACTTTTGTTTACATGGCTGAGCATTTAGCCATATGCAGGCTACCATACTAGCAATATCATCTAAAACAACTGGGAAGGGCTCACTCTTCTCCCTTCTCAGGTTACAGTTGACTGTGAAGCTTGCACTCAAGCCCAAGTCTGACGCCAAAGCTCTTGCTCTGAACTGTTACTCTATGATAAGTCTCTCTCTGCTCATAGTAAGCCCCCACCACAGTTGGTTAAAGACGGTTAAGAGATCACAGTTTGCCTGCTTCTGATATAGCAATATTTATACTTTAAAGAGCATGTAAGGGAGGTTAGAGTTTAGAGAGCTGGAAATGTTGTAGCTATATCCAGGCCAAAAAGAACACACAGCTTTGGATAAACCCAACACCACATTTTATAATAGGCTGTTACAGACTGGGTAAAGTGGCTCATGTTTGTAATCCAAACAATTTGGGAGGCATAGGTGGGTGGATCAGTTGAGGTCAGGAGTTCAAGACCAGCCTGACCAATATGCTGAGAAAGCCCACTTCTACTAAAAATACATACAAACAGAAAAGTGACCTGGGCATTGTGGTGGGTGCCTGTAATCTCAGCTACTCAGAAGGCTGAGGCAGGAGAATTGCTTGAACCCAGGAGACAGAGGTCACAGTGAGCCGTGATTGCACTGCTGCACTCCAGCAAGGTGACAGCGCAAGACTCTATCCCAAAAGGTAAAAAAAAAAAAAAAAGACTGTCATAGCTTACCCAAGTGTAAACTTTAGATCTCAATAGACAGAGAAAGTTTATGGTTTACACAGATCGGAAGTTGCATCCATAGTCCAGAACTGCACTTTCTGTATATTTACAGATAATACTTCTTTATCAAAAAGGAAGAGTTTGGGTTGTATTTAAATGGTCAATCTATGTCCACAGGAAAGAGATAAAAGCATAGACATGCTCCTATCCAAAAAGCTAGTCTATAATTTATAAATCTCAATTGTTATATTTATATCTTTAAAATAGAGGGTCCAGGGTTTCTCAATCAGAAAGTAGAATTCAATATTCAATAAAATAGCAGTCTATTGTTTGTACAGCTCTGACAGTTATCTTTTAAATCAAGGAGAAGTGTGAAGATTGGCAAAGCCAGGAAGACCACATACAGCCCATGACCACAGATCCACCCCAAGAAAGCCATCAAGCTTATGTAAAGCCAGGAAGTTCTTATCCCTATCTAAGTTGATGAAGTTTGAAATTTTAAAAGCCAGGTATTTAGCATGAGAAAGTTATCAAAAATGCCAGAAATACAGCTAAGATTACATAATCAGAGATCTCACTAGGTATTCAACAAAAGATTCTTTTTCAATTATGAGGTCAGCAATTTTTTTATTATTATACTTTAAGTTTTAGGGTACATGTGCACAACATGCAGGTTAGTTACATATGTATACATGTGCCACGTTGGTGTGCTGAACCCAGTAACTCATCATTTAACATTAGGTATATCTCCAAATGCTATCCCTTCCCACTCTCCCAACCCCACAACAGGCCCCGGTATGTGAAGTTCCCCTTCCTGTGTCCATTTGTTCTCATTGTTCAATTCCCGCCTATGAGTGAGAACATGCAGTGTGTGGTTTTTGTCCTTGTGATAGTTTGCTGAGAATTATGGTTTCCAGCTTCATCCATGTCCCTACAAAGGACATGAACTCATCATTTTTTACAGCTGCATAGTATTCCATGGTGTATATGTGCCACATTTTCTTCATCCAGTCTACCATTGTTTGACATTTGGGTTGGTTCCAAGTCTTTCCTATTGTGAATAGTGCCACAATAAACATACATGTGCATGTTTCCTTATACAAGCATGATTTATAATCCTTTGGGTATATACCCAGTAATATGATTGCTGGGTCAAATGGTGTTTCTAATTCTAGATCCCCGAAGAATCACCACACTGACTTCCACAATGTTGGAACTAGGTTACAGTCCCACCAACACTGTAAAAGTGTTCCTATTACTCCACATCCTCTCCAGCACCTGTTGTTTCCTGACTTTTTAATGATCACCATTCTAACTGGTATGAGATGGTATCTCATTGTGGTTTGTATTTGCATTTCTCTGAGGGCCAGTGATGATGAGCATTTTTTCATGTGTCTTTTGGCTGCATAAATGTCTTCTTTTGAGAAGTGTCTGTTCATATCCTTCGCCCACTTGGTCAGCCAATTATAATTCATAACAGGAGAGTAGGGATATAAATAAGACCTTCTTGCTGACATATTACCTGAACTAACTTTTATTTTTAAGGTTAAAAACTCTCAAATATAAACCTGGAGAATTTTTTTGTTGTTGTTTTTGTTTTTGATTTTGATTAAGTTAAGAGTGTTTGGGTTGTTTGAAGCATGTCACTCATATACAAAGAAGGTCTGAGCTTTGAAAGCTACAGCTTACTTACCTTAATGACAAGTGGAAGGCAGAGTTTACACAGGCATGGGGCATGCTCATATCAGGTCAAGTAATCAGTAATTATGTAGCAAAAACTGAATTTTGACATCTTATTTCTGTAGTAAACATCCAATCCTTTGTTTGAAAAAGTATTGTTACATATATATGAGCTCTGGCTGTAGACCCGTATGCTCTTCTGTGAATTTTTTAGTTGCCATGGGTGTAAGATCCTTACTGCATAAAGCCTGTGTCCTACTGTCCTGAATACAAATGAGCTTGCCCTGTCCCAAAAGAGCAAGATAAATGAGCTTACCTCTTTGATATTTTGATGTATTTTTGTAATTCTTTGTTTGTGTTTGAGGTTTTTCAGTGCAGCTGATTATACTTTTTCCATAGTGAGTACCATTTTTGTTTTCTGGCACCATTTCTTCTCATTCCTAAATATGAATTTTTTTGTTCTATTAAGCCCTAGCCTTATGAAAGTGTTCCTACTTGTAATGAAAATGACTGGTAGGTACAAACACCACACTTTTCATTCCAAGAATATAGCATTTATCTATGTGATTTATAAAGCCTAGCATGTCTACATTGAATATAGTGTGTAAAGTTAGCTGTAAGTATTCTTCTTTACATTGCATACATACATAAGTACACACAGACACATATGTATATATGTATACATAAATATAATATAGGAACACTGACCTACTTGGATTTTTATATTGACATGAACTTATATAGTGGGTAACAAAATGGGACCCTGCCTCAAAAAATATATATATGTATATGTTGGAGAGGGATAAATGTCTCAAAAAATGTCTCAAAAGCTTTCATCTATCTGAGAGAAAGGAAAGGCCATTGTTCATACAAATTTAAATTTAGCATCTCAGTTCCAAAAAACTAGAATTCAGAAGATCGCTCCTAAGCTTTCTTATTCATATGCAAAAATTTTAAAAATTCAAATGTGTGTATATGTGTCTGTTCATTCACAAACAAGAAGCTCACATTAGTGACCTGGTAGGATTAACCCAGAACTTATCAGAAAGTTCTAAATCTAGGACAAGGAAATAAAGAGTTCAGTTTGCATACAGCCAGGAAGCTTGTGTTGATTTTCAGTGACGGTCAAAGACAGCAGGTATAAAGGTAAAAAGAATGCATTTCCCTTCAAGCAGCTTTCAATATTCTTTTAGGAGAGATGTACAGTTTTATAAAGAAACAAGTGGCCAATGTTTCTGTAACACACGGGTTACTTTGTGTGCAAAATAACCAAGGTATGTGAGTATTCTTGCAGACATTGGAAATATTCTTCCTAACTGTATACAATCGAGAAACTTTGATTTACATCAAAGTTAGAACAAAGCTAGGTTTGAATTACCTGACACTATGCATCCTTGTTAAAGAAGAATAATCATAATCATAATAAAACTGAGCAACCAGGATTTATGCAACCTACAGGCTTATGGTAATACCTATGCATGTGTAGCACAGAATTTACAAAGTGAGCAAGGACATCTCTGTCCAATGTGGAAGAAAAGGCCTATATGGATATAAATATAAGCTTTTATCAATTTACAGAGAAGCCAGGCATGTTACAGGAGCGAATCCATTATCTTTGTAAAATGAGCACTTTCATGTGCATCCGTGTGAAGAGACCACCAAACAGGCTTTGTGTGAGCAATAAAGCTTTTAATCGCCTGGGTGCAGGTGGGCTGAGTCCAAAAAGAGAGTCAGCCAAGGGAGATAAGGGTGGGACCGTTTTATACGATTTGTGTAGGTAAAGGAAAATTACAGTCAAAGGGGTTTGTTCTCTGGCGGGCAGGAGTAGGGGTCGCAAGGTGCTCGGTGGGCGTGCTTTTTGAGCCAGAATGAGCCAGGAAAAGGACTTTCACAAGGTAATGTCATCAGTTACGGCAAGGACCAGCCATTTACACTTCTTTTGTGGTGGAATGTCATCAGTTAAGGTGGGGCAGAACATATTCACTTCTTTTGTGATTCTTCAGTTACTTACTTCAGGCCATCTGGGCGTATACGTGCAGGTCACAGGGGATGCATGGCTTGGCTTGGGCTCAGAGGCCTGACAAGCACAGAATGCTCTATTTTTTTTAGGAAGGTATTGTAAAATTGAGCCAATTATCATCAAGATTAGTGTGGAGCAAACAGAAAACCTAAGAACAAGAGAAGATATTTCCCAGCTGCACCAACAGAGTCTAAAATTCAGCATCTACAGGAAACTAACACATCAACAAGCAAAAAACAAATAACTATTAAAAGTACTTAAATTAATGAACAGACCTTTCTCTAAACAACATGAAAATGGCTAATAAATATCTGATAAAATATTGATTTATTTATTCATGAATGCAGATGATTAATTTATTCATGAATGCAAATCCAAACCACAATTATATTCCATCTCACAACAGTCAGAATGCCTGTTATTTAAGAGTCAAAAAATTTTACAAAACACAGGTGCTAATGAAGCTGCAGAGAATTAAAAATGCTTCTCCATTGCTGATGAGAATGCAGAAGAGTTCAGCTACTTAAAAAAGCATGATGAAGATTTATCAAATAACTTAAAATGAAGCTAACATTCCACACAGAAATTCTATCATTGATATATGTCCAGAAATGAAAAATACATTATCCCAACAAAAACACAAATGCTTTCAAACCTTTAATGCAGCACTCCACAAATTTGCAAAAACATGGAGTCAACCTAGGTGGAGTGGATAAAGAAAACTAGTATTCAGTTCATCAGTGGTAGATGGGATGTAAAAAATGTATCTATGCACAAAGGAATACTATGCAGCAATAAAACAGAATGAAATGATTACATTTATAGCAACATGGATGCAGACAGAGGCCATATTTATTACAGGAAAAGAAAAAAATACCACGTTTTCATTTATAAGCAGAAGATGAGAATTGAAACACATTCATATAAATATGGAAACAGCAGACACTATGGAAATGTACAGAATAAAAAAAATGAAGTGAGCTAAAAAGCTACCTATTGGATACCATGCTCACTAGCTGGGTGATGAAATCCACACTGCATAACCCACTATCACGCAATAATTCCATGTAACAAACAACGACATGTGATATTGGTATTGAAAAGAAAATAAAAATGTTAAGAAAGAACAAAAAAAGAATGTAGACATGCTGCATTTACACGTAAATTTAAACAGGCTGGAAAATTTTTATGTGAAATGCACACCCATATCCAAGAAAGAGACTGGTTTGACATAGTGAGCACATGGTTTCCATGGTCAAGGAAAGGAGATTGTGTTTGTGTGTGTGTGTGCTGTTACTTTTCTTTATATACATTTTCAAATATGTATGCATATATGCATTATATATATATACATTCAAACAAGAAAAAATTGATATCTCAGAAATTTATTTTTATCCAATGTTAAACGCCATCCCATATTAATACAGCCAAAAAACCCATCAACATATATAAATGTATTTACTCAAAAGGATTTCCTTACAAGCTAAACTTCTAAAGAGTTTTATCATAGTGGAATAAATACATCCATGGTCAAAGAGGGAAATTTTGGGAGTTTTCAAACCAGGCCACAATGCATTCATACCCAGCAAAGAAAATTAGCACAGATCTTGCAGTTCAGAGTTTGCATTTTATACTCCAGAACAAAAAAATTACTAATGTGAATTGTCAGCTAATATATATATTCAATAATATATGCATTCACATTGGCAGCAAAAACAATGTAATCATATGGGGAAAAAAAAGGTTTGTAAGTCTCTAGTTCCATTAAATTCTAGGTGAGAATGAGAACTAGGTTGATCACATAAATTTTCTTACAATGGAAGAGAATATATTTTTATAAATCCTAGATGCTTGCATCTCACAAAAAAAGGGAAAGGTAAAGTTGATACATGCAAGTTTTAAGGTATAAAAAATACATAGGTAGTATACTGCCAACTAATTTCTGTACATGTACAATATAGGTGGGCTGACAATAAGAATATGCATTAGTCTTCAGGAAAACTGCACAACATAGGCACTCCTCACCAATAAGTTCATATTGAGTAGCATTTAAGATTTATACAACTTGAAATTGTATATATATATATATATATATATATATATACACACACACACACACACACACACACACATAAAAAACAGAATTTATAAAGCCTAAAAGGTCACAAGCATATTATAATAATAATACATATAAGATTAATGCAGTAACCAAATCTCCATCCACACTAAGGGACACATTGTACAATATTTACGCAGCTGGGCATTTCATAACTTTCTCTAATAATAATGGCTGTCAGGCTGTATTCTGTCAGAAAACTATATTCATAACAAAATATTGAGGAGCACAGATATTACAGAACTAGAAAATTTACAACCATCATAAGAAAAGAACGGTATCAAGATTTATAAATTGATAAACACATGTATAATTTCAACATGAAGTAAAAGGTTGAGGAGAGGCAAGGAGAAGGAATGGGAAATGCAAAACTTCAGTAATCACCACCCACTGATAGAATAATCAATATGAACAAATACCCACAATTGAAAACATATGCTCATACATAAGACTGAAACCAGATGGGTGATAGCAGTACCGGATGGTAACACAGTAAGAAAAGACATTATTAAAAAGGAGAGCAATGGGAGTTTTATACTAGGCATGTCATCCTTCCAATAACCTGTTAGCAAAGTGCAGAGAGAGAAAATGACTGATTGGAGGAGACGAAAATGATAACCAAACTTTCCTTAAATCCTAACATCGGCATACCACAGAGCACCGAGAAGGCTCTCAGGGGCTAGGCCTGCAGACTGGTACCTCTACTGAAAGATGCCAGACCTACCCTGGCATAATAATGATGAAAAAACAAACAAACAAAAAACAGAAGCTAAAATATATTTTACAAATATTAAAATAAAAAAGAGCATCAATGACAAATTTGATCTGGCGCACACACACACACACACACACACACACACACACACACAAAACATTCTGGGAAGTAAACCACAAGTCATTTCAAAATACAGAGTCTCAGCAGAAAACTGTAGTATAAAAGAAGAAAAAGAGAGCTTATGAAACAGCATAAAGACAGTAATGTTGCTCATCACCAGAATAACAAAACAAGAAAAAAAAAGGTAGAAATAACAGTTTTTAAATGATAGCAGAGGGCTTTCCAAACCGGAATAAACATGTAAGTATTTAGACATACAAAGGTCAGACTTTTCCAACCAGACTGACTTGTACAAAATGACACTAAAATATTTTGTAGTGAAGCTTTCAAAATTAAAAACAAACAAACAAACACAAGAGCCAGTCTTGAAAGCAGAAACACACACACACACACACACACATCACAAAAAATAAAATCACCTACATGACATTCGTCAACAGCTAGCAGATTTGTCAGAAGAGACACTGCAATTAATGTGTGAGTGAGATAACATTTAAATATTAATAGTAATATGAAGAAAAAAATCCTGCCTATAAGAGTAATGCACCCAGGACAAGTTTTCTCCAAAATAAAGGAAAGATGAAGTTTACCAAATAAGCAAAATCGGAGGAATTTTATTGCCATAAGACCTATCTTATAAACCATGATAAGGGAGGAGTTCATGCTGGAAGACAAAAACACAAATGAGTACATGAAAACATAAGAAAGGATAAAGCTCTGATAAAAGCGCTCAGTAAAATAAAGAACATTTTGATACTGTAATGGAGGTGTGTTAATAATGTGTATCTTTAATGTGAAGGTGAAGAGATAAAATGATTGCAAACAATAATGGCTGCTTTAATTTGACAAGGAATACATATTACAAAATTACATATTTTAAAATAAATAAATAAATATCTGTATAGATGTGTGTATATATATCTTATGTATGCATATATATAATATCTAATATATAATATGAAATATATATTATATAAGCTATATAATATATAGGTATATACACATACACTTTTCATTGCTTAAATATATTATGTATGTTATATTTAATACATATATATTTTGTATGTTATATATTATAAATGTTAAATGTTATACAGTATATATTATATGCAATGTTATATATGATATGTTATATTTTATATTAACAAATATGTACTATATATAACATATATACACACATTCATACCTATATCTATTTATTGTATTATGTATTACATATTTTATATATTATTCATACACATATATGATATATATTATGGTATATATACACACATATACTATATAAAATGTATATATAGTATGCAGGTATATATAACATATATGTACAGATATATACTATATAAAATTATTATATACATCTACACACAAATATTAAATATAAATATTATATATATATTATATACATGCATATATATACATGCAATCAATTTCAGTGATGTTATTATCAACTTACAACCACCACATAGTGCCTCAAACGTTTTTACATGAACTTCGACTACACAGAAAATATAAATGGTTTAGCAAATACCACTACAGGAAAACATCAAACACACAAATGCAAAGTTAAATAAGAGAGAAGGAAAAGAAAAAAAAGTGATCAGAAATCACAACAAGGCACAATTTACAAAGTGGCACTACTAAGTCTTCATCAAGCAATAATTACCTTCAGTGAAAGCTGATGGTAAAATTACACAGTCAGGAGGCTTAGGAAGGCTAAGTAAAAATATTTTAAATCTGTTTTGTCAGAGACTAGGAATGCAATTTCCCTTTATTTCTTTCCTTAAAACTATCGCTAGTGTGACTGAATAACTGAATTTTTAATCTATGCTTAATAAACTACATGTGCATAATGACTACCATACAGGGTAGCATAATTCTAAGGTACATGGCTGGTATCTGTTGCTTAACTCTTACTACCAAAGGAAATTTCTGGCTTGAAGGGATATTAAGAAACAATCTACGGGCCACGCATGATGGTCCTTGCCAGTAATCCCAGCAATTTGGAAGGCTAAAGTGGGTATATCACTTAAGATAAGGAGTTTGAGATCAGCCTGGACAACATAATGAAAACCTTTATTTACTAAAAATACAAAAACTTGCCAGGTCTGTTGACAAGTGCATGTAATCCCAGCTACTTGGGAGGCTGAGGCAGGGTAATTGTTTGAACCTGAAATGTAAAGGGTGTCATGAACTGAAATGATGGCACTGCAATCCAGCATGGGTGACAGAGCTAGACACCATGCCAAACAACAACAAAGAAAAGAAATGAAATTCAGAAAGGAAGGAAGGAAGGAGAAAGAAAGTAAAAAAGAAAGAAAGAGAAAAAGAGAAAAAGAAAGAAAGAGAAGAAAGAGAAAGAGGAAAGAGAAAGAAAGGAAGGAAGGAAGGAAGGAAGGGAAAGAAAGAAAGAAAGAAAGAAAGAAAGAAAGAAAGAAAGAAAGAGAAAAAGAAAGGAGGACTATGTAATTGGAATAGATAGATTATTTTTTAAAATATTTTTATTACCTTTACAGTTTTTTTAAATGCCGCCATTTCAGAAAGAAATCTGGTCAGCAGCCCTTACCAGCTTTACCTAGCATCCCAATAAAGTTTCTAGAAGTGAGAGAACATTGAGTAGCGGGCATGGCAGATAGCACAGTGACAAAATTTGGGTAGAACTTTAGCTCACAATAAAATAGCTCCTGGCAAAATAAAATTATTTTAAAAATTGTTGGCTTCCAATTAACCAACAGAGAATCTGTAGGAAGTTATGTTGTACCTAACTGTTGTCTGTAACCCTGACTCAGAAACCTATGTTCTTATCGTATCTGACTATATCTATGCTCAGGTGCTTCTAAGTTGTTGAATGTCCAGGGTACATTTCCCCCTAGATTCTAGTCACCTATTTTTTCTACTCCTAATAATTGCTTTTAGAGATAAGGATACTTGAGAAAATGATGCACACAGAACTTGAATTAGGGAAGAAAATTTGGACATTGGTCTTTTGCTTTTTGGAAGCTCATATTCTTATCTGCATTTTGCAAACAAATAGGCACATACATCAATGGGGCCAGACTTAGAAAGTTCAGAAATTGATTAATAAAAATATGGTCAATTGATTTCTTGTTTTCTACCAAGTTGCAAAAGGATTTCAATAAAGGAAAGATAGTCTTTTCAACAAGTGGTGCTGGAACAATTGGATAATCATGTGCGCAGAAATGAACTCTAGATCTAAATGTGAAATGCAAAACTATAAAACACCCAGATGAAAACAGGAGAAAGTCTATGTGATCTTGGGTTTCATGATGAGCTGTAACACCAAAAGCGAGACATATCAAATGAAAAAGTAGATGAGTTAGACTTTATTGCAATTAAAAACATTTCTGTGGAAGACACTGTTAAGAGAATGAAAACACCCAATGTCAAAGCCCATAGAGTTTACATCACCAAGAGTGAACGTTAATGTTTGCAAATTTAGGTCAAGTGATCCCAGGAGGAAATGCAGACTGTGATAGAACAATCTAACTGTAATCCCCTCACTGAAAGGAGTTCATGATTATTTTTAAAAGAACGTATTTAACCCCCTATTGATGGAGAGTTAGGTGTTTCATTGTTTGCTTTTGGCCATTAGAAGCAACCTTCGTGCAGTGTGCACCCTTTGTGACCTTGTGAAAGTACAGCTGTGTAAATTTCTAGAAGTGGAATGAGCGCATTAAAGGGCACCTGCACGTTGAATATATATAAGCATTGACAAATTTCTTTCCAAAGTAAATGAGTGTACCCATACAGCCACTCCCTTGACAACATTAGCATTATCAAAGCTTTAATCTAGTGGTGTTATAGGGGAAAGAATGGCTTCACTGCTGTATTAATTTGCATTTATAATTTTGTTCTTGTTTATTCAGCATATAAAAATTTTGTTCATCTTTGTTTAACATTTTGTTCATCTTTGTTTGACATTTTGTTTTTTGCTGCAAACTATCTATTTTTTTCCCATTTTTTCTTTTTTTACCTGATTTTTAAGGGCTCGTTGAAATTATGAAAATGTCTTTACTTTAGTATTGATTATGATATGGCTCTGAAGAATGGAGGAACACCATGGCTTTTGTCTCATGCGAATTGGAAAAAATGACATGAACACACGTGGAGTTTTAAGGAAGAGAGCATAATAGACAATAAAGAAGGAAGAAGCTCCCTTGTACTGAGACAAAGGGAGAGGGACTCCAAAGCTGACTGAGGAAACTGCAAGTGCTGGGGAAATCAACCAGTTATAGGAGAAGGCTGGAGGAGACGATGTCTGATTTGCCTAGTCTCAGGGGAATGGTTTGACCAGGCATGTCACTCACATAGCCTCTGAAAAACCTGGCTCTCCCACCCTAGCCTTTCAATATGAAAATGCAGGGCACCATTCTACACATGTGGGGATGTATGAGGGTGGCCATGCTGCCAGGGACATGTGAAGGCAAGGTTAAAGAGAAGAAGGCAGGAATTGCGACGCTTGGGTGGGCCCATTTTCTTCTGGCCAGCATTTGCATATCAAAGTTTGCTTTCTGGATCTAAGATCTGGGGCTTTCCTGTGAAACAAGAAACATTTCTGGAGCTGCTTTAAAAGAGAAAAAATTTCCAAGGGCCTCTTTTCTTCTCTATCTGCTTAAAATAATTTCTTAATAACTCCTTTAACATTCCATCTCTCCCCGTCTGCAGAAGTCACCTTAACTGATGTTAGAGGGTTTGGGGCGATGACTCTTTCTGGATGCTTCATGCTAAAAGGGCACAGCAAATGGGGAACAGCAGGGAGGGTTCCTTCTGGGGTTCACCTAGGGGTCCTCAGAAGAGCAGTGTGTCCATGTGTGGTTCAGTTTGCAGCACTATGTAGGTTTGATGGCTTCGACAGGAGAAAAAAAAATTGAGTTACAGTTTTGAGTATACAAAATTCAAATATTAGCACAAGACATATAAGCAAGAGAGGGCTTATTACAGGGATTAGCCAATTTTATAAAGAATACTGGAATTCATTAAAGAGGGACTGTAGCTACCAGGGGCTGAAAGTTGCATTTTTCCTGAGCTTGTCAATAATTTTAATTTGATTTTTAATTGCCCGTAGATTTTTCTCTGCTTGAGTAGAGGTGTTTATCTAAGATACAGAATCTCCCTTTTGGGATCTATGAAGTTATTTACTTTTATTTTCCCAAACAAAGAAAGCTCTGAGTTATGGGCATTGCACTCAATTTTATTACCTGGCAGAATTTGCAGGATAATGTCCCAGAAATAGATCCAGATATTTACACTACCTATCCTTTTTTTTTTTTTCCTCCCAAGCTGTAGGAGATTACCACTTGACTCTCAGGATTAAGCACGCTTAGTCTAAAAGGTAGACAAAAGGCTTACAATCTATTAAGTGGACTAAGATTTAATGACAAGTGTATGATAAGCTTTGGAGCACAATTTCTTCAGGCCTCATTTTTTGTTTAAAAAAAGGCAAATTATAGAACCCTGTGTCTTTTTTGTAGAATAAACTTTAGTCTTATACTTGGACTGATAATTGCATTAAGTGCAGCTAGAATGGTTATTTTTTATATCAGCCTATTGGATTAGCTTTGATGAAACTCTGCTCTGGAAAGAATTTGAGATAAAACTTTTAAAGCTGAGACTAGCCATGGTTCCTATTCTCAAATGCCTGTAATTTGGTAAGTTGGGTGATCCTCTGTTCTTGAGGTCCCAGATAAATTTGGAGCTCCAAGGTCTTGTAGAAAGTGCAATTCTTTACTGACCACAGGTGAGGAACACTGTGCAGGGACTGGCTTGACAAGGTATGAGGCCAGTTCTCCCTAATGGGCTTTTATCAGCTCTGAGTGCCAAGCTTGATTCCTTAAAAGGAAACACATTCTTTCGGTCAATGCCTTGGTCAATTAACCAGTTTTTCCAACTGTGTTCTTTAAAAAAGTAAATGATTCTTATTGCACTCATGGAGACAACAGTCTTGCCATAAGTTAAGAGTACTTACAGTTTAAAACAAACATGGTCCAAATTTTGTTGACAGGAGAATGTCTTACTGAATTTGCAAGGGCTGCAAATACTTCAAAGTAAGTTTTCTTGACTCTGAAAATCAAAACAAGGATCATTAATATTCCAAACTAAGTTAAAAATGCTGCTTTAACTTTCTGAGCGCAGTGCAGTTAGTTAACTCTTCTTTCGCTTGATATTTGTGAACATGTCAGACCTTTATGAGTGTCGTACATTCTGTCTTTATCCCAACGTTACAGTCATCAAAACTATTAAAAACCTGCATTTGAGAACACCTATTAAAGTCTTTAATATAGCATGATTAAAAACCCTCTTTTCAGAAGGAACCCTAAACAAGACCATTGTCTGCAAATGACAAAATTTCCAGGATAGTTACAGTTAAAACTATGACTGAGAGAGAAGTTTATTTGTCTCCATGGTTTATAAGAACTTTTCCCTTAATTATGATTGAGAGCATATACTCAGACCTTAGAACTTAGAAATGCCACAAAATTTTGGAAAATCTATTAGTATTATTCACCAAATTATAACTTAAAGAAAATTGGACATCATTTTGGCAATCTCTTGTGACTAAATGTGTCTGTATATGTCTTTTCTGAATGTTTTGGAAGCCCTCTAAACGACTCAGAAAGCCAGGCATTAGGAAGGACAATTTTGAAACTTGAATTATGCTTTTAGGATGCCTGTTACATTTTAGAGGTTTGGAACACTCGATTTTATGAAATAGCAATCCAGATTGCTATAAATTACTTGTTTTGCCGAAAGGATGGCTCAAAAGGCAAAAACCATTTTTATTAGTTTTTATTATTACATGACACGTCATTTGGCTCTGAGATCCTGTTCAAAGCCAAATTTTACCCTTGTATTAATTTGTTAATGTCAACCCCAATTTGATTAAATAAAACCTTATGGATCATTTCACTTAATCTCAACCAATTTGACCATGACGTGAAATATTTACAAACCTTTTAAAACGCTTTTACCAAAGGGCAGATTAGTTTCTTAAGAACTCCTTGGTGTGCTTTTATTTCAGTACTCAAGTTATTTAAAAAATACAGTAACTTTTTGAATTTAATGTTCACTGTTGACATTTAGCAACTTTCTTTTTCAGTGAAAACCCTGGTTAATAAGCAACTTTACTATATACAAGGTGTGGATCCTAGCACCCAGACAGAAGTGCAGATAAAGTGTGAGTTTTCAGCTTCTATCTCCATGTATCCAAGGTTTTACAAACCTGTAAAGCAGGCAGGAAAAAAACCTTGGAATGTTTAGCAAACCTGGTGTCCAAATTGTATGATTCAGATGACCTATTTTCATTCTCACAACACTTACATTTTCCCAATAATCCTTAAGACTACATTTCTTAAACTCACAGGAACTAAAAAAAAAATTTGATTTAAGTGCTTACTTCTCTTTAAGACAATTAATTAGAGCTTGTTTTTATAGATATTACACACACCACATATATAACAACACAAACAGAAGATTCAGAGTTATTTTGTGTGCCAGTTTCTTAATTGGATTATTGGTTTCAAGTTGTAGCCCTTGGAGAAACAGTGTCATTAGCATACATTTTTAGGGTCTAGTAAGTAGATGCAGCTGAAGGCAATTAGCCCATCCCCCTTGGTACTCTTTTTCTTCGTGGAGGAGTGGGGGGTCAGGATG
Organism: Homo sapiens; assembly: GCF_000001405.40. Taxonomy (NCBI): domain Eukaryota; kingdom Metazoa; phylum Chordata; class Mammalia; order Primates; family Hominidae; genus Homo; species Homo sapiens. The sequence continues at coordinate 18,634,484 of NC_000024.10, read as the reverse complement.
TTTCTCTATGTTTTAGGCAGACAAGAGCATGCTTCACTAATTTATAACTACTACTAGCCATTTCATACAGTGCATTTTCTACCTAGTTATTACACACCAAAGCTCTCCCATAATGTGAAGTAACTTGATATCAGCAAGAGCCACAAAGGGTAAATAACACAATACATAAGAATACAGAGGCTTTGCTTTTCAGAGGAAACTATCTGCTTTCAATTTTGGGGGTTTCATGAGGAAAACATGGGTGTTTTGTTTTGCTATCTGTGTGTGTGTGTGTGTTTCCCCATATGGGGATTTTGGTACCTACTCTGTTTTTCCCCAGGAGTCTTATGCTATCAGAAGGTACCTTATTAGGACCTTTCAGGCATGCAATAAGAGTGGTAAGACAGAAAATGATGGAGAAAAATAATTCAGTCGACTGAGAACAAAAGAGCCTTTTTTTTCAATTTTTTTTTTTTTTTTTTTAAACAGATTCTCACTGTTTTGCCCAGGCTGGAGTGCAGTGGTGATATCTCGACCCACTGCAAGCCCCGCCTCCTGGGTTCACACCATTCTCCTGCCACAACCTCCTGAGTAGCTGGGACTACAGGCACCTGCCACCACGCCCAGCTAATTTTTTGTATTTTTAGTAGAGACAGGATTTCACCATGTTAGCCAGTATGGTCTCGATCTCCTGACCTCATGATTTGCCCACCTCGGCCTCCCAAAGTGCTGGGATTACAGGCATGAGCCACTGCGCCCGGCCCCCCAAAATTTTTTAAATATATCAACAACTAGAACACCTACTTTTAATTAACCTGAACACGTTTTAAGAAAATTCTTTAAAAAATTTTTTATTACTTGACTTTAGCCCTGCCAAGCAGTTAAGAATTTTGGCTTTTGAACTTTACAAAATATAATCTCATAGATAAAACCAACTCATGTTATGACTTAAAAGCTAGTGTCCAAGGTATTTTCAGAGGAATAATAGTCAGCTTTTGAATCTTTCATTGCAAAATTTTGATGGAGACAGTGAAAGAGCATTGACCTAAACAAATCTGTTTCATTTGTTGCCCTCAAGCTGTCTTTGCCAATCCCTGGGCTTAGGCTGAGCCAACTTTAGGAGGAGCCTGGTTTACAGTCTACAGTCTAAAACAAAGATGATAACAGCTGCTTCCCAAGATATCCTTTCCTCTTGACTGGAGCCCAGAATGAGAAGCTAACCACAAGGTTAGGGGCCATGGCTTAGGTGTCAGGGAGGTGGAGGCTACAAGGTTTTGACCTTCCCTAAACTGCTTTCAAGATCAGTGCTTAAGATATTGTATAAACCCTGCCCTTGGTGGATCAGCTGGGACCACCCAGATTGAAAAACTGGCTTATCGGATTTTGTGGCCCTCACCCATGAACTGACTTAGCAGAAGAAGAAAGCCACCTTTGTAAAATGGCAGAGACTAAAACCAATTATTGCCACATAGTTACAGGTTATGTTCCCAAGGACATGGAACAAGATGTAGGACTGTAACCCAGTTTGTTACTGACCATTTAGTTGCTCTGGCTTGCACAGAAGGCTTATGGGGTCTTGGGCCTTCACCCTGACTTAAGATACCCTTTTGTTGACAGAAAGATACAGAAGGACATGCAAAGCACACAAATAGTCTACAACTTAAGATCAACCTCATAAATCTTTTTTCGTTATTTATAAATTTACCTAGAATATAAACAATAATCCTTATTTTCTTTTTTACCCATTTACTAAGGGAGAGAGAAGCCAAAGACCAACTGGTAAGAAATTTTTACCCTTTTGCCAGCATATCAGGCTTCTACATTTCCTTTCTTCTAGCTCAACTCTAAGCCAAGCATTTTAAGGTTTGGAAATTAACTTTTCCAAGATTGGATGAACAGTATGAAAGATATAGAAGCCATATTAAATCACAAAAAAAAAAAAAATGAAAAACACTATAGAAAGAAGTTCCAGTTAAAATTTTCAAGAGGTATTGCCCCTTTTCCTATAGGGAATGGTATTTCCCCTATTTCTTTACCTAGGGAAAGTTTCTCTTTTCCCTTTTAGCCTACTATAGAAGACATGTTGCTCATCTCCACAATTTTCTTTTGCTTGCAGAGCTGCCTCTTTTAGCTGAAGTTAGACTTTGGCTTAGGAGCAGAAAAACATTCCTTCAAAAGAGATGAAATACCTAAGTTAAATTTTGGAAAGCGCCTATGTGTCTATCAGGATCATCAGAAATTTGGCATGACCTCCCTTTATTTTCCAAAGTTCCTCCAATGAGAAGAGAGAACTTGAAGGGGCCCCAAATAAGGGAATCCTCAGATGGTTCCCCTGAAACTTGCTTCTCTAATTTTGGGTAATTTTTCTCTTTGGGACTGCCTGATAGGATTGCTAAATGCGCTGGGTTATTCTGCAACACTTACAAAGCTGTAGTAAGAAGGCCATGCCATTGTGCAAAAGTAAATAAACTATTTCTTCAAAGTTTCAGGGTTGAAGGAATCCAAGCACTTTAAAATACACTCAGCCAGGTGCGGTGGTTCACGCCTGTAATCCCAGCACTCTGGGAGGCTGTGGCGTGCAGATTATGAGGTCAGGAGTTTGAGACTAGGCTGACCAACATGGTGAAACCGCATCGCTACTAAAAATACTAAAACTAGCCAGGTGTGTTGGTGCGTGCCAGTAGTTCCAGCTGCTCATGAGGCTGAGGCACAAGAATCCCTTGACCCCAAGAGGCAGAGTTTCCAGTGAGCCAAGACCTCACCAATGCACTCCAGCATGGGTGACAGAGTAAGATTCTGTCTCACACACAGGCATATAAATAAATATACATATGTGTGTGTGTGTGTGTGTGTGGTGTGTGTGTGTGTGTATACGTATATATACATATATACATATATGCATATACGAATATGTATATATATATATATATATATATATTCCAAGGGAATGGATGTTAAAGACTATCTGTTACCAATCTAGAAAGAGAGGTAAGAATAAAAGCACCTTTTTACTCTCCTTCCTTTCAGTATGTGATTCCGAAAGGAGATTAGTACATTAGGGGGTGTTCTGTAACTGTAGTTTTTCTTTGCTCCTGAAATTCAGCTCCCATTTAAATGTGACACCCATGACTGCAGTCATGACATTTTAAGCCATGTTACCAGAGAAACTAAACTTTTGGGTAATGGTATTGCCTTCCACAAGCAGTCTTATTCCTCTTTCCTTTATTTTCCTTTTATTTCTTAGACTTGTGTTGCCTGCATGCCTTTCTTAAAAAATGGATTTCAGGAAAAACAATGCAATTAGGCAAGACCCCTTTAAGAGAAGTGTCTGCTAGATTGAACTCTATGTTCTGCCATTGTGGCCAGTAGTAAAGCATGTACCCATAGTGAAATGGTTCCCATTAACTTCTGGACTTAAAGTCCTCTTACTAATTAAATACCGTCTTAATAGGAGAGATAATAGAAGCTTTAAAGGAACATAGGAACCAAATGGAGGATTATTTTCCTGCCAGTGGGACACTATGGAGGCTAAAATTTGTCTACAGAAAACATCTTACTCCTAATTGCTAAAGGCAGAAACTGTCGATCTCAGAAGAGGCCTAGAGCCTGATTTCTAACAGTGTGAAAGAAAGCTTTGGACTTGCACTGAAAAAAACAGGAACAAAGTGTGCTTCTTAGAGGATTTCCATTTTCACTAGGTGGTGGTGTTGGCTGAGAAATGCTATGTGCTCACCAGAGAAGTGGCAACAAGTAAACTCACCACAGAGGAAAAGGGGAAAACTCTGTTCCTAGACTGTAACAATCCCTGCCCATTTCATGCAGAGAAGGATTAAGAGGCTGGAGATGGAGAAGAAGAGTTTTGCAAAAGGATAGTTAAGGATTCTCTGCAAACACCCTAAATGGGCTGTCGGAGGCTGCGTCCAGGTCATTGGCCTCTGAATCATGCCAGCATGTGCCCCGGTCAGAAATTCAATACCCATTTGTAATGTGGTGTTCTCCATGTTCTCCCCAGCTAGCCTCACATCCATGTTTTTATTACGGCAGTTAACGCTAACAGTAGGTACTAGGCTGATGGATTTCCATTGATTTATTGGATTTATTTTAATATAGAGGCTAACTGCACCTCAGAGTGATAGAACAGGTTTTAAGCTTGCTTCCATACTCACCACTCTGAGGAAGACTGTACCTTGGATTCCCATGCAATGCACCAAAATGACTCAGCTCTGACGAGTGGAGAAACACTAGGGCTTTTGTATCCTGCTAATTGGGTAGAATAACACAGACACACGTGAAGTGGTTTTAAGGAGCAGAGCATTTAATAGGCAGAAAGAAGGAAGAAGAAAGAAGGAAGAAGCCTCTCTGTACAAAGAGAGAGGGAAGGAGGGGCTCCAAACCCGAGAAAGGAAAGCCTAAGTGAGGCAGAAACCAGCCAGCTGCATAAGGAGGCTGGAGGAGGTGGTGCCTGATTTCTATAGGCTCAGGGGATTGGTTTGACCAGTCTCCTCACTCATGTAGCCCCTAAAATACTGGCCCTCCCCCCGCTCCGCCCAGACTTTTAGAATGCAGATGCAGGGTACCAGGATGTTCTGCATACCTGGGGATATGTGGGGGAGGCCATGTGGCCAGGCATTTGTGGGGGCAAGGTCAAGGAGAAGAGAGCAGGAAGCCATGTTTGGGTGGACTCAGTTTCTGACGGCGGACATTTGCATATCAAAATTTGCCTGCCCGACTCCAAGAGCCAGGCCTTTCCGGCTAGACAGGAAACTTTTCTGGAGCTGCTTTAAATGAGACAAAAACGTTCCAAGGACACCAGGTTTTCTCTATCTGCTTAAAATGATTTCTTAATAACTCCTATACACTTATGACTCCATATTATTGCAGTGTGCTTTGTTTATTTTATATCATATGTAAATTTTTCAAGTTTTAAGTCATTAAATTCATAAATATTTATCATTATTTATGCCACATTTTGTAGCATGCTTGGAAAGGTCTTTCCTCAGATTTATTCTTAGAAGCTGTGACTGGGCACAGTGGCTCATGCTTGTGATCTCAGCACTTTACGAGGCCCAGGCAGTAGGATCGCTTGAGGTCATGGGTTTGAGAGCAGCCTGCGCAACATAGGAAGACCCTGTCTGCACAAAAAATTAAAATTAGCTTTACGTGGCAGGTGGTGGTAGTTGCCTCTAGTCACAGTTACTTGGGAGGCTAAAGTGCGAGGACTGCTTGAGCTCAGGAGTTCGAGGCTGTAGCGAGCCATGATTACACCGCTGCACTCCAGCATTTGTGACAGAGCAAGATTCTGTCTCTACAAAAAAGAAACATACACGATGTATAAAATGATACTGTCATAAAACGAAGATTGTGTAAACAGTGTCTGAGCAGTGGCTGAAAGCTCTGAGGAAAAAAAACTGAATGCATTTTTTTTTAGGTTTTTGTATGCATTTATTAAAATAATTAGCAGAATATCATCAAGCTAAAAAGAGTTGTAACATGGAAACACAGACAACTTTGCCATTTATCAGAGATTCTCTAGGTAATTACAGTCTTCTTTCTTAATTTCAATTCTGTTGTTTCCATTTTGAATGAAGGAAGCTACCTGATTTACCAAGTTGTGTGGTTGCTTCTTGAACAAGAGGGATGCAGCCTGCAGGGAAAAGGGGAATTTACTTTTTCTGGAATCATCCTGGGGGCCCAGCAAGTGCTCTCCAATGTCATTTCCTGGCCTCATGCATGCCAGGGCTACATTGGCCAAAGCATGCAAGGATTCAAAGGCCCAAAATCTTCCCTGTTTGTTGAGTTTTACCTCTCTTAACTGGGAGGTCCTTCCTCGTGTCTTGTCTTAAGTTTACAGCAACCAAGGTAGAAGATTATGGACTATTTGTTTTGCAGAGAACTAGAGAAGTAATTGGCTCATCGCTTCAATTTACAGTGGAGGAAATCGAGGTCCTCAGAGGGAGGGCAAATTGAAAACGTTCAATCTGCCTCAGAGCAGCTAGTGATGTCCGAATTCTCCCATCCATGATCTAGATTTTGTGTACTACGCAGCGGGTCGACAATACCATCTTGCCCTTCAGTTTTGCACTCAGTAGAGATGGGAGACAGCTGTTTAAAATGATGTGCTTAATGGATTTTTGGGCCTTCCTTATTCTTAAATAGTAACAATAACATGTTAGAAGATAAATTCAAAATTTGTATTATCTGACTATGCCTTTAATTAAGTGTAGGTTTAATTCCATTAGAAACATTTTACTTGATAATTATCAAGCAGTGCTGTCCAATAGGTGAGCCACATACATAATGTTCAGTTTTCTAGTAGCCACATTGAAAACAGTAAAAAGAAATAGATAAAATTAGCTTTAACAATATATTTAATCCAATACATCCAAAATATGATTTCAACATGTGTTCAATATAAAAATATGAATGAGATATTTCACTTTCTTTTTGCTTTGTTTTTGCACTAAGTTTTGAAATCTCATGTGTTTTTTACATTTAAGGCACATCTCAGTTCAGACTGGTCGCCTTTCCAGTGTCAATGGCTGTATGTGGCTGGAGGGTCTTGTGTAGGACAGCATTTGAAAAATACAGAAAAGTAGATGAAAAAACATGTCTAAAGTCATGCCTACCAGGGACAAACACTATCAATGTTATCGTCTACTTCTGCCAGCCTTTTTCCCACTGGGCATACTTTTTTGGTGTGTTACACATGCTCAAGATTGTACCCTGGGTTCAGATTTGCACTCTGCTGTGTGGTTGATTTTAGTCCATAGTTGGTTTGAGGCCCACTTGACTAATGGAAGAAAGAGTCAGTCGGTCTCATTTTAGTCCTGGCTATGCTGTTATTTAATCACTTTTTCAGCTATATTGGTATGTGTTCTTTATCTGCAAAGTGGAGGCATTGAAGTAACATGACCTTTGATTCCTTTACAGTTATTGTTTTGAATCTGAAGTCAATTTTAACAAAAGTCCGATAAAGAGCTCTCTTCCTTAGCATTTAGTTAATAGGAAGAGACAGCAGTATTTTCTGACTTTAACTGTACTCTTCAATTTCTATTTCCTCCAACATTTTATGATGAACATTTTGAAACATATAGAAAAGTAGAAAGAATTCTATCAAACACTTATAAACCTCCCACCTAAATTCCATTATTACATTGGCATTATATATGCTTCATTACTTTTATCTGTTTATCCACACATCCATCTTTCTTTTTTTGTGTATTTTGAAGTAAATCGCAGACACCCATGCTTTCCCCTAAGTATACTCTTTACCTTTGAAAAAGAAAACTGGCCTCTTACACACCTGACCATGCTTCTATGTCCTCTTTTGACATGTTATTTTTTAATACCTGGGAAGTTTCAGCTTATTGATGATCAGTTTGCAGATGCTTACTCTCAGCATATCAAGGGTGAGTCTTTAGAAATAAAGCTAAATGAATATGAGAGAGAAATAAAAGAGCAAGTTCAGGCAGAAATGTGTCAAAATGTAAGCTTTACCTTGTTATTGTTAACAAGAGTGACATTTTTGTTTGTCTTCTGTGAGAAAAAGTGTATCTGGGTTGCCAGTTGAGTTTGTCTCCCCTGTGTGAGACACCCATGGCGAGCCATGAGTGGCCTCTGAGGAGAAAAGTCTCCTTATTGCCTTCATGTCTTTATGCCCTGAGAGCGTAACCACTCAGAGAGCATATCCACTCAGTGGCATTCTACAGGTTCCTCGGGGAGATAACACTCCCTGGAAAGAGTGGAGTGTAATCAAACGTCTTGGCTCCTCCTGAAACCTGCTCCCACCTGCTTCAGTCCCAATATGTTAAATATCTTAAGTAGTTTAAACACACACCTTTACTCAAGAAAATTCACAGAAACTGCCACTGCTACACATCTTATTGAATGACTCATGACTTCTCCTTCATTGATTAATCCTTTTCTTCATCCCTTCCTCCCCCCTCCCATCTGACATAAGAACAAAGAGCTTGTAAACCAACAAATTGGGTGGAGCCTAAGAACTCTGGGCCATGAACAAGCCTTTGACACTGCAGTTCCCTTAACCCACCTTTTAAACACTGATTCTATCTCTTTCTAACTCCTTTGTCTGCACGGGACTCAGGGGACCCACTGGGTGGTGAGGGGATGGTTTCCCCATGTGGCACACAACACAGTGCTCCAAGTAATCTCTACAAATAATCTGGTAAAGAAATGACAGAGAGTGGAAAGTGGAGGACGCCTGATGAAGGAGGCCCGAGTACATTTTCACTTCAAGCTCCGTGGGTAAGTAGGGCACTCAGAGAATTCCAGGGTAACCTCAAGAAAATATAGGTCAGACTGAAAGTAAGTTTGCCAATTATTTAGCCTGCTGCAGCAGTTATTGTGCCTCAGAGGGATAATTGTGAGTACCCAAAATCTCACTTCTTTGTTCCATAACCTAGAAAAGTTTTCTCCTTGGTTCCTGGAATATGGAACCATGAATGTAGAAGATTGGGATAAAGTTGGATGAGACTTAAAACAAGCACAGCAAGAGGGCCATGATATTCCCTTCTCTGCTTGGTCTGTGTGGTCAGCAATTAAAACTGCACTGGAGCCCTTCCACCCAGAGGATGAGGAGGAGTTTCAGGGTGACATAGAAAAGTTTAATAACCATGAGTCTGACGATCAGCAAAGTGAACCATCACAGTCTAGTTTTAAATAAGGGGAAGAAACCAGAAGCTCTATATGCTAACCCCCAAAAAACTTATGAAAGAAAGAGTTCCACCTACAGCAGAAACAGTGCCAACTACTGCGCCTTTATGGGAACGTCTGGAACGGCCAGCTCCGCCTTAGCCTTATGAATTGTTGTTAAAGGAGCCTGTGACTTGGCTTGCCGCTCCCATTGTTGCACACCCAGCCATTAACTATGGCAAAAGGAAGCTTCAGGCTAACCCAACAGCCAGTTACAGTGAGGGAATGATCCAGGCTTGTCCACCTGTTAATTGTGGTAAAGGAATGCTTTCATCCAGCCCAAATACAAATTATGGCACAGAGACAATCAAGGCATCTACTCGCCAGGCACGAGAAATGGGGGATTTGGATGCTTGGCCGTATCCAGTAATTATTTTTCCTGCTGAGGAGCCTGGAGAACATCCTGAGGCACTCTGGGAGCCATTTACTTTTAAAATATTAGAAGACTTAAAGCAAGCAATTGGAAAATAGGGGCCAAATTTTCCTTATGTTCATTCCTTGTTACAATCTGTGGCTTATAACTGGCATTTAACCTATGGAATCTCTCCAATTTAAACCCTGGTGGATGGATGAAGCAACAAATACGGCACACAGAAATGCTCAAGCTCAACCTGCCATTGATATCACATCTGATCAATTGCTTGGAATCGGACAGGCATGGGGTACTGTAAATGAACCCATGGTAATGGGTGATGAGGCTGTTGGTCAGTTCAGAACTCTATGCCTAAGAACCTGGGAAAACATTCATGACCCTGGTACTACTTATCCTTCTTTTAACTCATTTCAACAGTGTCCAAGGGAGACTTATCCAGATTTTATCGCCTGTTTCCAAGACGCGGCTCAAAAGACTGTTTCAGATTCTCATGCCAGGAAAGTGATTATTCAGCTGCTTGCTTATGAAAATGCTAATACAGAATGTCAGGCAGCAATTAGACTTAGTAAGGGAGAGGCAGATCAAAATTACACTTACTGGGTCTACATTCCATTCCCACTACTGATTAGGCCTGTTGCGTGGTTAGACCCTCCTGGTGGATGGACCAACAGATAAGCAAGGTCCTACTCATCTAGAGCAGGCGGGAATGTTGGTGAATGTTTCCATTGATTATCGCTTTCCTCCCATCTGCCTGGGGCTGGCAGCAGGATGTTTAAATTATGATAAAGTGGGACATAAATGTCCCTACACAAAATGCATCAAAAGCCTCTATTCATGCAATCAATGAAGCAACATTTTAATCTTTGGACACTATTAAATACTTGAGCACGGCTATGTTATGACACGTTGCCAGATTACTGAATTTAAACCTAATATGAATCCCTGCCCTAGGCAGGCCACTAAATGGCCTGAAAAGTTAGAGGTGCTAACTTGGGAAGATTGTATTGCAAACAGTGCTGCGCTACTGTAAAATAATTCCTATAACATCGCCATTGATTGGGTCCCTAGGGGACACTTTGCAGTAAATTTTACTGGCCAGCGCAAAGATTGTAGAGGGACTCCTGCAAATGACTACCCAGATAATGCACCAAAATTATGTAGAAGAATTGAAACAAATTACCCTATTAAGTGGGAGGAGAATGGTATGGCTCCTCCAAGCCCAAAAATGATCGATCCAGTTATGAGACCAGAACATCCAGAACTGTGGAAATTAATGATGGCTCAAACCCCAGTTTGGATTTGGATAGGAGAATATAAAACAGAGACTCATAGTAAAAAACTTTCATTTGCTGTAGCCATGACCTCTAATCAGACGGTCCCATTGCAGAGTTTTGTTAAACCTCCTTTTATGTTGGCAGCCGGGAAAATTAATTTCCTACCTGACTCCGAAACCATACCCTGCCTTAACTGTCACCTTTTTACCTGCATTAATTCTACCTTTAATAAAGATAATAGCATTTTTACTGGTTAGGGCCTGAGAAGGAATTCAGATACTTGTTTCCCTCAATAGACCTTGGGAGGACTCTCCCTCCATACATATTATCACTGAAGTACTAAAAGGAATATTTAATAGATCAAAGAGATTCATATTTACTTTAATAGCTGTGGTCATGGGCCTTATAGCTGTCACAGCTACTGCTTCTGCACTGTTGCTGCTTTGCACTCTTCTATTCAAACTGCGGGCTTTGTGGATAGTTGGCAGAAAAATTCTTCTAAGCTTTGGAATTCCCAAAGCCAAGTAGATCAAAAATTGGCAAATCAAATTAATGATCTCTGTCAGACAGTAATTTGGATGGGGGATTGGACTACTGGCTTGGAGTGTAGAAGTCAAATGCAATGTGATTGGAATACTTTGGATTTTTGTGTTTCTCCTAGCCCTATAATGTCACTGAACATCATTGAGAGATGATTAGACATCACCCACAAGGAAAAGAACATAGTTTAACACTAGATATTGCCAAACTGAAAAAACAAGTTTTTGAGTCATCTCAGGCTCATCTTATCCTGTTGCCTGGAGCTGATATTCTTGCTGGAGCCACTGATGGCTTTTCTAATACCATTCCTTTAAAGTAGATTAAAACCATAGGTGGATCAACAATTGCAAATTTTATTTTGGTTTGTGTCTGCTTATGCTATTTGTTTTTAGTCAACAGATGCAGACAGCCCCTTGGGTGAGAGGCCAGACACCAGCCATGATAGCAATGGCAGTTATTAATCAAAAAATTAATAAAGACAAAAAAGAGAGACATGTGGAAAGGAGAGTTTCTGTGGTGCCAGTTGAGTTGTTCTCCCCTATGTGAGACATCCATGGGGAGCCATGGGTGGCTGCTGAGGAGAAAAGTCTCCTTATTGCCTCCATGTCTTTATGCCCCCAGAGCATAAGCACTCAGCGGCATTCCTCAGGTTGCTCAGGGAGATAACACTCCCTTGAAGCGGTGGAGTATAATCAAACATCTTGGCTCCTCCTGAAAGCTGCTCTCACCCATTTCAGTTCTGATAAGTTAAAGATCTTAAGTAGTTTAGACACATGCCTTTGGCTCAAGGAAATTCACAGAAACTGCCACTACTATGTAGCTTATTGAAAGACTCACGAGTTCCTCTACACTGATTAATCCTTTTCCTCATCCCTTCCTTCTGCTCCCATCTGTCCTAAGATCAAAATGCTTGTAAACCAACAAATTGGGTGGAGCCCAGGAACTCTGAACGGTGAGCAAGCCTCCGATGCTTTGGTCCTCTGGAACAGCCTTTTAAATACTGATTCTATCTCTTTCTAACCCTTTGTCTCCACCAGACTCAGGGTACGTGCTAGGTGGTGTGGGGCTGGTTGTCTCAACAGCCTTCTAAAGTCTTAATCTAAGGTATAGAAAAAAAAAAAAACTAGGAATTTTAATAAAGAATGGGATACTCCACTATTGTGCACATTACTTTTATTTCTGTTGACATTTGTTTATGCCTTTTGAGTGAATCCTACAAATATAGTGAGTGAGATAAAACTAAAGATGAACTAAATGTAATATATTTGGACAGAGCATTAATGTTGAGCCTGGATGTGAAGACAATATTTGTTACTCTTCTTAGAGTATAATAGTTAAAATTTTTAATTTTTTTGTGATCAATTTGCAGATAAACTTCTGTTAAGCTGCTGAGATAGCAAAAATTAAAATAAAGCAAAAGGAAAGTATGGGAAAAATTAACTGTGTTCAGGAAAGATTTTGAGAAGGCTTGTCAGTCGGAGCCTGAAGCCATCATTTTTTGGGAAAAGAGTATCCTTGAGAGAATTCAAAAGCATCAAGAAGTGGTATTTACAAATATTTTACTGTGTAACTATTTCCTGCAGCTATTAGCAGGTTGGTTCAAGATCCAGGAAAGAGATCACACAATTGGGATGACAAGGTCCCAGGAGAGCAATAGGAATTGTGGTAAAGAGTGCAAAGAAAAAGAAGGGTGGCCCTTGAAATATATACACAGATTTGCTTCCTCTGGGACAAGTGGAAAAGGAAGAGTGTCAGAGGTGAACAGTCAAGTTGGGATTAAGAGAAACACACCCTAAATAAGCTCCCATCTTCTCAGGCAGATTAGAGCATTAGATCATGGGTTTTAGGAGCAGCTTAGAGGTGCAGAGTAGCTCATGGGAGTAACAGAAGAACAGCTGTTTAAAGCAGACAGGACTGATCACTTGTATTGAGGGCCCAGCTGTAGTTGGGGGAGGCTGAAATTAAATGAGACCAAACCATGTGCTTGTAGGTGAGTTTATTTTTTATTTTTATTTTTTGGCAGGTCTGGGGAGGAATTGTAAGCATCTGTCTCTTCTGCACTTTTCCGTGAGGTTGAAAAGATGGAGATGTTGAAGGACTGGAGCTTTGCAGAGCCTAACTTATTTGATGTGAGAATGGCAGCCCATTTAACTGCAGATTCTGGGCTTATCTTGCATAGTGAAGGGAAGCAGAGGAGAGGGCAAGTGACTGCTACACCAGGAGGAATGTGAGTGTTAAGTAGCCGTCTCAGGGATCAAAGACTAGATCCAAAGAGACTGGCAGGTGGAATTATAACAATTGTCCAAGAGTAGAGAATTGCAGGATTAGGTTTCAGGTGGAAACTGGAAACAAAAATGCACTGTGCTGTCATTGGATGGAGCCATGGAAATGAGGAGAGTTCAAGGTCTCTGGGGTAAAGGAGTCATCAGGGCTGCAAATGTCATCCATGTGGTCTTTTGAGCTGGTCATCCCGGGAGTAAACGGACAAGAGAGGGTGAGGATGAGCAGTGGCAGGGATTCTATGTTGGCAAGTGGGAGTGAATCTCTTTTTTCTTAAGAAAGCATATTCTGTTTCTGAGGGCATGTCTTAGACCACACTGGATTTACAGCAGTATTTTTGGCCTGCATCGCAAACTGCAGCTGCCAGATGTTAAAAGTAGCAAGGCTTTACCCTAGCGTCAAGTCTTGCTTGGGGCTTCTCAATGATACCCAGTTGTTTAATGCTAAGGGCACACCCTCTGCAAATTTATATAACATTCCTGGGAATTGGCCTTGCTCCAGCTGTAAAAATGATGTACTGGATGTGAAGAGAGTATTTGTTGCTCTTCTTATAGCGTAATAGTTAAAATTTTTAAGTTTTTGTGATCAATTTGCAGGTAAAGTTTTGTAAAGCTCCTGAGATAGTAAAAAATAAAAATAACATAAAGCAAAAAGAAAGTATGGGAAGAAATTAGAAATTTCTTGTTTCCATAGTTTACGACAAATTTACCCTTAATTATGGTGCATAGTGTACACTTAGACGTTAGAATTTTAGAAATCCAACACAATTTTGGAACATCTGTTACTATTATTCACTAAAATTTAACTTAAAGGAAATTGGACATCATTTTGGCAATACCATGTGACTAAACAAGCCCTGTATATGTCTTTTCTTAATGTTTCAGAAGTCCTCTCACCACCCAGAAAGCCAGGCATTAGGAAGGACAATTTTGCAACTTGAATTATGGTTTTAGGATGCCTGTTAAATGTTAGAGGTTTAGTACACTCGGTTTTATATAGGAATCCAGATTTCCACAAATTACTTGTTTTGCCAAAATGATGGCTCAAAGGGTAAAAATCATTTATTAGTGTTTATTATGATGTGACTTGTCATTTGAGTATGACATCCTGCTCAAAGCCAAATTTTACCCTTTCATCAGTTTGTTAATGTTAACCTCAATTTGCTTAAATTAAATCTTATAGATCCTTTCATTTAACCTCAACCAATTTGACCATGAGGTGAAATATTTACAAACCTTTCAAAACTCTTTTACTAAATGGCAGATTCGTTTCTTAAGATCTCATTGGTATTCCTTTATTTCAATGCTAAGGTTATAAAAAAGACCATACAATAACCTTTTGAGTTTAGTTAATGTTCACTGTGAACATTTAGCAACTTTCATTTTTGATGAACACCCTGGTTAATAGGCCATTTTACTTACATACATGGTGTGGATCCTAGAACTCAGACAGAAGTGCAGATAAAGTGTGAGGTTTCAGCCTCTCACTCCATGTATCCCAGGTTTTACCAACCTGTAAAGCAGGTGAGAAACAACCTTGGAACATTTAGCAAATCTGGTGTCTAAATTGAATCATTTAAATGACCTATTTTCATTTTGACAACACTTGCATCTTACCAGTAATTCTCAAGACTATATTACTTAAACTCACGTGAACTAAAACATATTCAAGTGCTTACTTCTCTTTAAGACAATTAATTAGAGTTTGCTTTTATAGGCATTACACACACCACATATATAGCGACACAAACGGAAAATTCAGAGATTTTTTTTATGTGCCAGTTTCTTAACTGGATTACTGGCTTCAGGTTGTAGCCCTTGGAGGAATAGGATCATTAATTTGCAGTTTTTAGGGAGTAATAAGCAGACACAGCAGAAGGCAATTAATCCATCCCCTTTGGGAGTCTTGTTTCTTAGTGGAGGGAGCGGGGGTGAGGATGTTTCTCTATGTTTTAGGTAGACAAGAGCATGCTTCTCTGATTTATAACTACTATTAGCCATTTCATACAGGGCATTTTCTACCTAGTTATTACACACCAAAGAGGTCTCATAATGTGAAGGAACTTGATATCCTCAATACTCACAAAGGTAAATAACACAATGCATAACAGTACGGAGCCTTTGGTATTGGGAGGGAAACATCTGCTTTCAATTTGGGGGGTTTCATGAGCAAAACATGTGTGTTTGGTTTTGTTTTGTTTGCGTGTGTGTTTTCTCATATGGAGAATTTGGCACCTACTCTGTTTTTCCCCAGGAGTCCCGTGCTATCAGAAGTTACGTTAGGGCCTCTCAGGCGTGCATTAAGAGGGTGAAGACAAAAAATGGGGAAAAATAATTCAGTCTACTGAGAAGAAAAGACCATTTTTTTCAGAAAAAAATTTTAAATGTATCAATAACTTGAATATCTACTTTTAATTAAGCTGAACATTTTTAAGAAAATTCTTAAAAAATTTCTTATTACTTAACTTTAGCCATGTCAAGTAGTTAAGATTTTTGGTTTTCGAACTTTAGAAAATGTAACCTCACAGATAAAACCAATCTAGGCTATGACTTAACCGCAAGTGTCCAAGGTATTTTCAGAGGAATGATAGCTTTTGAATCTTTCATTGCAAAACTGTGAGGGAGACAGTGAAAGAGAGTTGACCTAAACAAATCTATTTCACTTCCCACCCTCAAGCTGTCTTTGCCCATCTTTGGGTTAGGCTGAGCCAACTTTAGGAGGAGCCTTGTATACCGTCTGTAGTCTAAAACAAAGAGGATAACAGCTGCTTCCCAAGATATACTTTCCTCTTGCCTGGAAACCAGAACAATAAGCTAGCCACAAGGTTAGGGACCATGGCTTAGGTGTCAGGGAGGCAGAGGCTACAAGATTTTGACCTTCCCTAAACTGCTTTCAACATCAGTGCTTGAGATATTTTGTAAACCCTGTGTTTGACAGATCGGCTGGGACCACCCGGATTGAAAAACTGGCTTATCAGATTTTGTGGCCCTCTTCTATGAACTGACTTATGGGAAGAAAAAACCACCTTTCTAAAATGGCAGAGACTAAAACAAAGTATTGCCACATGGTTACAGGTTATGTTCCCGAGGACATGGAACAAGATGTAGGACTGTAGCCCAGTTTGTTACTGGCCATTAAGTTGGTCTGGCTTGAACAGCAGGCTCATGGGGTCCTGGGCCTTCACCCCACTTAAGATACCCTTTTATTGATAGAACCGTACAGAAGGACACGCAAAGCACACAAATTGTCTACAACTTAAGACCAAACTCACAAATCTTTTTTTGTTATTTATAAATTTACCTAGAATATAAACAATAATACTCTTTTTTCTTTGTTACCAGTTTGCTCAGTGAGAGAGAAGCCAAAAGCCAAATGGGTAAGAAATTTTTCCCTTTTGCCAGCATATCAGGCTTCTAAGTTTCCTTTCTTCTAGCTCAACTGTCAGCCAAGCATTTTAAGGTTTGGAAAATTAACTTTTCCCAAGTTGGACAAACATTATGAAAGAGACAGATGCCATTTTAAATCACACACACAAAAAATGAAAAACACTATAGAAAGGAGTTCCAGTTAAGCTTTTCAAGAGGTATTGCCCCTTTTCCTATTTGGAATAGTACTTCCCCTATTTATTTGCCTACCCTAGTTGCTCTTTTCCCTTTTCACCTACTATAGAAGACATATTGCTCATTTCCACAATTTTCTTTTGCTTGCACAGCTGCCTCTTTTAGCTGAAGTTAAGGTTTAGCTTAGGAGGATAAAAACATTCCTTCATAAGAGGTCAAATACCTAAGTTAAATTTTGGAAAGCTTCTATATGCCTATCAGGATCATCAGAAATTTGGCGTAAGCCTCCCTTTACTTTCCAAATTTCCTCCAATGAGAAGAAAACTTGAAGGGGCCCCAAATAAGGGAATACTCAGATGGTTCCCCTGAAACTTGCTTCTCTAATTTTGAGAAATTTTTCTCTTTGGGCTTGCCTGATATGATCGCTAAATGGACTTGGTTATTTTGCAACACTTACAAAGGTGTAGTAAGAAGGCCATTCCATTGTGCAAAAGTAAATAAGAAATTTTCCTTCAAAGTTTCAGGGCTGAATGAGTCCAGTTGCTTTAAAATACTCCCAGCCAGGTACAGTGGTTCACGCCCGTAATCCCAGCACTTTGGGAGGCTGTGGTGGGCAGATTTTGAGGTCAGGAGTTTGAGACTAGACTGAGCAACATGGTGAAACTGCATCTCTACTAAAAATACTAAAACTAGCCAGGTGTGGTGGTGTGCGCCAGTAGTTCCAGCTTCTCATGAGGCTGAGGCAGAAGAATCACTTGACCTCAATAGGTGGAATTTCCAGTGAGTTGAGATCTCACCAATGCACTCCAGCATGGGTGAAACAGTGAGATTCTGCCACACACACACACACACACACACACACACACACACAAAATATGTATATTTATACTTATATGTATTTATACATCTATATATACACATTTATACATATATAAAAGTGTGTGTGTGTGTGTGTGTGTGTGTATGTATATATATATATATATATGTTCCAAGGGAATGGATGCTAAAGATGATCTGTTAGCAATCTAGAAAGAGACATAAGGATAAAAACATCCTTTTAGTCTCCTTCTTTTCAGTATATGATCCGGAATGGAGACTAGTATTGTAGGGGGCATTCTGTAACTATTTTTCTTTCTTTGCTCCTGAATTTCAGCTCCCATTTAAAAGTGACACCCATGACTGCAGTCATGACACTTTAAGCCATGGCACCAGAGAAACTAAATTTTATGTCTTATTTATGCCGTCCACAGCAGTGTATTCCTCTGTCTTTTATTTCCCTTTTAATTCTTAGAGTGGTGTTGCCTGTATGACTTTCTTAAAAAATGGATTTCTGGAAAAACCATGCAATTAGGCAAGACCCCTTTAGAGATGTGTCTGCTAGATTGAACTCTATATTCTGCTATTGTGGCCAGTACTAAAGCTTTCACCCATAGTGAAATGGTTCCCATTAACTTCTGGACTTAAAGTCCTCTTACTAATTAAATCCTATCTTAATAGGAGAGATAATAGATGCTTTAAAGGAATATAGAAACCTAATTGAGGATTATTTTCCTGCCAGTGGGACACTATAGAGACTAAAATTGGTCTTCAGAAAACATCTTACTCCTAATTGCTAAAGGTAGAAAGTGCCCATCTCAGAAGAGGGCACTTAATGCTAACAGTGTAAAAGAAAGCTTTGGAGATGTATTGGAAAAACAGGAACAAAGTGTGCTTCTTAGAGGATTTCCACTCTCAGTAGGTGGCAATGTTGGCTTAGAAATGCTATGTCCTCACCAGAGAAGTGGTAGCAAGTAATCTCACCACAGATGAAAAGGGGAAATCTCTTTTCCTAGGCTGTAATAATCCCTGCCCATTTCATGCAGAGAAGGAGCGAGAGGCTGGAGATGGAGAAGAAGACTTTTGCAAAAGGATAGTTAATTATTCTCTGCAAACACCCTGAATGGGCTGTTGGAGGCTGCATCCAGACCATAGGCCTCTGAATTATGCCAGGGTGTGCCCTGGCCAGAAATTCAATGCCCATGTGTAATGTAGTTTTTCTGCATGTTCTCTCCAGCAAGTCTCACATACAAGTTTTTTTTATGGCAGTCAGCGCTAACTGTATGTACTAGGCTGATGGATTCCCATTGATTTATTGGATTTATTTTAATATAGAAGCTCAGAGAACCTCAGAATGATAGAACAGGTTTTAATCTTGCTTGCATACTCACCACCCGGACAAAGACTGTACCTTGGATTCCCGGCCAATGCACCAAAATGATTCAGCTCTGATGAGTGGAGAAAGAGTAGGGCTTTTGTATGCTGCTAATTGGGTCAAACAACACAGACACACTTGGAATAGTTTTAAGAAGCAGAGAGTTTAATAGGCGAGAAAGAAGGAAGAAGAAAGTAGGAAGAAGCTTCCCTATACAGCTGAGAGAGGAAACCCCAAGTGAGGCAGGAAACCAGCCAGTTACATGAGGAGACTGGAGGAGGTGGTGCCTGACTTGCATAGGCTCAGGGGATTGGTTTGATCAGGAATGTCACTCACACAGCCCCTAAAAAACTGGCCCTCCCACATTACATTTGTAATATGAAGATGCAGGGTGCCATGATGTTCTGCATACATGAGGATATGTGGGGGCAGCCATGTGGCCAGGCACATGAGGGGGTAAGTCAAGGAAAGAGGGTAGGAAGCCATGTTTTGGTGGACCCAGTTTCTAATGGCGGGCAATTGCATATCAAATTTTGCCTGCCAGACTCCAAGAGCCAGGGCTTTGCTGCTAGACAAGAAACTTTTCTGGAGCTGCTTTAAATGAGACAAAAACGTTCCAAGAATGCTAGGTTTTCTCTATCTGCTTAAAATGATTTCTTAATAACTCGTATGACTCCATATTATTGCAGTGAATTTTTAAATTTTATACCATATGTAAATATTCAACTTTTATATAGTTAAATTGATAAATACTTATGATTATTCCTGTCATGTTTTGTAGCATATTTGGACTGGCCTTTCCTCAGATTTATTCTTAGAAGCTATGACTGGACACAGTGGCTCATGCTTGTGATCCCAGCATTTTGTGAGGCCCAGGCAGTAGCATCACTTGAGGTCATGCGTTTGAGACAAACCTGCACAACATAGAAAGACCCTGTCTCTATAAAAACTAAAATTAGCTTTATGTGGTGGGTGGTGGTAGGTGCCTCTAGTCCAGCTACTTGGAAGGCTGAAGTGAGAGGATTGCTTGAGCTCAGCAGTTTGAGGCTTTCATGAGCCATGATTACACCGCTGCACTCCAGCCTTCGTGAGAGAGCAAGATTCTGTCTCTACAAAAAGGAACGATATATGATGTATAAAATGATATTTTCATATAACTAAGATTGTGTATACAGTGACTGCACAGTGGCTGAAAGCTCTGAGGAAAAAAAAAACCTGAATGCATTTTTTTTTAGGTTTCTATAAACCTAAATCATCAACAAGCTAAAATATCATCAAGTTAAAAATAGTTGTAAAAAATTGGCAGATTATCATCAAGCTAAGAAGAGTTGTAACATGGAAATGCAGACAAGTTCGACATTTATGAGAGATTCTCTAGGTAATTATACTCTTCCTTTCTTAATTTCAATTCTGTTGTTTTCATTTTGAATGAAGGAAGTTACCTGATTTACCAAATTGTGTGGTTCCTTCTTGAACTAGGGGGACGCAACCTGCAAGCAACAAGGGAATTTACTTTTTCTGGAATCATCCTGGGAGGCCAGGAAGTGCTCTCCAGTGTCATTTCCTGGCCTCTTGCATGCCAGGGCTACATTGGCCAAAGCATGCAGCCATTCAAAGGCCCTGTTTGTTGAGTTTTACCTCTCTTAACTGGAAGGTCCTTCCTCATGTCTTGTTTTAACTTTATAGCCACCAAGGTACAAGATTATAGACTATTTTTTTTCAGAGCAGTAGAGAAGTCATTGACTCATTGCTTCATATTCTACTTGAGGAAATCAAGGTCCTCAGAGGGAGAGCAAATTGAAAACATTCAGTCTGCCTCAGAGTAGCCAGTGAAGTCCAATTTCTACCATCCATTCTCTAGAGCTTTTTGTACTAGAAGGCCGGTCGAAAATACCATCCTGCCTTTTGGTTTCATGCTCAATAGAGACGGGAGAAAGTTGTTTAAACTGATGTGCTTAATTAATGTTTGACCTTCCTTATTCTAAAATAGTAATGGTAACATGTTAGAAGATAAATTGAAATTTGTATTACATGACTAGGCCTTAAATTAAGTGTGGGTTTAATTCCATTAGAAACATATTACTGATAATTATGAAGCAGTGCGGTCCAACAGTTGAACCATATATATAATGTTCAGTTTTCTAGTAGTCACACTGAAAACAGTAAAAAGAATTAGGTAAAATTAGCTGTAAGATATTTAATCCCATACATCTAAAATATGATTTCAACATGTGTTTAATAAAAAAAAAAAATACGAATGAGATAATTCACTTTCCTTTTTTTTTTCACTTAGTTTTGAAATCTCTTTGTTTTTTTTTTTTTTTTTTTTTCATTTAAGGCACATCTCAGTTCAGACTGGTCACCTTTCCACTGTCAATGGATGCATGTGGCTGGAGAGTCCTTCTTTACTTAAAGAAGTAGGTAAAATTAGCTTTAAGATATTTAATCCCATACATCTAAAATATGATTTCGACATGTGTTTAATAAAAAAAAGTACGAATGAGATAATTCACTTTCTTTTTTTTTTTTTTTTTTTTTTCAGTTAGTTTTGAAATCTCTTTGTTTTTTTTCATTTAAGGCATATCTCAGTTCAGACTGACCACCTTTCCAGTGTCAATGGCTGCATGTGGCTGGAGAGTCCTTTATTGGAAAGCATTTGAAAAATACAGAAAAGTAGATGGAAAAATATGTCTAAAGTCATACCTACCAGGGAGAAACACTATCAATGTTATCGTCTACTTCTGGGCCATGAGGAAGCCTCCAATACTCCAGTCCCCCGGACCTGCCTTTTCAACACTTATTCGGTCTCTCTCTTTCTATCAGCTTTGTCGCCGCTAGACTCAGGGTACCTGCTGGGTGGTGTGGGGGTGGTTTCCCCAACAGTCTTCTAAAGTCTTAATCTTTGGTATATCAAAAACAACCTAGAAATTTTAATAATGGGATACTCTACCATTCTGCACATTATTTTTATTTATGTTGACATTTGTTTATGACTTTTGAGTGAGTCCTACAAATACAGTGAGTGAGATAAAACTAAAGATGAAGTAAATGTAATGTACTTGGACAGAGCATTAATGTTGAGCCTGGATGTGAAGAGAGTATTTGTTACACTTATTGGAGTGTAATAGTTAAAATTTTTAAATTTTTGTGATCAATTTGCAGGTAAACTTTTGTTAAGCTGCTGAGATAGCAAAAATTAAAATAGAGCAAAAAGAAAGTATGGAAAGAATGTAGCTGTGTTCAGGAAATATTTTGAGAAGGCTTGTCAATCAGCGGCTGAAGCCATCATTTTTTGGGAAAAGAGTATCCTTGAGAGAATTCAAAACACCAAGAGGTGGTATTTACAAATATTTTACTGTGTAACTATTTCCTGCAGCTATTAGTAGGTTGGTTCAAGATCCAGGAATGAGATGATACAATTGAGCTAACAAGGTCCCAGAAAAGCAATAGGAATTGTGGTAAAGAGTGCAAAGAAAAAGAAGGGTGGCCCTTGAAATATGTACACAGATTTGCTTCCTCTGGGACAAGTGGAAAAGGAAGAGTGTCAGAGGTGAACAGTCAAGTTGGGATTAAGAGAAACACACCCTAAATAAGCTCCCATCTTCTCAGGCAGATTAGAGCATTAGATCATGGGTTTTAGGAGCAGCTTAGAGGTACAGAGTAGCTCATGGGAGTAACAGAAGAACAGCTCTTTAAAACAGAGAGGACTGATCACTTGTATTGAGGGCCCAGCTGTAGTTGAGGGAGCCTGAAATTAAATGAGACCAAACCATGTGCTTGTAGGTGAGTTTATTTTTTATTTTTATTTTTTGGCAGGTCTGGGGAGAAATTGTAAGCATCTGTCTCTTCTGCACTTTTCAGTGAGGCTGGAAAGATGGAGATGTTGAAGGACTGGAGCTTTGCAGAGCCTAACTTACTTGATGTGAGAATGGCAGCCTATTTAACTGCAGATTCTGGGCTTATCTTGCATGGTGAAGGGAAGCAGAGGAGAGGGCAAGTAACTGCTACACCATGGAGAAAGTGAGGGTTAAGTAGCTGTCTCAGGGATCAAGAACTAGATCCAAAGAGACTGGCAGGTGGAATTATAACAATTGTCCAAGAGTAGAGAATTGCAGGACTAGGTTTCAGGTGGAAACTGGAAACAAAATGCACTGTGCTGCCATTGGATGGAGCCATGGAAATGAGGAGAGTTCAAGGTCTCTGGGGTAAAGGAGTCATCAGGGCTGCAATTGTCATCCATGTGGCCTTTTGATCTGGTCATCCCGGGAGTAAACGGACAAGAGAAGGTGAGGATGAGCAGTGGCAGGGATTCTATGTTGGCAAGTGGGAGTGAATCTTTTTTTTCTTAAGAAAGCATATTCTGTTTCTGAGGGTATGTCTTAGACCACACTGGATTTACAGCAGTATTTTTGGCCTACATCGTGAACTGCTTCTCCCAGATGTCAAAAGTAGCAAGGCTTTACCCTAGCATCAAGTCTTGCTTGGGGCTTCTCAATGAGACCTAGTCATTTAATGCAAGGGCGCACCCTCTACAAATCTGTATAACATTCCTGGGAATTGGGCTTGCTCCAGCTATAAAAATGAGTTTTGGAAGCACAGTTTTTTGAGATGTTTGGATTGTGTTTAGACTAATAAATTCATCTGCAAGATAGGTGACTGACTAGATTCCTGTTTATTTAACTGTGAGTATCTGAAGGCTTTGAGGAAGATTGTCATCCTCATACAAACCACCATGGCTGTATTTCCTCACCTGGAATGTCGATCCTTTTCTCTTATTGATGAAAGCATACTGTCTTTCAAGACACAGCTGGACAGTCACTTCGTTGATACCTTCCCTGACTCCCACTGAGCGAATCTTTTGGATTTCATTCCTGCGTGCAGTGTTTATTTACCTCACTTATGAAATAATCATGTCTTATTGTGATTGTTTCTCCCTGACTAAATTGTGAGGTCTTTAGAGATGGGGACTGTATCTGGCTACATTTGTATATCCATCTTCCTGTATGCTGCTTGATATGTGTTAGGTAGTTAGTAAACTCTTGGTCTGTGAAAACATAAATGGAAAGATAGTGCATTCATTTAGGACTTCACATAAGCTTGCTAACTCTGAGTCAGAATGTCCCATGAACTGAAACATTCAGACAGCACCGCCACTAAAAACTATGCAATTATATTCTCTTTGAGCTTTATTGCTGATTGCACATTTTGTTCAATGGTTCTTCCTGAATAACTTAGAAAGTTTTAGTTAATGGGGCGAGGTATGGTGGCTTATGCCTGTAGTCCCAGCACTTGACAGGCCAAGGTGGGCATATCATTTGAATCCAGAGTTTCAGAGCCATCTGGGCAGCATGACAAAATCCCATCTCTGCAAAAAAATTAGCTGGACTTCTTGGTGTGTGCTTGTAGTCCCAGCTACTTGGGAGGCTGAGATAGGAGGGTACCTTGAGCCCAGGAGGCAGTGGTTGCAGTGAGTCAAGACCACACAGATGCACTAAAGGCTAGGCCGCAGGACAGGGTACTGTCAATTTTTTTTTTTATAAAGGCCTGAGAATTGTTAAAGCATTAAGTAGCATATATTACATAAGGGATGTTAAGAACATATGAAAGTACAGTTTAACAGAAAGTAGGAGAGTCAATTTATATGCAGCTAGAACATCTAGTTGACTAAATTTTGAAACTTTGCTTTCCAACAGATTGAAAAGATTCAAACTCTGAGGTTGGATTTTTTTTTTTTTTTTTTTTTTTTTCTGTTACCGAGGCTGGACTGCAGTGGTAATCATCAGAGCACCAGAACCTTTGCCTCCCAGGTTCAGGTGATTCTCCTGTCTCAGCCTCCTGAGTAGCAGAAAGTACAGGTGCCCTTCATGATGCCAGGCCAATTTTTGCATTTTGTTACCGATGTGGTTTTACAGTGTTAGCCAGGCTGACCTTGAACTCCTGACCTCAGGTGATCTGACTGCATTGGCCTCGCAAAGTGCTAAGATTACAGTTGTGAGCCACAGTAACCAGCCAAGTTGGATTCTCTTGAAATTGAAATTGTTGCTTTGTGGAATTTATGAAACAGTATATTTGTTTACACCCATTTGGCTTTCATCAGTTTTCTTGCTAAAAGTTAATGATTTTCTATGTAGATTGAAATAAAGAGAATTTATGGCCACAGGCAAATTTAAGTAAAAGCCATGGATTTACTAAGAGGAAGAGAAGCAGTGATGAAGCAGAGGGTTGAAGCTTTTGAATTTTAAGTATGCATGTTTAATTTTCAAATTCAGAATTATGAGAGTACAAAAATTACTCTATATGTCAAAATATTCTAGTGTTTATTGCCAAGTAGAGTTCTTGTTTATAAAGGTCATAGCACCTAGAATTAGAAAGTAGAAATTAAGAAGAACAAACACTAGGCTTTTGCTTTTGAAATATTAAACATTAAAATGAAAAAGAGAATGAGATTCTATCACAAGCTTACAGTAAGACCAGACAGAATATTTGGAGAGGCTATTAATACTTGAACAGATCATACATTTTGCTGTTAACTTCAGTCCTTCAGGTCTGATAGTTTTATGTGTTTATGTAGAGCAACTGAGTTCCACATTTCTACACCTGCAGCTTTTACCAGCTCTGTGCTCAACAGAGAAAGTATGGTAGTCTGACTTTACCTGCACTGGGTGAACCTGTTTCTCTTGTGTTATTCACTTGTTCTAAGTGCTGACAAATATTTCATTCTTCAGATCTTACCTGGGATTGACAGCAAGCGCATCTGTCTATAGTTTGTGCAATAAGCCTTATTTTCCACTGGGAATGTTTTCTTAATTGGCACCCATAGATACTCCAGGAATCTTACTTCATTAAAGAATATGCCTCCATCTTCTTTAATGTTGTTTTTGCACTTCTATAGATTTGATTTGTTGGATGACAACCTCTGCCTGCCTTAGTCTCCTTTTGGCAATAATGAAAAGGTAAACTAATCGAGAGAGAGAGAGAGAAAAATAAGGAACAACATTTTGGCAGAGAGAGTTTATCACTTCCCTACCTCAATTTTCTCCACTCCTGTTTTCTCTCTCTCAGGATATATACAAAATAAATGTCGTTTTTACCTTTCCACAGCTTTCCAGATTACCAGCAGAGGGAGCTAATACCTAGAGCCTTTAACTTTCCTTAGACCAGTCAGTGTTTTGTAGGACTTCTCAGAATGGCTGCATCTCAACCACTGTGAACCCACCTCCCTGGCTTGGGAATTGGTGCTATGGTTAATCTCATGTCTCGCTATAAAGACCGTTCTACTCTTAAGTATTTGGAAGCCCATATTGATTCATCTATCTTTTGCCCTCTCTTTGGGTACTTTTCCCACGTTTAATCAACAGTTTTTGTTTTCTAGGTTTTTGTTGTTTGTTTGTTTGATTTTAAGAGACAGGGCTTTGCTATGTTGTCCAGGTTAGTCTCAAATTCTTGGGCTCAAGTGACCCTCCTGCCTCAGCCTTCTGAAAAGCTGGGATTTTAGGTGCTGGCCACCACACTTGGCTACCTCTGATAGATTATTAAATGACAAAAGTAAATATTCTCACTGAAATATCTATGCGATAATTAATTAAAGCCCACAGTTAGAAAGAACATTATAAGAAATCAAGCAGGTGAATCCACTTTTGTCCCTTTGTAACTAATAGGATTATTCTTTCATCCCACAATTGACTTTGGCCATCACTCACCTACAACTATTGTTTTAAGTTTTAATTGTCTTCTATAGGAAATCACTTCCCACTAGAGAAGATCACACTCCCCTCCGTCAGATACCACAGCTCTGTGGCTCTGCTAGTTTCAATACACTGTAAGTAGATTAGTTCATACACTGAGGACTTCTAGCTCTTTCTTCTGCTTCCCAGCAGGAATAGTCATGTAGCAGTTTTAGTCTGTTGAATCAAAAACACTGGATTTTTTTTCTAAATTTGTTATCTCAGCTATTGTAGCTTATTTAGTTTTTATACCTTTCCTATATTCAGAACCCAGAAGCCCCAGGAAGAAAAACATAACACCATGACTGAGGCACTTAGAAGGCAGGAGCGAATATAAGGAGTCTTGAGGAGACCTATGACCAAACTGCTGAAGTACATGTTTGACTGTTTTGAAGAAGAAATATGTTTAAAATAAGTTAGTGTAAACATAACAAAAACTGAGGAAGTAGTCTATGAATCACATTCTATGCAAACTTTAGTGTTTGAAAAAAATACATATTTTATTTTCATCAATACCCAATAATTACCTGTGTTTGAGATAAGGTACCTTTTAAAAGATAAGGTGCAAAGAAGCAAATCCTCTGCTTTTCTTACTCATGGCTTCTCTAACATTTATTGAGGTCTGTGATTTACTATAATTTTCAGGGTACCTTGTTACTTGCTCAGCTTGCCTACTCGATAAGCTGTAAAACTGGGTTTATAATCACTTTTAGTGACTTTTTTTTTTGTCTACTCCACTCATACTGCCACAAAGATGGATATCTAACAATATAGAAATTATATCAATGGTCACAGTATTTTTCAGTGAACATGTGCCTTTAATTCCTTCACAATTCTGCAAAGCAGGAATGAAAATAAAAGGGCTAAAATTAACTATGTGAGGCAAATGTGATAAAGGGAAAGGAGAATAACAGCAGTTACAGATTCTTTGGCTTTTCTGTGCACTAAGTTTTGTGTATCAGTGGATAATATCACAGGGGTAAGACATTGTGCCCATGTGGTAACGTTTCAGTGGGTGGAAAAGGATCTGGCACATAAAATGTGCCCAGTTAATATTTGTTGTAAATGTGCCACGAGGAAATGATGCAACAAAGGTTTTGGGGGCATTTATTTGGCCTGTTTTTATTGCCTTCCTCATGATTTGACATTGATATTTTATTACATAGTAGGTGCAAAAGTTTCTTGAGGTTGTTATTTAAACAAATTCTATTTTTAAAAAATATAGCAGCTTTTAAAATCGATTTTTAAATGAGGCGTTTTACCCACATCTTCTATGTCAATTCCTCTGCTAGAACAAATAACGTGGAAGTTGCTGTAGTTACCACATATTTAGAAATAAATAAACCAAAGTATGTGCGTTAATTTTATGTAGTTATGGAGCTAGTCAACTATTTGGTAGCATTGTGACAGCTTCCACGGGCTGTGTGGTGTCTGTCTGGCTTTAGGAATCTGCATATGATTTTGGCAAGTGTTAGAGTTTGGAGGCTGATCCCCATAAGAATGTTTCTTTTTCCTTTTGGAACCAAAAGGGCAGATTGTAACAGCTGGGAAAGAGAAGTGAAACTGCAAAAGTGTGTCTTTGGGTGTTGCTAATTCAGATTTGATGCTGTTGACACTTGCCTCTCAGGACTGTTCTTAGTCCCTTGGCACAAAAATTCATACATTGGTTGAGGGTGTGCAGATATTACAGGAGGACTGGAAGTGTTTGTCTAATTATCATTTACAATTGAGTCTATTGTATGCCGTGTAAATTTAATTTTCTTTGCTTTTTGTGTCAGATGAGACCAACTGAAAAGTGATTACTTCAGTAACCTTGTGACAACACGACCCTTTATTTTGTGTGTTTGAGTCTTATAGGATTGAGGTGGGGTTTTAGTGGACATTTTATCTATGGCTTTAGTAATGAGGGACTTTGAAGTTTACACAGTGTCAGGTTAAGTGCTCTCAGATATACCTGTGCCACGCATAAGCTCCTGCATTGATAGTGGGCTTTCTAGAATGATAACTGAGAAACTCATTCGGATTCTCAGGTGACAACTTGAGCTAAAGGATGACTATATCATTAGTACTAATCGACTAATTGAAGGTGAAAGGAAGAAATAATTATTGTTTTTTGAAACAGATTTAACCAATATATGAAATTTTAGTGATAAATAATTTATCCTAGGTCATCTGCTAGAGACGCTTGGATTTCTATTTGTATGGCTAAGAGGATGATGGCTGGAGTAAATTAAGTAATATTTATTTTCAATCAATGTCACACAGAAAAATGCAGATAGTGCCTTGGGTCCTGAAGTCCTGCTTCAAACCTATTTGTGTGTCTAGTTGCTTGTGTGCTTTTGGGCAGATTCTGTGACTCAGATTCTTGAGCTGTAAACTCTAGGAAGTTTTCCAAATTTTAGGGCTGTTGAGGAAATGTAGTGAGCTAATTGACATGCCTAGGTCATAGCAGGTGGTCAACACTATTATTTTCTACACGCAGCCTGTTCACTCTTTCCATCAGCAACAGGAAAAAATTCTGTCATTACATTTTTGTCTTACAGATTAAAACAAAATACGGGGCATTTTTCACATGCCATTGCTTCTTTACTTTTGTCTTCATCGTGTGCTTGCTGTTGGAAGTTAGAACATCAGGTACTTACAAAATATTTTGTATATAAAATTTATTTTTGCAACTTTGACATATGTGAGAACTTTGTAGACTTTCATACTCAAATATGAGCTATAGTATATTAAGAAAATGGAGGCACTTCACATGTTCAGATTTTATTTTATTTTCTCTCTTACAAGGTAGTGTTATTCTGTCACCCAGGCTAGAGTGTACTGGCATGATCTCAGCTCACTGAAACCTCCACATCCTGGCTTCAAGCGATTCTTGTGTCTCATTCTCCCAAGTAGCTTGGATTACAGTCGTGTGTCACGACGCCAGGTAATTTTTGTACTCCCCCCAACCCTGCCTGGAGATGAAGTTTCATTGTGTCACCTAGGCTGGAGTGTAATGGCATGGTCTCAGCTCACTGCAAACTCTGCCTTTTGGTTTCAAGTGATTCTCCTGATTCAGCCTCTCAAGTAGCTGAGATCACAGGTGCCTGAGGCCATGCCCAGGTAATTTTTGTATTTTTAGTAGAGATGGAATTTCACCATGTTGTTGTCCAAGATGCCCTCGAATTTCTGACCTCAAGTGATTTGCATGCCTCAGCCTCTCAAAGTGCAGGATTTACAGGCACGAGCCACCAGGCATGGCTATCTTTTCAGTAGAGATGGGGCTTTGCCATGTTGCCCAGGCTCATCTCAAACTGCTGAGCTCAGCCAATTCTCCCACCTCAGACTCTGAAATCACTTGGATTACAGGTGTTGACCACCATGCCTGGCCATTTTTACCTTACCTTTTCATATTCAAAAAATATATATTGCTATAATGTGTGATTGTTGCTGGTTTCTTGGTTGACTCTGAAAAATGGGGTGATAATCTTAGAAGGACTTGATTCATGGGATATGTTCTATAAGTTTCCTCTGTGTCAACTCTGGGGCAGAAGATAATTTTTGTTAGCGTAGTTATTGCAGACATTCAGACATCTCTTTAGTGACCTTAATTAAATTTTGACGCTATGCCTAAAGGAGCATACCAGATTTTCATTTTGCAGCACTGTAAAGTCATTATTCAATTGTAAATATTCCTTTTTAAATTCCAGGTTGAGTTAGAGTGTGTCAAAACCCAGTCTTGCCAATAACAAAACAAAACCTTATGCTGAATGAAAAGGCTAAAAGGATGAGTAATTATTCACTACTTAAAAGAGAGTAGAAATGAAAACTTGCATGTCCTAAACCATATATCTTTCTTCCTGATTTCCATGTTTTAGTAATTTATATTCAGGCAGTATTATAAAACTATGCTTTGTACTTGTAAGGGGAAAGTTAAATTTGAAGGATTTATGATCCTTGGATTAAACTCTGCAAACATGCCTGTAGGTGGTTTCAAGGTATCCCTTGCCCTCTGCTTGCTGATTGGGTTTGGCCGGTGAGGACTACAGACTCCACATACACTGGCCGAAGACTGGCCATTGTACCTCACAGCCAAGCGAGGTCATGGTGCCTGTGATGACCTCTTCCCAGTGTTCTGCACCACCTCTCTCCCTCCAGCGCTGAGAATTGCACCCTCCTCTGATTCTCCAGGCACAAGGAGTGCTAATACAGTGGCCCTGTTACTATCTCAGTGAGCTTTGCCATCATTTGTGGGCATGCTGCAAAAGTCACCCTTTATTAAAGCATCCTTAGATGACTTTGACTGTGGGAACCATCTGCTTTCTGCCTGGATCCCAACTGCTGCTGACAGATGCACAGATTATGTTGAATCTTGGGGATGTCATCAACAGGGAGATCAGATAGAGAGCTCCTTCTGTGCATGGTAGAGGAGAGAAACAACCTTTTAGGTTAATTTGAGGATTTGAAAAGGGTCTTTTACATGGAGTAGGACTCCAAGAGTAATCACGTTTACATTAAAATGCACCAAATTCTTTTGTTCTGAAATGTGGGTGTCAGGATTACGCTGAGCTCATTAAATAGAATTAATATTATATTTATTGCATGAGTACAAAGAAAAGAAACAACAATGTAAAACCCCTTTAAATGTTTTTGTTAAATGAAATAAGAAAACTTAAGGTAGATAATGACTAGGATTTCTTTTGAACTTCTTAGGTCTAGATCAGCTGGCTCATGAAATTGTGGTATTTCAGAAAGAACTGCAGAAAGCAGAAAATGCTATCATAGCTGAGCATGAGGAGTTCAAGAACCACAGGCCAGCTCTGCAATACAACTGCAACATGCAGTGAGTATTGCTCCTTGCCGGTCCCACTATGATACCAGTACACTTCATCAATATGTAAACTTGGCCCAAGTCACACCTGTGCAAATCAGATTTATTTTTACATCAAACATTACTCCCCCAAATATAACAAAGGTACTGTTTGTCATCTCAGAAAATTCTCTAGTGATAATATGATCTTATATTCATAATAGTAATAACATGGAGAAGAAAGCAAACACACCTAAACGTAAAATTTTCAGAGTGCCTGATTGTATCCACTGTTTTCCCTTGATTCTCACCCTGAGGATTTCAAACATTCACTGTGTCTTCTGTCCACATGCTCTAGAATTTTTTGATATGACCGAAAATGATGATGAAACCTGTGAAACACGCCTCATTTGTGTTCTGTTTGTCATTTTAAAAATAGGGACCCTGTTGTTTACTGGCATAAATCTTCCCAAATAAAGATTACAAAAGGATGAGAAAACTTTTCCTTTTGAAGCAAGCTGTGATTTGTTTTAAAATAATTTATTTTCCTACTCTGAATCTTGTCATATTGTGCATTCTGCCTGGCTGAAGGCCCAGATACTAGATTACGAAGCTTCCATGACAAAGTTAACTATTCATGTGGCTGATTTAAAATTGCAACTGAAGCAAACTCAGACGGGTTAGAGACATTTTAAACCCATGAATATGTTTTCTTTCTGTAAAGCTTCTGATGCTTGTGAAAATGTAATGATCCCAATTTATTGAACATTAAGTAATTATTTTGTTAGAGGAAAAGCCACAGAAATATGTGTCATCTTAGAAGTAAAACTCCCTATCCAGTTTGGTAATACCATCTGGACCATCAACAAAAGTGACTTGTTTCATAGGTGCCTCATGGCTCAGGAGAACGTCATGTCCCTAATGGGAAAGCTGTGGTGGTGATATAGAAGTCTCCAAGTTTATCTTAGAATTTTGTTTTCTGTTTGTTACCCCAATGTTAACACCAGTTCAGTAGTTTTACAGATTCCTTCATAGACAGATGTGCACTCATAGGAGGAGAAGGGTTATTTAGCAAAGAGAACGTTGCCCTCAGAATCAGAGAACTGTTCTTCTTTTGGACCCCAGTTTTGAAGTTAGTTGTTTGATCTTGGACATGTTAACTTAACTTCCTTGGGCCTCTGTTTCCTCATTTGCAAGGGGAAATTTATGCCTATTGAGCCATAATGAAAATGATGACATGAGGTGGGTTTCAATGCAGTGTCTGGGACATAAGAAAATACTCAATAAATGGTGATTTGCTATGATTTTATTATTGTGTCTTCACTGGGGATACATCTCTGCCACTTCCTACTTCATAAGAAGGATGTTGAAGCTTAGATGCTTTCTTCTTCAGTTGCTTTCAAGCTCAAAGAAAGTGTGTATGTGTTACCAGTTCAACTGTATTCTCACACTTATTCTGAGCCTTCCTTGTTCCTATTTGCAATCTTTCCTCATAAGTCCCTTGCTCTCTTCTGCAAGAGCTTGACTGATTCTTAACTCTTTACTCATTTCTACTCATTTCTGTACTTCATTTTTTTGTCAGTTCTGTCTGTGAAACTTCTCACAGCTGAAACCACAGTCTCATGTTAAAAGCAGTTGAATGAGAATACAACGTTTGCATGCATGTGCACTGCTGAGGGCAGGCTTCTTTCTAATAGCATCGTAGGAAGGCATTGCAGGAGAGTGAGATGCATGTACTGGCTTTGCCTTAGGGAAGTCCAGTAGCTATTGGACCTGCTAAATGTGTAACTCAGCCTCAGTAAACTTTAGATCCCATCTATGAAATGGGAGCTGTGAGAGTTCCCTGAACACAGTGTTGTTGTGGAGGCAGATTCTTACCTCCTTGCCTGAAACTCATTCCATATGCTGTGGATTTCATAGCATAGGAAATCCACAGCATGCAAGTTCTGAAGCGCCTGCTGTAGTGAAATGCATTAATTATTTTCCAGTCAACTGTATGAATATTCATGCTGGGATAAATAAGGATACTAAATGGGTTCACATCAGTTCAGGTCAAACTTTTCATTTTGTTTTATTTTTTTGATTTTTGAGATGGAGTCTCATTCTTTCACCCAGGCTGGAGTGCAACGGTGCTATCTTGGCTCACTGAAAGCTCTGCCTCCTGGGTTCATGCCATTCTCCTGCCTCAGCCTCCCAAGAAGCTGGGACCACAAGTGCCTGCCACCATGCCTGGTTAATGTTTTGTATTTTTAGTAGAAGACAGGGTTTCACTGTGTTTGCCAGGATGGTCTCGACCTCCTGACCTTGCGATCCATCCACCTTGGCCTCCCAAAGTGCTGGGATTACAGGCATGAGCCATCACGCCCGGCCAGGTCAAACTTTTCAACCAAATGAGTTCAAGTCTGGCTACGCTTTGCCACCACATGAGTTATGAATACATTTTTGGTTTTCAGAGCTTTTGTGATGTGCCAATTGTTCATAATGGATTCTGAAATTATACCAGGTTACAAAAGACATATGAAGCTGTAGTTGGTACAATAAGCCCTCAATAAGTGTTAGTCGTTGTTACTACCATGGCTTCAGAAACTGTTTAATGTGCAAGTTTGTCCTTATTATTGCTCTCTTCAATTTTTCAAAAAAAAAAAAAAAATGATATTCTCAAGTATATGAATTTTCTTTTCTTCCTTGTCCACTGACATCTGAAATTACCTTTTTGTACTCTGCAGACGTAGAGAATAAAGTATACTCCAATCCAAAACAGTCTCTGAACAATCATTCTGTCAGTGGATTAATAAGTGGCAATATGGTACCCTGCAATGATGTTATACATCAGGCTTTCTTGAACAATTCTTTTAGACAGAAAAGAGTTCTAGCAGGTATGGTTACATCAAGGATCCCAAATTATCCAAATGGAGGTGTAGAAGGTAGTCCTTCCAGTTCTGACCTTGAGTTTGTAGTTAATACTAAGCAAGGGTCAAAGAGCTTAAGCAAGAGTCAAAGAGCTTAAGCAAGAGGCCAGACACTTGGAAGAGCCTTTCAGAAGTTGCCATCAGAGAGTCATTAACATGACTGCCAAAAGCCCACTACCAGCAAAGAGCTCACCATCTCTGCACTTGCTGAAAGCTTTCAAAAACATTACTTCCAGTTCTCCAGAAAGACATATATTTGCAGAGGACAGAGTTGTCTCTGAGCAACCTCAAGTGCAAACACTTAACGAATAAAGGAATGGCACCTTGGAAGCACTCACAGGTAGTGCAGCCTCCAGGCTACACAGGCACACTTCCTCCAGACAACGCTAATCCACACCGTTTCCAAAAGCAAAAAGAAACCTTAAAAGAGAAATGTATCTGGAAGTTTAGCCACCTGGACAAAGCCTTGTGTGCTGCTCTGGAGACGAATAGCTACCCTCCCCTCCCCCTACCCATGATACATTGTTGCTGTGAGGGTCAGCGGGATAGACTGGCTACATACAGTGTTTTCTTAACACACAGAGGTGTTTCAATAGTAATAATTGCCTTTCCTTTGCTACCTGTTGCTTTCACGCATTTTATTATTGCCACTGCAATTAACTTAGGTGCTTGAATCATTAGTTTTGTGGATCTTATGCATCGTTATTTGCTATCTGCAAGGATAACAATTTATTTTCAAACTAATAGAGCTCTTTAGAAACCTGCTGGTATCTTCATGCAATTGGTAATATTCTTGCCTTGGTTCCTTCTGAACCTTAGGCCTGGGCAGATCACATGGTGCTTCCCCCAGGCCTTGTTCTGACAGAATGCCCCAGCAATCACTCACTGAATCAAGGCACAACCTCTCCATCCCTACAGACCAGAAGTTGTGGTAAGCACAACTGCCTGATTGACTAGCTTCAGCTGAATCACGTTACTTACTCTGTCAGCCTTCACTTATTTTGTTCGTTTTTTTTTTTTTTTAGATTAATTTTGCAGACCATTTGGCAGTATAGAAGTTAGAATCAGATTGCAAAATGATGTGTCATCTTTGAGAATCATCTAAATTATGAGGAGAAAAAAAGGATTTTTTTAGCAAATAAGTGGGTAAGGCATATTTGCTAAACTGGACATATAGAACATACAATACGGTATTAATAAGCATCTTCATAGTTCTGTGAATAGACTCAGCTCATTAAGATCAAACACAAATGTACACAATCTGTGAAAGTAAACAAATGGAGGTTATTTCTCCAGTTGGAAGTTGGAACAATTATACACATCAAGAAACAGTCATTTAAAAATATTTTGGCATTGAAATATAAGCAGATAAGTTTTTTGTTTTTGTTTTTTGGTGAGTGAGGGCAGAGTCTCACTCTGTCACCCAGGCTGGAATGCAGTGGAATGACCTTCACTCCCTGAAACCTCTGCCTCTCAAGTTCAAGTGTTTCCCCTGCCTCAGCCTCCCAAGTAGTCTGGATTACTGGTGTGGGCCACCACACTCAGTGAATTTTGGTATATTTAGTTGAAATGGGGCTTCACTGTGTTGTCCAGGCTTGTCTCAAACTCCTGACCTCAGTTAATCTGCCCACCTCTGCCTCCTAAAATGCTGAGATTACAGGTATGAGCCACAGTGCCTGGGCTGGGTAAGGTTCTCACTTCCATATCATTGCAATAAATTCAAACGTGGCAGTGGGATCTGGAGCATGATTATTGAAACAATAGAAGTGAATGTTTTTAGGAACTAGACCAGTGGGTTACCCAGGCTGTGATTTGAGTCATGAGAAGACTTCTAACCATACCTGAGCCCTACAGCACAGAGAACTGACTGTATACTTGCAGGCTGGAGCTTCAGTGTCTGCATGTTGAATATGTTTCTCTTCCAAAAGTGCCAGTGTGGCAAGACGAGGGTTAAATAGAAAAGGAAAAAAAAAATGTCTTCTGCTTAGCCAGCTGATTCCAAGGAAGGTTATAAGACAACACTGTTTCAAAAGAGTTATAAGATAACACTGTTTCAAAAGAGAAGGCCAAAGGAATGGGTTGCAAACAGCCAACTCCAGAGCAAAGTTGAAAAGAAAAATGGATACCAATGCTCTCTCTCCTTCTCTGGACCATTAATTTTGACTATGTTTCCGAATGCTTGTATTTAGTACAATTAAAAGTTACTCTTTTTTGTTTTTCCTTTTTTTGTTTTTTGTTTTTTTGTTAGTTTTTTAACAGCTGCAAGGCCACAAGCTATGCAAGGCTACAAGTTACGGTAAGTCAAATCTTATGCTATAAATTATGTAACCTATCATTGTTTAAGTGGCTTCTTTACTTCTGCTTTTGTAATTTTGCTTATAAATACCCCACTCAGTCTTTGTTCAATGATCAGCCTTTTGGGATATCAGTCCACTGAGCCAGGGCACCTAATTAAATCTTCCTTTTTCCCCATATAGGTCTCTTTGGTCCTCTGCTTCTTGCAACATTATTGACCAGCCAGCTAGGAGAGGAGATGACAGGTTTACTGTCTCCTTTGCCTCTAGGAGCTTAAGCCCTGGGTCTCAGGAGTCCTGAGACCCAGCAGCACCATCGGGAGAAATTCAGCCTGGTTGGGAGATCAGCCCATTTGTGACCCAGTGCCCCTACCCAGCAATGCAATGGTATCTAATGGGCTACAGGATGATTGCAGGAACAGCTCACTTCAGAAACCACAGTAAGGTATTGGGACCCAAGGGATGACCTGTCCCATAAGGACAGAAAAGGAGCCTAATCACCTCCTAGGGCATAACTGGTAATCCGACCAAGAAGGGCTGCAGACAACGAGAGTGTCTCACTAATTCAGAAGAAACTTACAACCCAACCAACAGAGCATGTGAGAGTAGCCTGCTAAGTCAGCTCAGAAGGAAACTGGACGTAGGGAAAGTGGCTCACCACCCCAACTGGGAACATGGGAACTGGTAGCAGGATGGTGTGGGGAAGTGTGTGAATGGAGAGGCCTAACTAGGCTCATCAGCCACGAAGTGAGGAACCACAAGTCTCTTAGTGAAGACTGTACTCCAAGCCAAATGTGTGGCTGACTAAGACTAGTTGTGATCCGCATATGGCTAACGGAAGCTACCTCACAACTACAGCACTTGTGGTGGGCTTAAGAAACTCTCCAAATCTAAGTGATATCTAAAAACCCCCATAATAGGACTAGGTCTAGCTGGTGCAAAACAAAAGTAAAAAGTGAGCACGAGTGTACTGCATCATAACTGGGAGAAAATGGGAAGAGAGTCATCAAAACATATACCATTCAAATATATGCTAAAAAAAAAAAATGAGAAAGGTTTTACGGGGAACTATAAAATTAAGCTAACCCCCCAAAAGTGAAAAACTTTCTGTAACCTAAAATAGCCCTCTTTTGGCGTTAAATAGATGACCCAAAAAGACTACCCAGAGAAACAACTGGAAATGAGTTTGAGGTAATGACAGGGGTCCAAGGACAGCCAGGGCACCCAGGCCAATTTTCTTATATTTACTCATAATTACATATAATACAAACAGGAACAGCATGTACCGAGCCCTGTTTAGCTGCCTACTGATAAACACTTATAGCGCTAGCTGAACCAAAAGTGAAATAAAAGCAGCTTCATCAGCAAACACTCAGTTAAAGGAAAAGTCCTCAGGACAGCAAGAAAAACCAGTTTTACAAAAGCCAGAAGAGGAAAATAAATTTCTCCTGCATATATCACAGCCTACCTCCCTTTGCTGAAGCCAACAGTCCCCCAGGAGCCTGGTTCCATTGCCAGCATTCCCCAAGTTTCACCACAGAGAGAAGAATCGGAGACTTGAGAGGCCAGGGAAGGAAGTCACAATAGTCAACCAGGCTGTCTCAAATCTGGTCATCCTCAAGCTATGCAACTGCCTCTCAGGGAAATATGAGGACTCATCTACTATAATGACCAGCGCCACATCCAGGTTGTGGGGGGCAAGAAGCCTTCCTCTCTCAGCCCTTTTCAACCACCAATCTACTAAATTTAAACCATCACACTCCCTCCTACAGGGAAAAGCCCAAAGCTCTCATAAACCTATTGCAGTCCATCTTTCTATCACACAATCCAACCTGGCTAAATTGCAGGCAACTTCTCTTAATGTTGTTTAATACAAAGGAATGCCAGGGGATAACTCAGGCAGCCCTTCATTGGCTAGAAGCCAATGCATGAGCAAACACAGAAAATGCTCAGGCATATACTCAGGATCAGTTTCCAGAAGCAGGCCTCAACTAAGACCCAGATAACGCAAGCCAGCATCAGTGCCTGCAGAGGTACTGGGAGGCACATTTGCCAGAGACAAAAGCTTGTGGAAAAAAAAGAAATTAATATAAAAAAATTCAAAATGCTTCAGAAAGATAAAAAACCAAGCCAGTTTTATTTAAACAGCTTTGTAAAACAATCTGGTTTTAAACCCCATTTGACACTGAGGCTACTGAAAATTAGCACATGGTAAACACAGCATTTATAAGACAGGCCAAGGGTGACATCCAGCAAAAGCTGCAAATGCTACAGGGTTTTGCAGGCATGAATACATCCCAGTTTATAGGAATGGCTGTCAAAATATATGTTAACTATTACCAGGAAGTAAAAAAAAAAAAAAAAAAAAAAAAAAAAAAAATGTAAATCACAGGCTAAAAAAGAGAGGCCAATCTCTTAGCAGCACTTTCATTAAAAAAAAAAAAAAAAAAAAAAAAAAGTGACCAGGTATATACAAGGACATGGACTTGCATGTGCATGTGAAAGAGGTCAAGTTAGTCCAAAAAGCCAGTTGAGGCTAAAGAGAGAACAATATGTGCGATGGGAAAGAAAAATATTGAAAGAATAAATGTCCAGAAGGGAGTAAAAAATATAATAAGGACTGTTGTATAAAAAAGTCACCAGCTAAAGGCTGCCTCAATGTGGTAAAACCAAATACTAATCTAAATAGGCTGGCTTGCACTAAAGGATATAGCAACTAGGAGAGACCAGGCTCCTTCTTACTACACTTCCACGAGCCCATGGTTACATTAAAAGTTGAAGGCCAGCTGACGGACTTTATGGTAATCACCAGGGGTACACATTCAATAGTCACTCAACCCATAGGGCCGTTATCCAAAAGCAATAAAATTATTATAAAAGCCATGGGAGTCACAGAGAAAAAGCTGTTCTGTCAGTCAAGGAGGTGTGTTATAAAAGGCCAAGAAATCCAACATGAATTCCTATACCTCCTGAATTGTCCAGTTCCTTTGCTAAGAAAAAAATTTACTCCAAAAACTGCAAGCACAAATTGCTTTTCATGTGCAAAAAGTATAACGTTAAATCTGACTCACCCAAAAACCCTGGTGTTAACATTTATCATCCTGCAGGCTAAGAAATGGAAACTTTATACAAAGCAAGTGCAAGCAGCAGATTAGACATGCAGGTGCAATGAAAAAACCATTCTCTCAGTTACTTAATACCACTCCTGGAGTATGGGCTAAAGACACCCCACCTGGGTTAGCTGTAAATCATGCACAGGTGGTAGTCCTGTTAAAACCAAAAGAAACTCTGACTTATGTTTGACAGTACCCAGTCCCCCGAGAGGCTATTCAAGGTGTCTGTAAACATTTAAACCCACTTTACCAACATGAAATCTTTGTTTGATGTCAATTGCCCTAGAACACTCCACTTTGGCCAATATGAAAACCATTGTCAGGACCAGGGTCTAATAAGTATAGACCAGTGTACGACCTGTGTGCCACAAACCGGGCCACAGTGACCATCCATCCAGTGGTACCAAATGCATGTATTTTAATAAATCTCATTCCAGCATTGCTACCTGATTTACAGTCCTAAACTTAAAGAATGTTTTCTGTTATATCTGCTTAGCCCAAGTTAATCAACCTATATTTGCCTTTCAATCAAACAAAAAAGCTATGCAACTCACCTGGACCAGGCTCTCACAAGTTCAAAGACTCACCCCCAATCTTTAGGGAAGCACTGACCTTAAAGCCTACAACCTGCCAAAGGATAACTGTGCCTTGTTGCAGTATGTAGATGATCTTTCTTTAGTAGCACCAATCCAGGAGGGCTGTTATCAAGAAACCCAAGACCTCCTCTATCTCCTATGAAAAACAGGTTACAAATTATCTCAACAAATGGCCCAATTTTTCATAAAAATTTCAAATATATAGGTTTCATTGTAAGCCACGTGGAATGCCACCTTGGCCATAAGTGGAAGCAGGCCATTTGTACACTCCCAACCCCAACCACTAGGCATTAAAGAAAACAAATTCTTAGAAGCAGAAAAATTCCACCATATCTAAATCCCAAATTTCTCACTGATGGCTAAGCCATCATATAAAATTATGAAGGGGGAAAATAAAGAAACCCTCCTCTGGAAAAGGATCTACAGCAAAAAGCATTTAAACAAATTAAAAAAAAAAAAAAAGCCTTAACTCAGGCCCCAGCGTTTGGACTGCCAAACATAACTAAGCCTTTCTTTCTATACATCCATAAGTGAAAAGAAATGGCTTCAGTGTTCTTAACCCAAATTATAAAATTATAGCATTGTCCAGCGGCATACTTAACTAAACAATTAGACTCTGTGGCACTAGGATGGCCTCCTTGCCTTAAGGCATTAGCCACCACTGCCTTGCTAACACAAGAGGCTAACAAACTTAATTTGAGACAGCAGCTAAC
Source organism: Homo sapiens (assembly GCF_000001405.40). NCBI lineage: Eukaryota > Metazoa > Chordata > Mammalia > Primates > Hominidae > Homo > Homo sapiens. The sequence goes on along the minus strand of NC_000024.10, from coordinate 18,593,434 downwards.
CGTCCAGGTGCCACACTCAGTCGAAACATCAATGAGCCAAAGAAGGTCCCACTGGTTATCAATTCTGAGAATAATGCAGTACCAAGGGCTTCTGTACGAAAACCCTTACATTACTTAAAAAGCAGTAAACCCCTTAAGCCCAACCACGCTGCTCCTAGTTGAACCTGAAGCTCCCCTCCATAACTGTGTCTAAAAAGTGGATGAAATATTTTCTGGAAAAGGAGACCTTACAGATCAACCCCTCAAAAACTCAGATGTTTAATACTTCATAAATTAAAGTAGTTTTCAGCTAGAAAAATATCCAACAAGCAGGGTATGCAGTGGTAACATTAAACTCAATGGTAGAAGCTCAATCTCTGCCTACTGGAACATGAGCCCAAAAGGCAAAATCAATAGCCCTACCAAGTGCCCTTTTGCTACCAAAAGACAAAAAGCTGAATATTTATACAGACTCTAAATATACTTTTACAACACTACATGTTCATAGAAATGTGTATAAAAAGAAAATCTCTTAACAGCTGGAGGCAAAAAAATAAAGTACTAAGAAAAAATTCTACAGCTCTTAACAGCTGTATAGGCTCCAGAAAAAGTAGTAATAATGCATTATTGGGGGCACCAAAATGCAGGGACATCAAAAGCCAAAGGAAATAGGAAAGTTAACAGGAAGGCAAAACAGGAAGAAATAATTATGCCATAATTTTTAAAAGAACCTTAAATATGCCTCTCATCCCAGAACCTCCACTCCAAAATATCCCAAGTTACACTCCAAATGAGAGGGCCTCGTTTATCAAAAAAACTAGAAAATATATTAACAAAAATTGATAAAAGTTGTATAACAGTAAATTAGCCATTGCGGAAATAATTTTTCAAGCAAATTATACAAAAAACTCATATGTGAAAAATGGCACTAAAAACTTACTGAAATGCCACTTCTGCATGCCAGAACTCACTGCCATCATTCAAGGTGTTTGTGAACAAACTTAACTTATATCTGGGGACCCTGCCCCCAATATTTCAACATAGGTTCTTTTTATATTTCTAAGTGTTGGCCAGCCTGAGAAATAAAGAGAAAGAGTACAAAGAGAGGAATTTTACAGCTGGCCCACTGGGGATAACATCACATACAGGTAGGACCCTGATGCCCACCTGAGCCACAAAACCAGCAGGTTTTTCTAAGGACTTCACAAGGGGAGGCGGGTGTACAAACAGAGAGTAGGTCCCAAAGATCACACTCTTCAAAAAGCAATAGGAGAACAAAGATCACATTCTTCTGAGGCCAATAAAGACCACAAGGCAAAGGGCAAAGCAAGATTACAAGGCAAAAGGAAAAATTAGAATTACTGATGAGGGTCTATGTTCAGCTGTGCACTTATTGTCTTGATAAACATCTTAAACAACAGAAAACAGGGTTTAAGAGCAGAGAAATGGTCTGACCTCAAATTCACCAGGGTGGGGTTTTTCCCCACCCTAGTGAGCCTGAGGTTGCTGCAGGAGACCAGGGCGTATTTCAGTCCTCATCTCAACCGCATGAGACAGACACTCCCAGAGTGGCCATTTATAGACCTCCCCCCAGGAATGCAATTATTTTCCCAGAGGATCAATTATCAATATTCCTTGCTAGTAAAAGAATTTAGTGATATCTGTCATACCTGCACATTTATAGTCCATTTATAGGCTCTCTGCAAGAAGAAAAATATGGCTCTTTTTGCCCAAGCCCACAGGCAGTCAGTCTTTATGGTTGTCTTCCCTTGTTCTCTAAAACTGCTGTTATTTGGTTCGTTTTCAAGGTGCACTGATTTCATCGTTTTCAAACACATATGTTACAATCAATTTATACAGTAGTGGTCCTGAGGTGACATGCATTCTCAGCTTACGAAGAAAACAGGATTAAGAGACTAAAGTAAGACAGCTGTAAGGAATTATAAGAGTACTATTAGGGAACTGATAAATGTCGATGAAATCTTCACAATTTATGTTCTTCTGTCGCAGCTCCAGCCAGTCCCTCCATTCAGGGTCCCTGAATTCCCGAAACAAACTTATGCTCAAAACAACCCAGGGCAAGGGCCTACCCAGCCCCCAGGGATCTAAAAAATAAAAGCTATGCCTTGTAAAAACTTACTTGTAAACTTCACAAAACTGTCCCATGTCAGGTGCTATTGTTTTATACTAGCACTTATTTACACCTTTTCAACATAGGTTAAGGTTTTCCAATGAGGACTGAAAAGGCAAAAAAGTAGTTAAAATACTGTTTAAAAACATTATCCCCAGGTTTAAACTGCCTCTAACTTTGAAGTCAAACAAGAGTTTAGCAATTATAGTTGAAATAATTTAAAATCTAGCAAAGTTGCATAAAATAAAATGAAAGTTACACACAGCCTACCAACAACAAAGTTAAAAAAAAAGAAAACCAAATGCATAAACAAATCACTGAAGCACTTACCAAAAGAAATTATCACAAAAATCAACTATAATAAAATCAAATCCTGCCCATGGTGTTCATCCGAGTCAGGTGCACCCCCACTAAACAAACTAGGTATTCACCCTATAAAATTTTTTTCAATCAGCCACACCAAATCTTAGGTCAAATTAAAAGTAATCTCTGCAAACTAAGGAAATTAATCTTCAAAAAGCAAATGCAGGTTTTAAAAATAGCCATGTGAAGTATTCAGCGTCAGGTACATTAAGAAATGCGTATTAGCCCGACAGGCCCAGCATGCTTCTTTAAACCTAACTACTCTCTTTGGGTTAAAAAATGAAACCCAACTTCTCTAGAACCCATAAGGGATGGGTCCCATTTTGTAATCTTATCCACTCCCACTGCTGTTAAAATTGCAGGAATCATGCCTTAATCGATCCATCATGGTTTGCTGAAACAGGCAGCTAATCATGCAACAAGACAGAGTTGTCACTGAGAACAACAGCCCTGCTCTGGTCCCTCCAAAAGCCGACGAATCCACACAAGACTAAAGATGAAGAAGAGGACAACAAGCCCAGCTCTAATCACACTCCAGAAGATAACTAGTCTACGCACAGCCAAAACTTAAAAACTCATCAGGCAAGTTAAATATAATTAAAAATCTTAAATCTAATTTTCACTGTAATACTAATTATTTTACTGTTATTCTGTCACTATACTCAACCTCCTCCCCTGGGTATGAATCTCTTCTAACCACACTAAACATAAATATGCTACTCATTGCTTTGCTGTTATTTCCCCACTTAACCTTGATAAAAAAAAAAAGTACCCATAAAAGGATTCCCAACTTCTACACATACTACATAGTCCAAAAACAATATGACCAGGCATACTGCTACTGAGTTAATAGCCCTAACTAAATATCAACCTTTGACCAAAGAAGAAAACATGCTTTCCCATAAAGAATAAAATAATACGAATGCCTTCTATTAAATTTCTCCTATAAATGGTATCAAAAAAAAATAGAAAAATGTGACAAGACACGTATGACAAAGAAAAAAAAAAACAAGTATTTTCTCCATCTATCTAGCTCACTTCAAGGACAGTCATAAAATAACAGTGTCTAAAAAGTTGAGGCCAAGTGAATGGGTTGCAAATACCCCTTACTGGAGCAAAGTTGAAATTAAAAGCAAATTACTTTACTGTCTCTCCTTCTTCTGAAGCATTAATTATGACTATGTTTACCAATGCTTGTATTTAGTAAAATTTGTAGGTTCATTTTTCTTTCAACACAGCTGCAAAACCCAGCTATGCAAGGCAAGATGTTATGCAAAGTCAAAAGTTATGCTATAAATTACATAACCTTTCATTGTATAATCAACTGCTTTACTTCTGCTTCTGAAAGTTTGCTTATAAAGAGCCCTGCTCAGTCTTTATTCAATACTCAGCCTTTTTGGTTATAAGTTCGCTGAGCTGGTGCACATAAATAAATCCCCCAGTTTCCCCACATCAACCTCTCTAGTCTGCTGTTTCCAGCAACACCAGTCATGTTTCCAAAGCTTTTTCTTTTTTTGAGACAGAGTCTTGCCCTGTCACCCTGGCTTGAGTGTAGTCTCACCTTACTGCAGCCTCTGCCTCTTGGGTTCAAGCAATTCTCCTGCCTCACCCTATGAGTAACTGGGACTACAGACACGCACCACCATGCTCTGCTAATTTTTGTATTTTTAGTAGAGATGGGTTTTCACCATATTGGCCGGGATGGTCTCAGGCTCCTCACCTTGTGATCTTCCAGCCTCAGCTTCCCAAAGTGCTAGGATTACAGACATGATCCACCACACATGGCCAGGTGTTTTTTTTTTTTTCTTTTTTTGTACTTGTGATAAGCCAAAAGGAAGGATAAAACATACACATATGCTGAGTAGGGCACTCTAATCACTCAAGTTTTTGCTATTGCCACCTCAGCTGGTTCATGCTGGTAATATGCAGAATTTTTTTAGAAATGTTTTATTACTATTGAAAAATGAAACTCCTCGGAATAACATTCAGAGTCCAACATTATTCTTCTTTAACAACTGTATTGCCTACTTCACAGCATAACATAGTTACAGGGAGTAACTGAGTAAACAGGTGTCAATTGCTGAGAAAAATACCTCATTGTGGTGGTGAGGTGGAGTTAATCTTTACAAAAAAAAAAGAGAAAAGGAATTTTTCAGAGCATTTTCTTGAGTAACAGAAGGACTTTTGCCACCTGACGCTCTTGGCTTTTCCATTACTAAAACATCACATTCTTGAATTTTATTCTTCCAATCTAGTCTTTCCCAGAGACAGATTGAACTTCAAGGTAAAAGTGAATTTTCAGATGCGGACAAGCTAACTTCTAAGGATTATGAGTAATTCGACTCATCTTTTAAATGTAAGTTGCAACATAAATACCTGTTTTCATAAGTTGAAGATCTGGAAAGTTTCATTTTGGTGAAGCGTATCTATTGATATAAAAACAAAACAGCAGTTAGAAATTGGATCATTTTTATTCTGTGACAAAACTACAAATACAGCTATATCAGCTCATTTTTCTATCATGAAGTTTTTGTGATTGTGTCTGTTTACTTTTAAAGTATTTCAGCATGACTAATTTTAAAGTTTGAGCTAAGCTCATAAATACATTAACTTATAAGATTTAAAATAAGTGATTTTAAAATATGTATTTCTTCCTTTATATGGAATACAAGGATGTTATTTTTCTTTAAATTAACTGATTCTGTTGATTTCCTCAGATCCAGAAAACCTCATTTTTAGTGAAAGAGTGGAGATAAAAGAATATTAAGAGTCCAGAAACTGGTGTTCTGGCTGTGGCCCTGCCTTAGACTGTCTCACTTTGTAGTCACTTTGTAAGTGTAAAATAAGCATGTAGAGCATATCATCTCTGTGGTTCTTTCCAGCTTGAGAAATCTTTATATTTGTATGTAACCCATTGGTTAGTCTTGTAAAAGTCATCTTCAAATCTGGAAGTATAATATTTTGAAAAGTCAATGAGAGGGCTCCGTAAATTTCGTGAATATCTGTTAAAGTATTTGGGTGAAATCACTGACATTTCAAAAGAATTCAGATTATTGTCAACAAGCCATATGGATTCTTCACTGTCACTGGGTTGACTTTCTTGTTGGGAAATCTAGTTTTGTAAACAAAGTTAATTCTTTTAAGTACAAGAAGACTCTGACAAGCTAATACATTGGCAAGTGGTTATGTTTGGAAATTCACAAAATCCGCTCAGGAAAAAGTCCACCTAGTTACTTTGGCTGCAGTTCCCATGCTCCAGCCAGTTGCCCCCACATGGCACTGTGGCCCTCCCACACTGTCATAAAGCCTGATATGCTATTCAAAACCCAACTGAAATGCCATATCCTCCTTATTTCTGAAGGAGGTTATTGCTAAGGAACGACTCATGGGAAAACCATTTGTGCCTCATGCAGATGCAGGAAACGTGCCCGGGCATCTTGAAATGGATGAGTTCTCTTCTGGAGATATGTCTCATGTGTACGCATATCTGGAGATATGCCTCTTGTGGGTGCTGCTGCAGCTGCTGTGCCCATCTCATATCAATACCCAAGTAAGTTATTTATTTTAACTAACAGTCTGCAGGGTCACATCTGTGTAATGTGTACTCTGTGAATTATTTCATGTATCACTGAAGGTCTTTTTGTAGGTGTAATCTAGTCAAAGTATTGGTGTGGGGTTTATAGTGTCGTTATGTCGTTAATGACGTTTCTGAAGTAACTTCTGTGTTATCTTGTAAAGACCATGCTGAGGAAAGCACACGTTGCAATGAAGGACTTCTCATTTTGGCTTCCGAGATGAGTTTCTTGAAAGTGTTTTCATTAACTATTCAGTGTCTAGCATACTAGGTAGACTTTTCCCCAAAACTCTTTGGCAAAAACTATTTCATGAAGGCCTTATCATCTTGAGAGATCATGATGAAACACTGAAATAATAGTTAACTCCCATTAGAGAACTTTATGTGATTGAAACATTTAAATATTATTTCTTTTTCCACCTATATGCTTCCTTCGTGTCTTAAGAAATTAGGGAAAATATTTGTATTTTAATTTTTGGAAAAGCTGTTACGCTGAGTTAACTTAACACTGGAGAAAAACTGGCCATCAGACTTCTCTTGTCTGGCCCACTTTCTCAATCCAGTCTTCTTTCAGATTACCCACTTTCCTTGCTGGAGGTGCAGGGAGACTGGAAGAGAGCTGTGGGAGCTTTGCACTTTGCTCTAGGGCTAAGCAAACAGCCAGGCTCTTTTGTTTTGGGATCAAAGTGTTTAATTCTCAAACACGAAAGAAAATTTCTCAAGTTAAACCACACTTTCTTCCCCACAAATATTGAAAATGCATCATCTTCAAAACATTTCCAAAACCTCTTGTTAGCAGTTTCTTGCTTATAGTCATGGCACTCGAGAACATACAGAATTACTTAAAGAGGCAAGGGGTTTTGAGAAGTTGGACTTTGCTGATTCAAGAGTAAATCTGCTTTGGAGAGCATTCAGAGAGATTTTATCTAAAGCCTATCTCTCCTTGGCACTTTCCTTGGGGCTGAATGCACAACAGTGAACCCAACCAAGCCCTTGTCTTCCTGAATTTCTAGTCACTGAGGCAGATTGCCAGGAAGACATTACCCAGGAGTGCAGAAGAAATGGGCTGCAGCTGATCATTAGGGAAGGTGGCCCCAAGAAGGAGTTTCTGACAGGCAGCCGTTTGTCCCAGGCCTGAGCAAGGGAATGAAAATAATGTGATAGAATAAAGAAAATCAACTGAGTAGTGAGGTGTTCTGCCTCTGAGAGAGAATGTACATTATCATACTAGCTTTAAAATTATTAAGGAGCATAGTGAGTAGCATTGTTGTTATTGAGAAATTTTTATATTCATCATTTCACCTCTTCATCTGGGCACAGATGGAATGGAAAAGGCTGCAATTTGGTGTCTCTGATATGAGGTGCCCAATGAACATACTTTATTCCTTTGCCTTTGTGTCCACAGAGGTTTCTGTATTCCACCGTGCAGGTGCAAAACATACACCAGAGCAGAAAAGCAGTTTGTTCTTCCTCTTTGTTTCTAAATATAGAGGTGCTTAAACAACATCCCTATTTTGAGATTACTATTCCATAAAAGAAAACAATCTCATCTTAGAGTAACTTTCACTTCTTGTTCTAGCAAAGAGAAAGTTGCCTTTCTGCCTGCAGAAATTATCAAACGCCTCTTTTGTATTTTAATTTCATGAGAAGGATTGAGAAGAGATGGGGGGTGGAGAGAGAGGAAAAACTGTGTTGCTTCTCTCTTATTCATGAAATTAACTCAGTCACTGCGGATGAGTTTAAAACAAGGCAGAGCAAGAAGGTTCAGAGTCCTCTGGTAAACCTATGAATTTTTCTTCGTATTAGCATTTCTAGCTTTAAAAACATCGGTTATGTGTCAGAACTGTAAGAGAAAGGTCAGCATAATTGTTTCTGAGAATGATGTCTAATGAAACATTTGAGATGTAGGGATCTGTGCCAAGATGCAGAGAGAACAGACAATTTACTAAAATATGGGGCTTCACTGGAAAAAAATAGAAGTGGACAAAACAAGTATGTGTAGGTTTTCAACAAGCAGGTGCAAGATATGGTGTAAGTAAGCTGCTGGAGTGGTTTGGTTACTTGTCCCTTCAGAAATAAGGAGGATATGGCATTTCAGTTGGGTTTTGAATAGCATAACAGGCTTTATGACAGTGTGGGAGGGCCGCAGGCCGAGGAGACAGTAAAGGTGAATACCAAGCAAGGAAGACATAACCATGGCCAGGCCCCAGTGAGTGGGTTGAGACAGATGAAATATTTCTAGGTCAAAGCTGGTGGTGTTATAGGAAATCAATATGGAAAGATAAAGGCAGATTTTTGGAGCCCAGACTACCATGGTGTTGAACTCTAACAGAGCAGAGACACTGCACAGAAGATACACACCTTCCCCTCAGGAAATTCCTGGTGCAAATGACCACAAGTTACTAGAAGGCAGAGACTGACTTCACGGAGAGTCTTGACTGGGTGGGCTCTTTAAGTATTCCAGGGAGATGGTGAGAAAGGCCCCTGGTGCAGCTGAATGACAGGGAATGTGAACATGCCAGCACTGGTTGCTAGATGGATGGAGGATAGAAAGAGCATGAGAAAAACAAACAAACAAACAAACAAAAAAACTGGGATGATCCCACCCAGGACAAAGCTGGTGCTGTGAGGATTTCACATGTATATGGCAGGAAACTGTCAGAACTGTGGATGTGAGGGCAGGTAGAGAGACCAGCAGTAGAAGAAAAGATACGGAAAGGATCCATATCTGAGTAATCGTGAAAAACCCAGGAAGGACTGCCGTCCATTTGGTGGAAGTGGGGAATGAAAAGTGAGTTGGCTAGAATGTCTGGGGGAGTGCAGGTGTGTGATGTCTGTTCTGTTTTTTCAGGGGAGAACAGACTTGAGCACCTTTATGAGAGTAAGAGTTATAAAACTGCTCTGTACAGAAATAGGGATCAGTGGCTCAGTCAGGATCCTAAAGTTAGGAGAGGGATTATAATCAAAGGCAGAGGCAGAAATGTAGGCTTTGCTTTGAAAAAGGGGAAGGAGATCCGTGTAAAGGACAAGAACTTGCGACATGGAGGGAGGATATGTCACTTGGAGTCGGTCATGATGAGGGTGACTACAAGTCACCCTGGGATGAGTACAACTCATCTCAGCCAAGTGAAGTGGGATGCAGTGGCAAGGAGCGGGATTGGGGGCTTGAAGTCGATGAACATGGAACAGCGACTTGAAGTAGGTCACGTGTCAAACAAAAGCCAAGCAGAGTCTCCCCGGGTCTTGGCAAGGACTCCTGCAGACTGGTCTCACATTCATTTGAACAATCTGATACGGGCAGCTACTCTTTATTTTCTGAACTGTTAGGTATAGTTCAGAAACCAATTGAGGAACAAAAGCAAGAAGAAAAAATATGGCAACAGCAAGTGAAAGAACAAAGGCAGAGAAGAAAAACGGCAGAGTAACCTACATTTTAGCAAGGGAACAAAGGGAGCTAGAAAATCTAGATCACAAAAGGGTAATGAGTTGCTTCTCTGTACAAGTTCCAGCATTGTACAGCTTTCATAAGTACGTTGAGGTCAGGGAAGGGAGTCAATTAGTGTCCAAAGTCAGAAGAGTGGCATGTGCCCTGAAAGGCACCCCTGTTCTCTTCTTGTCTTACAAGCAGTAAGAAAGGCTGCACAGAATATGGAGCTTAGGAGTTTCATAGTATATGACTGTTTTTGAAGGTAATTTTTGTGCATTCTATTTGATCCTTAAATAAGTCTGTAAAAAATGTAGACTGTGCTTTGCTTCAGAATGTTGCTTTGAAAACAGACTTTAAAGAAGAGGCTGTCAATGTCAGCTAGCTGGCATCAGAAGACCCCAAGGGCGGACATGGCCGCCAGTCCAAGGCTGCTTCCAGGGGCATTTGGTGCCTCCCTTTTTCCGCAGGTTCTCTTCCCTTCTGGGTTCTCATTCTTGTCCTATCAGATGGATTACTCTGTCCACTTAACACAGTTGTTAAGTCTTGCTTGAATTACCATAACACATGGATGTTCCCTGGATTCCTGGTTAATTCAGATCTAAAGCATAGGACGCTTGAGGGAAATTCATCGCTCCCAGCATTTAGATGATCTATTTGTTTTCCAATGATGACAGCAATGACTTTCATTACAAAAACTTACTTCACTAGCATACATGCTGTGGGTGGGGGACACACAGGGCTTCTGTGGTTTATTTTAACTCCTTGGAACAGGAATCCACATCTGAGTAATCTTTCTCCTCCATTGAAGACAAAAAGGTGGAAAGCATAAAAAATCTAAATTTCACATGGAACCTTGAGTCATTTAAAGGTAATGCTGTTTTGAAAAAAATTATGGATTTTTTTTCTTAAGACAAAGTATTTAATAGGTTTTGGTTTATCAATGTTTGTAAAGGTAGGGTTTTTCATGTTTTTTAGGAACAAGAAAGAAAACAACTATTATCATATAACAAGTACATATGTACTGACATTAATATTTTATATAAGTCTGAAGTATCATGGTGTTAAATGCATACCTGATCGTTTATTTTGATGTGCTTGCTAAATTTTGTATTTATCAGTCACAACGTTTTTAGGCTTTTAAATGACATATATGTTTCAAAAATGGTTCTTAGAGAAACTTATATCATAAAATTAATACATACCAAATTTCAAAAATCTTCCCTTTCTGCCACATAATCAGAGCTCAAGAAAGGTGGTTCAGGAAGGCTCCCTATAGACATGCTTCAATCTACGGAAAAAGTTGAAATGGACTTGGTTTCCCAACACTGTGTTTTATATGTGAACAGCTAATCGCTCATTGTGTCAGCTAAAGAAATGGATAGAAATTTGAGGTTGCCCGTAAGAAGTTATTGAATCAGTCAGAATTACTGACTATAAAAAGAATGGATTGATATTTTTAACGTGTGAAATTGTTCCTAATGTAATTTATAAGCTAGGCCAGAAACTCCCCAGGATATAAGTTGAAACCATTATAAAGATACCAGAAAAGTCCGACACAAATTTTCAAAATTTTTACCCTTTAATTTTTCTCTTTCCTTTGTTAATTTAACAGGCTTTTCTCATGACGAACCAGATGACTCTTGGTAACCAGGTTTGCTCCCCAGCTTCTAATTTCAATATGATGAGAAGTTACATAACATTTACTCCTTTGTAAAGGTTTCTCTGTCATCAGACAAAACTCTGAATAGAAACCGGTGGGTAATCCAGTGTACTGGTTTTTCCTAATGTATTTGGTACTATAGTGTATGAACCGAGAATAATCGAGTCAAGTGAAACCCCCTTTTCCAGTCATAAAATGTCTCATTCATTATACTAAAAGGAGCTGTTCTTTTAAAAAAGCCTTCTTATTTTTCTACTAAATTTTTAGATAAGTATAACCTACTATATTCCTCAAATCTAGGCTTACATTTGAGAAGGGTAAGCTGTGTTTTTTCCTCCGAAGAGTTGGGCTGTGATCTTTACAACGAGACGTCGTTTTTCCCAGCATATTTCTGTTTTCTACCTAAACATTAAGATACACATTTTTCTAGGCATTAGAAATAGTACAATATTGCCTGTGGTCTTTCCATTTGACACCTGTGGCTGGAATATATGTGTCGCTCCAGAATTTATATGTTGGAATTTAAATGCCCCTGTGTGATAGAATTAAAAAGTGGGGACTTTGGGAGGAGGTTAAGAGTGCAATTAGAGACCTTATAAAAGAACTCAATGGAAGTAGCTAGGCTTTTTAGCCCTTCCACCATTAGAGGACACTGTATTTGTCCTCTCTGGAGAACACAGCAACAAGGTGCCATCTTGGAAGAAGAGACCCACCTTCACCAGACATTGGACCTATTAGTGCCTTGATCTTGGACTTCCCAGTGTCTAAAACTGTAAGAAATTTATTTCTTTCCAGTTTCATAAGTTACCCAGTCCAAGGTACTGTGTTATAGCATCAGGAACATACTGAGATGGCATATTTATTGTGGAAATTTTGGTCCTCATACTTAATGAATGGGCTTCAAGTATTTCGTTAGTTTTTAAAAACAGGGCTCCTCCTTTACAATTGATCTCATTTTTATTTTTTAAAAGTTAGCTTTTACAACATAGAACTGGAAAAAATCTCTACTCAGACCTCTAGAGTGTCCTAGATTTTGTGGCAGAATCACTATGGATAATTTATAGGTGCTTGTGATCTCATCTGTGTATTATTTACAGTTTCCTCTATCTATTCATGTGACAAATAATTGCACAAAACGCTACTTAAACAATAGGCAGTAAGCAGTGTGACAGATAGCACACTAATTGAACTGCTGACGGTTTTTCTGTCATGCCAGAATAAAGGGTGATGATCCAGAGTCAGCACCTCAATTAGGAGTGGCCATGTGTCAGTAGTGACAAATCCTAGGCCTCACTAAGGAAGGTCAGATGCAGAGAATCCAAATTCAGAATTATGTTGACAGATAAGGAGTTCAAACAGATTATATAATAAAATTCTGAGTAACATATTTAGCTCTGCAACTCTAGAGAGTGACAGAACTGGTTTTCTATATATTTCTGAGTAAATCTTTCCATTTTTATACCTTTGATTTGAAAAATAAACAACTACACACAGGCCTTGATCGTTTGTAATTTGCAAAAGTTCAAGCCTTGTTAATCTCGTAGGTAGGTGGCATTTATTTATTTCAAAACTAATCAGAAAAGCTATTACTTTCTACAGAAAACCACAGAAGTGCTAGGGGCACTTTTATGCCCAATACAGCCCAATAGGCTATAATATTTTCTTAAATTGCTGAAGAGATTTTTGCCAGAAATAAACAAAGTAGCGCTCACGGACTTGATTTCCACACCAATGTGCAATCTTTACTATGCACATTATTCCAAAGTGACACCACACTGAGGACAAAGAAAGATTGGATGTACATATGGTAAAAAGGCAAGTGAATGAAGCTATACTTTTATTTCATTTCTCTTACTACATCCGCTACTATTTTCACCAATATAGATCTTTAAGCATACACAAATATTGACTATTATCTACAATTATTTATTGTAACACTTGAGTAGAACTATAGGAAGCCTTTGACACTGATTGAAAGTATGGATTCACTGTTAGGTTACAAAAATTTATACATAGCAAAATTTAATTCTCTTTACATTAAAAATACTAGGCTACATAAACAAAACTTTCAAAAGTTTCTGATAATAGCTACCAGAATTAGAAATGTAAAATTAGGCTCAAGACACTAACTCTTCTGGAGTACTGGACTCTGAAGGCACCACCATTGCTGGAAAGAATAGTTAAATCTGTCATGCAAGAGGAAAATAAAACACGTAGCTATTTTTAGAATAGCCATTCTGTACAGAAGAGCGCTTCTCCCAGTTAAAAGAAAAAATCCCAAACAGGTGTTTTTATGGAGTAACAAAAAGAAAAAGAAAAAAAAAAAAAAGATCTGCTGATGTATGATACCTGATGTTCAAATTTAATAGCATCCAGATAAAAGTTTACTTTTGTTAATTTTGAATATATTTCTGCATTGTGGTGTTCTAAAACCCAGGAAACAGCCAAATCACAAGTTACCATTTAACATAAACATACATAGTGGATCCTATATTAAGCAACCCATTTGGAAAGCACTGATGTACCCAACAGTTACATATAGCATTTCATAAAGAACTGCACGGAGTTTACCATTGCTAACACCCAGTACCTATAGTCACCTAATGTCTGGAACACAGTAATGCAGATGGCAAGTTTCTTTTGAAAATGACTTAAGTAGTTTTCTTGTGGAACATCAAACTTTATTATTCCAAGAAATTAAGATATAGGTAAGAAAAAATGAAATGCCAACCCTAATTTAAATTATCTACATCTTCAAGTCTGTTAACAGTAGGAGGTTAGATGTCTGTGGCCAATTTTAAATTAGGTTTCAGATAATTGATATGAAACTGTTTACACAGACCACTGAAAAATGGTTTAAAAAGGTGGTCGTTTGAGTAAGGTAACAATTCTTAATTAAAAAAAAATATACAGAACAAAATTCTATTAAAGATATTTGCATCTCTGGTTATGATACAAATTCTGAAAAATGTATATACCAAATACTCCTTAAGGCAGAGCTGACATTTAACTCTTGAGGATAATAAAAACTGGATCAGTATTTTGTTGAAATAAAACTTATGATAAAAGTGCCTCTGGAATTCTTGTCAATGAATCCGAATCCAGATTCTTTAGTAGTAGGGTCAGCAAATGGAGCTAATTTTAGCATTATTGAAAAATATTTTCTTATTGGCTGAGGAAATTAATGGAACACGGACTTGGGAGAGAAAGCTAGTACAAAAAGTCAATCATGAGACGAATCACACTACCTTTGAGCCAAAGTTTAATAAATGTCAGCAGTCAGAATTGAAACTGCACAACAATTTCAGTTTATTTCCTATGTAGATAACACTTAACTGAGAATAAATGACGTACATGTAAATGTATGGTCTCATCTTTTGATGCCGGCATGTCACCAGTCCATATCAAAGAGTACCACATATTACACTGAGTGTTTTGGGAGAAATGTTCTAGCAGTAAATGTGAATGTGCCCCCAGTTTCCAAAGAGTGAAAGGTCATTTTGTCAAAGTGTTGCCTTTTAAAATGGCTAACATGAAACTTCCAATATTTGCTCTAAAGAAAAAGATTTCCTCACTGCAAGGTATTCCAGGCGCTGCATCCCAGCAGCTTGAGAGAGAAAGTGAGGTGTTTGAATGTCTACATTAGTTTGGTGGAATACTCATGTGTAATGCAGAGCAGCTGTCTCATAATTTGTCAGGGCTGTAAATGCATTGACTGAAAGCCCCCCGGCAAACATTCGTGTGTAAGAATTGAGTTACTTCTTTTACTGAAACTGGATATATTGTAGTTCCTGTTCTTTCTTTGCTTTGATATCCTGGTAAGCCTGCATTTTGCTGGCATCCAAGTAAGACCAGTTAGAAAACAGTATCATGAGAAAGTGGATCTGGAAGAGAAGGTTGAGCATGATGTCTAGTGAGCATGTGAGAAGGCAAAACAAAGTGCTAGTTAGATGAGACGTACTTGATGTTAAAGGGGAAGAGGGTTATTCTGTATTAATACTTGCTCTGCTAGCAGAGCTAGTAGAATCCTAAAAGTGTGCTCTACTACTTGGCTTCACATTAAAAAACTGAAGAAAAGTAAGTACACAAACATTGCAAAGTCTTTCTATTAACTCTTAAATGTCTGTGTACTCATCAGTCTCGGTGAGTAATATAATAAACACCTCTCACTACAACTGGGATTTGTCTACCTAAATAGACATTTATAAAATTTGCCTCCAGTGTATATTGAGTCAATGCTACTGAGGCATTTAAATTCCTGACTGTTATATTATCTTTAAAAGTTTGTTCATATGTTGATATTTCTTATTTTGTCTGTCACCTTACAAGTTATATATTATTATCCCTCTTTATTGCTTGCATTTTTCTTAAAAATCTCCTTTGCCTCATATAGTATCAGTGGCCTTACTTTTTTGACAAATACTTGTTAATTTTCTCTAAACCTTCATTTTCAATATTTCAGTGTCATTATTTCAAGGTAAAAGCAATTTTTTCTCTCAATCTAATATGAGTATTTTATATTTTAACACAGAAATTTAAACAGTTTATATCTAATATGGTTACTCTGTTATCTCCATAACCGATATCCGATTAGACAGTTGTTCTACCCTGGATTTTCTTTGTCTCTGCCTTTGCCTCCCATTTGCCTTAGTTTTTCTCTTCCTCTCCCCACCCACCACATGTTTTCCCTAACTGTGTTGATTTAATTGTCTTACTCATATTTATTTCTTTTCCTGCTTTTGACATTAATCACGATATTTCTACCCTTTCTGTAGTTAGTCAGTAGGACCCAGTTAGTTAACTTTTTTCTAACAAAGTAAAACATTTATTAGCCCCATAAAAAAAAATTCTTGTAATACCTCCTTCATTTAGAGGTTTACTTTCCTTCATTCTGTAAAAAGAAAGAAGGAAACTTTTATTCTTCTTTTCCTTGGTCTTTTGATAAGTCTTTGATATTTGCATAATCTTTGTGAGTTGAAACTTTGTTTTAAATACCAACAGTGTATGTGGAATCATATTCTGTGTAGAGATTATTTTTGTATTCTGCCTGCTGCCCTTTCTACACATTTTTGTCTTACGGTGTTTTTCATGAATGTAGATGAAAGCTTCCTACTCTGAGCTTGACTTTCATAACTTCTCTTTCATAGATGGTCACCAGATAAAATGAAGGCTTCTCGGTTACCTTTTCATTTTAAATAAACAACAAAAAGCATTTTAGTATAATTGTCAATATTCTTGTAACTTAGTAATATTCTCATTATTGCATGGACAGACTTATACTAAAAATAATTATTTGTTTTTTGTCAACAAATTGTCAAATTTCAAATTAAAATGTGACATTTAAATTCCTGTATTTTCTCCCTACATGTGGCAACCTTACTTTGAGATCTACTTAGGAAACTACTTATTCTTGCTATATTTATACTGAATCTACTGTATAAGAAACAAACAAAAAATTCTTTGATTTCCTTTAGCATGTGCTTCATTTTTCAATGATGAATAATTGTCTATTTAAAATATTTATTTGTGTCCTGCTACTCACCTGTTTTTGCCTTTAGATTCTATTTCTTCATCTCAAACAATACCTAAGCCTAATTATTATGAAGACTCGTGATTTAACTTTTTGTTTTTGAGTGTGACGCCTAAGTGTCTTCCTGGACTAGCCCGTAGGGCATGGAATGTCCACCATTGAATTAGCAATGTTGCCTTTGAAGTGGTAAAGCAATCTTAAGTTCTTGAATGCAAAGTTATTCTTGTTGGGGGGCAGTTTTACGTTAATCTTTCCAGATTTTTAAGAACTTAATTGTTCATATCTAGTAGTTTATACCAGTCTGATTTCGAGGAAGTTATATATTTTAGGTACTGTGAAAATCCTCTCCTCAGTCTTGAATATACCACAGGATAGAGGTTGAGTTATAAATCTTTCTTTCATGGATTTGAATGAAAATCTCATTTTGTGTTAGATCCTAGTATCTGTGGGCATGGCTTTTGGTATTGACTGAAATGTTCCCACTGAATGTCTGAACAACACCTACTTTCAACAATTATTTAGGAAGGGTGTCCAGCCCCACTGAACAAAGAAATGGTCTCTTTCCTGGGAATATATCCAACATTACTCCTCAATTGACTATTTCAACAAACTACCAATGTTGATCTCAAATGAATATTATTGGAGTCCAAACCACAGAAACGATTTCTTTCTTGATATTGAGTTTATTTTTAAAATAATTTTGTCTTACACTTATAATCTCTTGCTTTCATAAGAGTTCCTTTTGCAAATTTTCACTTTGCTCCCGAGAGCTAGAAATAAGTGCTTGATTTCTTTTAATTCACTCATTACATAACAAATAAAACCTCTTAGAAAGGTGTTATTACTATATCCTTTCAGCAATTGTGGCAAGACATATTTTTGCTTATATTTTCTGGAAGCATTGCCAACTATATTATCTTCCCAAGTGTATGGCAGGTATTCTATCTTTTCTTCCTTGATCTATATTATTTATATGCTATCAATCAGTTTCACATATATTATGAAGACTTTGAGATCATTTAATTTTGGTGAAGACTTTATTTTATACAATCATTTTATTGTAGGTAAATCACATCATGTCATTCTGTGTAATAATATCATCCCATGATTTGCATTACGAGATTTCCTTTCCATGGTACTTTAAAAGCCTTTCTATAACTTTCACTTTTTAGAATTTCCAGTTACAATGCAGCACGCCAGTGTTTCTGACATAATGTTAGAAAACAAAGTCTCTGAAATCTAGAAAGAGGAAGACAGTTTCTCTAGGGACTTCACGACTTGAAGAGTGATAGTATGATACCTTTATTGGATTCTTTTAGGTCTTCCATACAATATCCCAGATGATGGACTGTAAGAGCTTTTAGTTGAGAATCTCCAATAGGCACAGATAAAAAGGGCTTCGAGGAAATCCTCTTCTCTCCCAGTCAAAATACCAGGAGAGCATGACCTTCCCAACACACAAATCCACAAAACACTTCTAGAAGGAATAATGAAGCTATTCCAGCACGATGGAACCTAAGGGGTTACAGAACAATTCCACGGACAGCGTGCTGCTGAACCATGGGAAGGTTCGGGGCCCAAGGAAGGACCCATCCCATAAAGATGGAATGGGAGCCGGATCACCTCCCAGGGTGTACCTAGTTATCCGACCCAGGACGCAAGATTTGCTCGCTAATTCAAATGAAACCTACACCCCAACCTATGAAGAGGAACTGAGGGTAGGGAAGTGGGTGAATGTGTGTGCAAGAGTAGGGTGATGTGTGTGGGGCTGCAGGCCTCTTAGCGTAGACCGTACATCCTGAGTGAAGTGTGGGACTGACCAGGACTACGGGCAAACGTCCTCTGGAACTAGCACATATGGCTTAGTGAGGCACCCCACAATTTAGTGATTGTGGTGGTCTGGGTTCAGGGTTTATACAAACCCTCCATTAAAGCTAAGCAGCATCTGAAATACTCCTGCAAGGGAGGCTGTCTAATCAGTGTGAAGCACAAAAGTAAAAGTGTAAGTGCATGGTGCCATAACTGTGAGGAAATGGGAGGGAAGTCGTCAAAACCCACCGCATTATAATGTATGTTAAAAAGTTTAAGAAGGGAATTATAGGATCAAGTTGACTCCCCAGAGATAAAAGACCGTTTGTGAAATGGAGTGTCCCTCTTTTAGTGTCACGTGGCCAGCTGAAAGAACAACAGATAGGGGAACAATTGGCCATGTACATCAAGTGGTGACTGGGGTCAGAGGACAGCCAGGGCATCTAGACTAATTTTCTTATCTTCACTCATGGCTAAATATCCTCCAAACTTGAGCAGGATGGCTACAGTCCTACCTGATGGCTTGTTGCAAAACACTTGTGGCTTGAGCCGAGCTTAAAGTACAAGAGGAATTAGCTTCACCACCAGCTATGGAGAGAAAGGAAAAGCCACAAAAAGGGCAAGAAAAACTGGCTTTACAGAAACCACAAGAGGAGACAGAAATCCCTCCTCCCTATACCCCTATCTGCCTCCCTTTACCGAGGCCAACGGCCTCTGAGGAGTCAATTCAGAAGGTGACACACCCCAGGTTTCACCCCAAAGGGAGAAATCAGAGCCCCTGTCCCAGGAGGTCAAGGAGGACTGTCAGAATAATCAAGAGAGCTGCCTCTGGTCTGGCCATGCCCCGGTTCTGCAGATGCCTCTCAGGGAGACTTGGGGACCCCTCTACTATGATGAACATGGCCATATTCAATGGGGGGCAATGGACCTCCATCTGCCAGCCTATTTTAATCACTGATCCCCTAAACTGGAAATACCATATTCCCTCCTACATGGAGAAGCCCCAGGCCCTCTTAGATCTGATGTAGTCTATTTTCCAGACACATAATCCAACTTGGCCAGATAGTAAACAGCTTCTGTTGCTGCTGTTCAACACTAAAGAGCACCGATGGATGGCTCAGTCAACCCTCCACTGGCTAGAAGCCAATGTGCCATTCCAGGCATACGCTCAGTTCCAGTTCCCAGAGGAAGACCCCCACTGGGACTCACATGCTTTGACCCAGTTTCAGCACCTGCAGAGGTACTGAGGAGCCCTCCTGCAAAGTCTGAAGGAAGGCAGAAAACAAGCAGTCAGTATATGAAAAATCTCTAAAGTGCTTCCAGAAACTGATGAGAGCCCTAGCCAATTTTATTAGAAACTCTGTGAGGCATTCTGGCTTTACACTCCTTTCGACACTGAGGATACTAAGAATCGGCAGATGGTAAGCACAGCATTTGTAGGACAAGCCCAGGGGGATATCAGGTAAAAACTGCTGAAGCTAGATGGTTTTGCAAGCATAAAGGCAACCCAGCTTTTAGAAGTGGCCACCAAGGTGTACATTAACTGTGACCAGGAGGCACAAAGGGAGGCTGATTGGAGACTCAGGAAGCGGGCCAATCTGCTAGCGGCAGCCCTCATGGAAAGGGAAGCTATCGTCACAAGCAGACGCAGATACAGATGCAGATGTGGAAGGGGCCAAACAGGGCAGAGACTCAAAAGTCAGCTGAGACTAGATAGGGATCAATGTGCACAATCCAAAAAGAGGGGACACTGGAAAAATAAGTGTTTAGAGGGCAGTAAAAGAAATAACAGTGGACATAAATCTATAAAATGGCCAGCCAAGGACCACCACACCCTAAGGGGGCCAGGCATCAACTTGATGAGGCTGGTAGAGACTGAAAAATATGAAGACAATGCAAGACTGGGCTGCATCTCCCAAGGCCCCCAGGAGCCCGTGATCACAGCAGAAGTAGGGGATCAACAGATGGACTTTATGGTGAACACTAGCACTAATCACTCAGAAGTGATACAGCCCATAGAGCCACTATCTAAACACGATGCAACTATTATTGGGGCTACAGAGGTCCCAGAAAAGAGGCCATTTTTCTGGCCAAGGAGTTGTGTCATAGGGGGACAAGAAGTCCAACATGAAATCCTATACCTCCCAAATTGCCGAGTTCCCTTACTTGGAAGGGACCTGCTCCAGAAACTGCAGGCACAGATTGCTTTTGGGACACACTAGGATATAACTTTAAACCTAACTCACCCAAAGGTCATGGTGTTAACCCTCATCATTACACAGGCTGAGGAATAAAGAATATACACATAACAGTCACCGGAATTGTCTCAAAAGCCTGGGCTGGAGAAGTTATTTATGCTACCTGGTAAAATTTTTGGACTATGGGCTAAGAATAACCCACTGGGGCTGGCTCTAAATCAGGCACCAGTAATAGTAAAGCTAAAACCGGGAGCAACCACAGTTGAGGTTCTCCAATACCCATTTCCCTGAGAAGACACACAGGGCATTCACAAACATTTAAAGTGACTTTTCAAACACAGAAACTTCGTCTGGCGCCAGTCAACCTGGAACACTCTACTCCTACCGATACAAAATCCAGGGTCTGGTAAATATAAGCCAGTGCAAAACTTACATGATGTGAACCAGGCTACTGTAACCATCCACCTGGTGGTACCAAACCCATACACACTAATAGGACTCATTCTGGCAAGTGCTGCCTAATTTACTAGCCTGGACTTAAAGAATATTTTTTTCTGTCTTCACCTGGCACCAGTTAGTCAGCCCATCTTGGCATTTCAATGGCACGATTCAGTCACAGGCATGGGGGAGGAGCTCACATGGGCTAGACTCCCACAGTCTTTGGAAACACACTGGAATCAGACCTTAAGGCCCACACCCCACCAAATGACAACTGTGCCTTGCTACAATATGTTAACAACCTTCTCCTGGCAGACCCAACGCCAGGGGACTGCTACCAAGGAACCCAAGTCTTTCTCCACCATGTTTATAGAAAACTGGTTATAAGGTATTCAGAAAGAAGGCCCAATTTTGCCAAGAAAGCATAAAAAATCTGGGATTCATAGTAAGCCAAGGGGAACACTGGCTTAACAGTGAGCAAAAGCAACGTGTTTATGCACTCCCAACTCAGGCCACCCAGTGCCAAATAAGAAAATTCTTGGGGAAAGCATGGTTCTGCTGTATATGGATCCCAGATTTGTTACTAATGGCCAAGCCCTTACATAAGGGCACAAAGAGGGGGGAAAGGGAACCCCTCCTTTTGGAGGTTGTCCAGGAGAAGAAGGTGTTTAAACAACCCAAACAAGCCTTAACTAAGGCCCTAGCCATAGGACTGCCAAATATAATCAAGCCTCTCTTCATGAACAAAAGGGATTGGCTATAGGGGTCCTGAGTCAAGTCATGAAATCATGACATCACCCAGGGGTGTACTTATCGACACAATTGAACTCTGTGGCCCTAGGGTAGCCTCCTTGGCTTAGGGCACTAACTGCCACCTCCTTATTGGAACAAGAAGCTAAAAAACTGACTCTAAGACAACAACTGACCATCCAGGTACCGCATTCAGTTCTAACTTTAATGGATTAGACAGGGCACCATTAGTTATCAAGTCCGAGAATGACTCGGTACCAGGTGCTCTTATGCAAAAATTCCCACATAACTTTCAAAATAATAAACACCCTTAAGCTGGCTATCTCCTGCTCCCGATTGAACCTGGAGTCCCCTTTCATGACTCTATGGAAACAGTAGACACGGTACTCTGAATCCAGAGATACCTTACAGAACAACCCCTTTGGAACCCAGATGTTAAATGCTATACATATAGAAGCAGCTTTACACTGAAAGGTGTCCAGCAAGCTGGGTATGCTGTGATGATATTAGACTCAGTGGTAGAAGCTCAGCCACTGCCCACCAGAATGTCAGCCCAAAAGGCAGAGCTAATAGCCCTAAGGAGACCATTTTGCTAGCAAAAGGCGAAATGGTCAATGTTTATACAGATTCCAAATATACGTTTGCCACGTTGCATGACAATGGGGCTATATATAAAGAAAAAGGACTCTTAATGGCTGTAGGCAAAAAAATAAAGTACAAAGAAAAAATTCTGCAACTCTTAGATGCTGTATGTGCTTCGAAGAAGATGGCTGTTATGCACTGCAGGGGGCACCAAAAGGCAGGAACACTGGAGGCCAAAAAGAACAAAAAGATAGACAGAGAGGCAAGAGGGGCAGCAATGACTACCCTTCAGTTTAAGAAGAAAGCCATAGCTATGCCTCTACTTCCAAAGCCTCTCCTCTCGGAGGTTTCAAGTTACCTCCAAATGAGAAGCCCTGCTTTGCCCAAGAGTCTGGAAAATATATAAAATGTTATGGTGAAAATTCTCCAACAGGAGGCTAGCCAACCATGAAACAGTGGCTCTAAAATTTGTAAGACAATTCTATCAAGGAACCCATATGGGTAAAACGTCACTGAAAACACTATTAGGACACCATGTTTATGTGCTGCGGCTGCCTGCCATCACTTGATCCATCTGCAAACAATGTCTAACTTGTGCCCAGAACAAGCTATGACAAGGGCCCACTAGGCCCCTGGGAATTCAGGAAACGGGAGCCACACCCTGTGAAAAACTTCTTATAAACTTCACCAAACTGCCCCAATCAGGGGACTATCAGTACCTACTGGGGCTTGTCTGTACCTTTTTGGGATGGTTTGAGGCTTTCCACACCCCAACAGAGAAATCAGGAGAAGTAACTGAAGTACGGTTAAGAGATATTATCCCCAGATTTAGACTGCCTCTAACTCTGAGGTCAGAAAATGGGCTGGAATTTACAGCTGAGATAATTCAGGGACTAACATGGCTGTTAAAAATAAAATGGAAACTAAACACAGTCTACCTGTGACAAAGCTCAGAAAAAGTAGGATACATGAACTAGACACTCAAACAGCTTCTAAAAAATATTGCCAAGAAACCCATCTGGAATGGAATCAAGTCCTGCCCATGGTGCTCCTCTGAGTCAGGTATACCCCCACAAAACAAACTGGATATTTGTCCTATGGAATCTTCTGCCGGCCACCCCCAATCATAGCTCAAATTAGGGGTGACATTTGTGAACTAGGGAAATTAACTTTAAGAAGGCAAATGCAGGCCTTAAAGACAGCCATGCAAGTGGTCCATGGCTGAGTATGGGAAAAACTGCCCATAAGCCTAGCAAAACCAGCATACTCCTTTAGACCTGGGGCTTCTGTGCACATAAGAAATAAAATCCAACCACTTTAGGACCCACATGGGATGGGCCCTATACTCTAACCTTGTCCACTTCCACGGCAGTTAAAGTTGCAGAAACTGTGCGCTGGATCCTCCACAGTCAGTTAAAACTGGCAGCCAACATGACCCAGATCACTGGAGCCAGTTAATCCTGTGACAGGACCAAGTTGCCATGAGAAATGATGACAGCCCTGCTCTGGTCACTCCAAAAGCTGACCAGTCTCTGCTCAGCTAAAATCTGAGGAGTCAACAGCCCTGCTCTAGTCATCCTGGAAGTTGACTAGTCTACGTACGGTCAAAGCTGGAGTAAAATAATAATAAAATAATGATTAAAATCTTAAA
Source organism: Homo sapiens (assembly GCF_000001405.40). Classification (NCBI taxonomy): domain Eukaryota; kingdom Metazoa; phylum Chordata; class Mammalia; order Primates; family Hominidae; genus Homo; species Homo sapiens. The sequence goes on along the minus strand of NC_000024.10, from coordinate 18,569,342 downwards.
TCAAATCGTTGTTTTACTATCGTTCTGTCACTTTCTTCAAACTCCTCCGCTGGGTAAAAACCTCTTCTTTTCCTCTTGGATATAAACATGTTACTCTTTACTTAGTTCCTACTCCAGGCACAGGGATAACTAAGCCCACTTCTTTCCCTCCTAACTGTAATACTCCCCTTATTTGTGTCAGAAAAGGAGACCATAGAAGAGTGCCCCCACTACACTCACAATACTCAGTCAGGGAGCACCATAACCAAAACCCTGTTATACCACATTTATCAAAAGTAGACAGGGACCCACCTAGGAACTTGTACTCACAACCAGACAACTTACTCAGTCTGTGACCCAGGAAACGGCCAGCGTTATGTATGTTATAACCCAAAATTCCTACCTGGGACCTCTTTTAAAGTTTATGGGTCAAAAGAAGGAAACCTGCCACACCAAACCAAGGCCTCACCCTCCCACAGGGGAGTTATGTCCTTATCTTTTAATATGTGCCAGTTAACATTGATGGGCACAACCTTTCCCATAATCTCCAATTCTGAAGAGCACCGTAATAGTTGTCACAAAAATATATGTGCACCCCTTGCTTGCTTTGCCAATTTCTCAGACAACTTGCTGGAACTGCATAATTCAGTCCTCTAACCTGCAATCGCCGGGGCCAGTCATACTTACCAAAATACCTGAACAAAAAATTGTAAGACAAGCTGTTGCAATCTTGTAAATCTCACCATCTTAAACCGGATCTGCCCATATGGAATGCAGGTTTAAAGACTCTGCTGGAAATACAAGGTAGTGGCCAGAAAACAGACTCAGAAGTCTATTGATATATTATCAAGAAATCTTGGATACATTCCACCCAAAAACTCCAAGTTTATAAGTCATTCCTTAAAAATATCAACCAGAAAATATTTGAGCCCTCTCCCTTAACCACAATCCCGTTTGCTTAATTGGCTGAAAACATAGCCGGCAGCCTACATAACTCCTCATGCTATGCTTGACGGGGCACCAATGGCCATGGGAGGCAAGAAAGCTAATGCCCCAAAATAACTTCACTCGTACTGTCTCTTCCCCCGAACCTGTGTTCACAAGCAAGAGCATCTGGTTCTTAAAGACCTCCATTATCAGAAAATTCTGCATTGCTCGTCGGAGAAACACATTTACAGACCCAGCAGGAAAGTCAACTTGCCTAGAACAATATTACACTAAAACACTAAGAAACACTGTCTGTTGGAGTAAAAATAATTCCAAACCACCCCAACCAAGCCCATTTTCCTGATTCCCTTCTCTAAACCATTGTTTGTACCAACTTAAAGCTCCCAATACCTGGCAGGTGCCCACTGGCCTCTATAGTATCTGTGGGCCATAGGCATATTGGCCGTTGCTGGCTAAATGGTCAGGGGCCTGGGTACCAGGAACAATTAGGCTGTCTTCTTTCTAATCCCCTTGGAACAGGGAGAATCTTTAGGATACCCAGTCTATGATAAAACAAATACAAAACAAACAAAAATTCAAAAGACATAACCATAAGAAATCGGTAAAACAATAAATGGTCCCCTACAAAAAAAAAAAATCGAATACCATGGCCCAGCCACCCAGGCAGAAAATGGAATGTGGTGATAGTGCATCCCTATTTTCATGCTCTACCACCTCATAAGGTTACAGGTGGTGCTGAAAATTATTATTAATAATACTGCAAATGCCCTAAATCTGCTGGCCCAACAAGCCACAAAAATGAAGAATGCTACTCATCAAAATCGACTGGCCTTAAACTACCTCCTAGTCCAGGAAGGAGGGGCATGTGGAAAGTTCAGTCTAAAAAATTGCTGCTTAGAAATTAATATCAAATTAAAGGTCATCAAGAATATAACTGCCAAAATCCCAAAACTGGCCCATGTTACAGCCCAGACCTGGAAAGGATAGTCTCCAGTTTTCCTATTCAGGGTCTCGTTTTCATCCCTTGAAGAATTTAAGACCTTAGCAAAAATAGTTCTAGCCATACTAGGATTCTCCCTTGCTCTCTCTTGTCTCTGACCTTCCTTGTTAGAAACATTCAAGCAGCCATGGAGGCCATGCACGACCGCTCAACTAATGGCTCTAACTAAATACCAACCACTGACAAATAGGGAACTGCCCCACCTTGAAGAATTAAATGGTGATTATATTCTCTATTAAACCTCATTTAAGAAAAGCATCAAAGGTGGAAATGAATTGGGGAATGCTAAAAAACAACACCACACACACACAAAAAATTTTCTCTGTACTGAGGTGACTCACTCCAACACCCAGTGATAAGCCAGAACCTGTTGGGGCTCTAATAGCACTATTAGCAGAGCTAGGGCCTGGAAAGAATGGATTTGAGAAGCAGGAATGAGAAAAACAAGTTCTTCTTATCAATTTCCCCTCTTTAGAACTCTCATGCCACACCAATATTCTTTGTGCTGCTCTCACAGCTATTTTTATAACCACTTCTGGAGGTTTACAAACATTTTGAAAGTTGCTGTTGTTTTTCTATCCAAGTATTATTGCAAAGGTCATGAGACATGCGTGAGTTACAACACCTGTCACTTTCTTTAAAAAAGTGTCTTTGTTCTGCTTCTATAAGCTTGCTTGCCCATCCTGCAGATTTCATGCCACTAGCTGGCCAACCCTCTTTGGGTGCTTGTGTTAAAAGTCAAGCCCTGTCTTTGTTCAGGGCTCAGCCTTTAAATGCTATTCCACTAAGTCAAGCTACATCCAATAAAATCCTCCTGTTCCACTCATTGGTCTCTCCTGTTCCTTAATTCCCACAACAGTAGGAGATTTGTCCTTTATTCTAGGGATGAGCAAACAGCCAGGCCCTTTTCTTCTGGCACCATAGTGTTACTCTTCAAATATGAAAGCTGTTTTCACAAGTAAGGCCACCTCTTCATCCCTCCCAAATGTTGGAAATACATCATCTTACAAACATTTCCAAACATCTGGTTAGCAGTTTTCTGGTTAAAGTCATGGCTTTCAGAAACATACAGAATTACTTAAAGAGGCAAGGGGTTTTGAGAAGTTTGATTTTGCTGATTCAAGAGTAAATGTGCTCTGGAAAGCACTCTGTAAGTCCTCATCTAGAGCCTGTCTCTGCTGGGCAGTTTCCTTGGGGCTGATCATATGACAGTGAATCAAACCAAACTCGTTTCATCCTGAATTTCTAGCCACTGAGGCAGATGATCAGTAAGCTATTACTCAGTACTGCAGCAGGGGTGGGCTGAAGCAGGTGAGTAGGGGCCATGGCCACAAGAGGGAGTTTCTGACAGGCAGCCATTTGTCACAGACCTGGGAAAGGGAGTAAAAAGAACACAATAAGATGAGGGAATTCAACTGAATAACTTGGTGTTCTGCCTCTGAGATGGAATGTCGATTATAATATTGGCTTTAAAAATTATTGACTGGGCTCGTTGGCTCACGTCTGTAACCCCAGCACTTTGGGATGCTGAGGCAAGTGGATCATGAGGGCAGGAGATCAAGACCATCCTGGTTAACATGGTTGAAACCAGATCTCCACTAAAAAAAAACAAAAATTAGCCAAGCGTGGTGGCATGCACCTGTAGTGCCAGCTACTTGGGAGGCTGAAGCAGAAGCATCACTTGAACCCAGGAGGCAGAGGTTGCATTGAGCTGACCACTCAACTGTACTCCAGCCTGGGCAAGTTGGTGAGAGTCCATCTAAAAAAAAATAAGAATAATAAAAATAATTTATTAAACAGCATAGTGAGTAGCATTGGTGTTATTGAGAAATTTTTATATTCCTCATTTCACTTGTTCATCTGGGCTCAAAGGAAATTGAAAAGTCTGAAATTTACTGTTTCTGATATAAGGTGCCCAATGGACGTACTTCATTTCTTTCCGTTGTGTCCAAAGATCCTTCAGTATTCCACTGTGTAGTTACAAAATATACACCAGAGCAAAGAAGTAGTTTTTCTTCCTCTTTCTTTCTTAACAAAGAGGTGCTTAAATAACATTGCTATCTTGAAATTACTATTCCATATAAGAAAGAAACCTCATTTATGAGTAACTTTTTTCTTCTTGTTCTTCTAGCACAGAGGATGTTACATTTCTGCCTGTGGAAATGATCAACTGTCTCTTCAGTTATTTTAATTTTATGAGAAGGATTGAGAAGAGATGGCAGGTGTAGATAGAGTAGATAGAGAAAAAACTGTGTTGCTTTTCTCCTATTTTTGAAACTAACTCAGTCCCTGTTGATGACTTTAGAACAAGGTGAGCAAAAAGTTCAGAGTCCTATGGTGAACCTATATATTTTTCTGCTTATTTGCATTGCTAACTTACCAAAAAAAAAAAAAATAGGTTATGGCTAGAACCAGAAGAGAAAGGTCAGCATAGTTGTCTCTGAGAATGAGGTCTATTTAAATATTTGAGATGTAGGGACCCATGCCAAGATGCAGAGGGAAAAGACAATTTGTTAAAATATGGGCCTTCCCTGGAAAAAATAGAAGTAGGAGAAACAAATATGTGTATATTTTCAAGAAGCAGGTACAAGATATTGTGCAAGTAAGGTGCTGGAGTGGTTACTTTTCAATTCAGAAATAAGGAGGAGATGAAATTTCATTTGGGTCTCCAACAGCATATCAGGCTTTATGACAGAATGAGAGTGCCACAGGTTGAGGAGACAGTGAAGGCAAATGCCAAGCAAGGAAGATACAGCCATAGCCCAGCCCCAGCAAGCAGGTTGGTACAGATGAAACATTTCTAGTACAACGTTGGTGGTGTTGTGGGAAATCAATCTGGAAAGAAAAAGGCAGATTATCAGAGCCCAGAATACCAAGGCATTGGACTCTGCCAGAACGGAGACACTGCACATGAGATACATATCTTCCCTTCAGGGAATGCCTAGTGCAGATGACCACAGGTATCTGGCAGGCAGAGACTGAATTCACAGAGAGCCTTGACAGGGCTGTTTCAGTATTCCAGGCAGATGATGAGGAAGACCCCTCTTGCAGCCACAGGACAGGGAGTGGGAATGTGCCAGCGCTGGTTACTGGGTGGATGGAAGATAGAGCGTGAGCGAAGAACTGGGATAATCACTCCTGTGATGAAGCTGGTGCTGTGGAGTTTCTGCATGTGTTTGGAGGGAAACTATCAGAAATGTGGATGTGAGGCTATGTATAGAGATCAGGAGTAGAATAAAAGTTATGGAAAGGGTCCACATCCGAGTAATTGCTAAAACCCTAGGAGGGGCCGCCGTCCACTTGCAGGACTCCGTTTCAAAACAAAACAAAACAAAACAAAAAACAAAAAACATAAACAAAAGCCAATTAAACAAAAAACGGAGCTTAAACAAGAGGTTGTCAACGTCAGATAGCAGGCAGTAGAAGAAACCAAGGGTGGAGGTGGCTTCCATTCCAAGGTTGCTTACAGGGACATACACCGCCTCCCTCCTTCCTCTGCACCTCTGCTTCCCTTCTGTGTTCTGATTCTGGCTTAGCAGATACATTTCTCTGTCCAGTTAACACACATTCTAAGTCTTGCTTGAATTACACCAACATATGATGTTCCCAAGACTCCTGGTTAATTCAAATCTAAAGCACAGGCCACTTGAAGGAAATTAATCGCTTCCTTCATTGAGATGACCTATTTGCCTTCTGTTGATGATAGCAATGACTTCAATTTTAAAAATCAGTTCACTGACATACATGCTGTAATTTAAAAATTGCGATTATATTACGGCCTTTTTAAACACTTAAAATATTTTACAAATGTATTTGTGTATTTCCTGCTTTGGTGCCCATGTGTTTTAAAGAGGATGATTCAGGAATAAGTGAACACTGAAAAAATGAATTAGATTTAAAAAATGAATTAAGAATGAGTAATGAAGAAACCAAAGACAAATGTGCTCACTGTGAAAATTCCTTAGAGAAATACATAAAAATCATTCAGTGGAAGCAAGACCAGGAGTCAACAGATAAGTTGCCAATGCCCATGGACAGGGGAATCTGTGGGTGGAAGACATCCAGGGCTTCTGTGGTTTATTTTAACTGCTTGCAATGGGTATCTTTCTTCCCCATTGAAGACAAGAAGGTAAAAAGGCATTAAAAATCCAAAGTTTATATGGATCCTTGCGTCTTTCAAATGTTTCACTCTTTTGAGAAAAATTTATAGTTTTTTGCTTAAGATAAAATATTTAAGAGATTTTGATTTGTCAAAGTTTGTAAAGGTTGAGATGACTTACTATTTTAGGAGTAAGAAAGAAAAGACTTATCATCATATAACAAGTACATGAGTACTGACATTAATATTTTATGTAAGTCTGAAGTATCCTGGTGTTAAAAGCATACCTGATGGTTTATTTTGATGTACTTGCTAAATTTTATTTTTAGAAGTCACCACAGTTTTTAGGCTTTTAAATTACATATATGTTCCAATAATGGTTCTTAGGGCAATGTATTTTATAAAATTAATGCATACCTAATTTCAAAATCATTCCCTTTCCCCCATGTAATCAGTGCTCAAGAAGGATGGTCCAAGAATTCTCCCTGCAGGCATGCTTCAATCTAGTGACAAAGTCAAAATGTACCTGGTTTCCCAACACAGCGTGTTCCATACACAAACCCTGAATGGTTCCTTTAGTCAGCCAAGAGAAACTATTAGAAATTTGCATTAAAGAATTTATTGATTCATTAAGAATTACTGACTATAAAACCTGTAAGCTAAGGCAGAAACTCCCCAGGGAAGAAACTGAGAACATTATGAAGATACCAAATAAACCCGAAACAAAATTTTTGATTTTTTTCTATCATAACTGTGGTCTTTCCCTTAATAATTTAACAGGTTAAATAAAATCCTGAGTAACATATTTAGCTCTGCTACTCTAGAGAGTAACTGTTAGAACTAGGTTTCTTTATATTCCTGAGTAAATCTTTCCATCAACTTTTGTACCATCCATTTGAAAAATAAGCAACTGCACAGGGGCCCTTGTTTTGTACTTTGCCCAAGTTTCAGCCTTGTTAATCTTACAGGTAGATGGATTTAATTTGCTACAAAACTGGTCAGAAAACTTTTAACTTTATACAGATAACTACAAAGTGCTAGTGGCAATTTTATGCCCAATACTGCACCAGTGAATTATAATATTTTCTTAAATTGCTGAAGAGATTTTTGCCAGAAATAAAACAAGTAGCATTCACAGACTTGATTTTATAACAATGTGAAATCTTTGTTATGCACATTATTCAAATGTGACACCATACTGAGGACAAAAAAAAAAAAAATGATAGGATTTATTATATGGTAAAAACACAAGTAAATGAAGCTAACATTCTATTTCATTACTCTTAATACATCCACAACTATTCCCACCTAAATATATCTTTAAAATAAGTATGCATAAGTATCGACCATTATCTACAAATATTTATTGTAACACTTGATTGGAACTTCAAGAAGCCCTTGGCACTGATTGAAAATATTTTCTTTTTTTCTTATTTTATTTATTTATTTATTTTTTAGACAGAGTCTCACTCTGTTGCCCAGACTGGAGTGCATTGGTGGGATCTCAGCTCATTGCAAGCCCGCCTCCTGGGTTCCTCCCATTCTCTGGCCTCAACCTTTGGAGTAACTGGGACTATAGGGGCCCACTACCATGCCTGGCTCATTTTTTAACTTTTTAGTAGGAACTGGGTTTTACCGTGTTCGCCAGGATGGTCTCGATCTCCTGACCTCATGACCCATGCACCTCAGCCTCCCAAAAATGCTGGGATTCAAGGATTGAAAATGTTGATTCACTTTTAGATGTTGAAAATTTATACATAGCACGATTTCATGCTCTTTACATAAAAATGTCAGACTACTTAAACAAAACTTTCAAAAATTCCTGTAGCTACCAGAATTAGAAAAGTAAAATTAGGGTGGAGACACTGCCTCTTCTAGAACACTGGACTCTGATGTACCACGACTGCTGGAAAAAAAAAAAAAAAGTTAAATCTGTCATGCAACAGGAAACAAAACACTAAAATATTTTGAAATAGCCGTCCTACACAGAAGACAGCTTCTCCCAATTTTAAAAAAAACACCCCAAATAGGCGTTTTTATGGAGTAATCAAAAAAAAAAAACCCTCAACTGATATATGATACTTGATGTTCAAGTTTAATAGCACCCTGATAAAGGTATGCTTCCTTCCTCAATTTTGAATATATTTCTGCACATGTATACTATAAAATACAGGAAACAGTCAAATCGTGTTAATTCTTAACATGAATATACATAGTTAATCCTAAATTAAGCAGCCCATTTAAAAGCACTGATGTACCCAACAGTTACATACATTATTTCATAATGAAAAACACAAAGATTACCATCACTAATACCCAGTACCTCCTGCATCAGCCTTCCGAGTAGATGGGACTACAGGCCACTGCCACCACGCCCGGCTAACTCTTTGTATTTTTAGTAGAGATGGGGTTTCACCGTGTTAGCCAGGATGGTCTCGATCTCCTGACCTCCTGATCTGCCTGCCTCCACCTCACAAAGCGCTGGGATTACAGGTGTGAGCCTCCATGCCCAGCCACAAGTAATTAAATTTAAATTGAAAGGTGACATTTCAAATGTATTATTATCACCCTGCACCTGGCAAACTTACTTACAGATCTACTTAGGAAAGTACTTATTCTTGCTATATTTGTGTGGAATCTACTGCATAAGAAACAAACAAAAAAAAAATTGAGTTCCTATAATATATGGTTCATGAACCTTCATATATGGTTCACTTTTCAAAAATGTATAATTGTCTATTTTAAAAATTTATTTTTGTCCTCCTACCACCTGTTTTTGCTTTTAGATTCCATTTCTTCATCTCAGAGAACACCTAAACTTACTCATTTTTTATTCAACTTTTTATCCTTGGGTACGACCCTTAAGTGTGTCTTCCCTGGCTACCTCCTAGGACGTGGAACATCCATCAGTGAATTGTTAATGTTGTCTGTGAAGTGGTAAAGCGATCTTTAGTTCTTGAGTGTAAAGTGATACTTATGGGGGGAGTTTTATGTTAATCTTTTCAGGATTTTAGGAACTTAATTGTGCAATCTAGTATTTTATACCAGTTTCTGCTTTGGGGGTAGTTATATTATGTAGGTAACATGAAAAATCTAACCTCAGTCTTGCATATCCCACAGGATAGAGGTTGAGATAAAAATCTTTTCTCATCAATTTCAATAAAAAACCGCATTCTGTGTTAGATCCTGCTATCTGCAGGACATGATGTTCTGTACTGACTTAAATATTTTACTTAAATGTCTGAACCACACTTTTTTTCACCAAGTATTTAGGCAGGGAGCCCAACCCCGCTGAACACAGAAATGGTCTCTTTCCTGGGAATATATCTAAATTTACTGCTCTGTTGACTGTTTCAATGAACGACCAAGTTTAATCTCAAACTAATATTGCTAAAGTCCAAACCTCAGAGCTGTTTCTTTTCTTGATAGTCAGTGTGATTTTTTAAAATTTGTCATACAGTTATAATCTCTGGCTTTCATAAGAGTTGCTTTTGCAACTTTTAACTTTGCTCCAGTGAACTAGACATAAGTGCTTGATTTCTATTAAATCATTTGCCACTTAACAAATAAAACCTCTGAGAAAGGTATTTTTACTATAACCCTTCTGCAGTTGAGGAAGTACATATTTTTGATTACATTTTCTGGAAGCCTTGCCAACTTTATTTCATTTCCAAGTGTAGGAGAGGTATTTTATCATTTCTTCATTGATCTATATTATTAATATGCTATAAATCATTGGCTAGTTTACATATATTATAACAAATTTGTTGGGAACAGGCCATGCTCATGATTGCTATGATGCCCATGCTGAAGGTTGTTGGTTTACCAGAATGAGGGCAAGAAACAGCTGGCACACCCAGGGCAGAAAACTTCTTAAGGCATTCCTGAAACTGCCTCAAGGACAAATTATTGCTGCAGTTAAGTAGCCAGAGCCCATCCTTTGTCTCCCATTTTAGTTAATCTATAATCTATAGAAATAATGCTTATCACTGGCTTGCTGTCAATAAATATGTGGGTACAACTCTGTTCATGGGTCTCAGCTCTGAAAGCTGTCAGCCCCCTGATTCCCACTCCACACTCTCTATTTCTGTGTGTGTGTCTTTAATGCCACTAGCGCTACTGGGTTATGGTCTCCATGACTGATGTGGCTTCGGCAAGTCGTGACCATACGGGGGAATCAAACCCAGGTCAAAGAGTCACCAAAGTGAGGGTGGGAGAATGTGGAACTACACTGAAGGACACCTGGCTACTCTTAAGAAATCCCCATGGTGAGTAAGTAGAGAAGTTCGGAAGCATCAGGGTTACAATGGGACAAGTGTGGGCTCCAGTTCTAGATTTACAGATTTTTTTTTTTCAACTCAGCATTCACCTACTGGTGTTATTGTTCAAGGGCAATACCTTGTAGAATGGATTTTTTTTCCACGTACTAATTCATGGACTTTGACTCCTTATTTGGATCAAATCACTACTATGATAGGAAATGGAAGAACTTAGATCATTAAATTACAAGGATATCATCCTGGAAAAATTATTGTCCCCCTTACAAAGACACAAATACAACAGGCTTTTACAAATAGCCTTACTTGACAAACACATTTATCTGACTTTGTATTCTTGATAACCATTTTCCAAAAACAAAATTATTTCAATTTTTGAAATTAACTCATTGGATTCTCCCTAAAATAACCAAATTTAAACCTATTGAAAATGCTAAAAATATCTTCACAGAGGAGTCTAGTAATACCAAAGCTTTTTATTCTGGCTCGAAAGGTAAAGTTTTCTGAATGCCCTATACTTCAGCTCAAAAGTCGGAGCTTGTAACTGTAATTGAGGTATGGACTGCTTGTAATATGCCTATAAATGTGATTTCTGATTCTTCATATGTGGTTCATTCTACACAGTCGGTTGAAAATGCTCAGCATGATTCCACACAGATGAGTGACTGATGAATTTACCCAATTACAAAGAGCAGCTAGGAGTAGAATGCACCCTTTTTACATTACTCATATTAGAGCTCATACATCTCTTCCAGGACCTTTGACTGCAGGGAATCAAATGGCTGACCACCTATTTGCTGCTACAATATCTAATGCCAAACACTTTCACAATTTAACCCATGTTAATGCCTTTGGTCTCAAATGCAGGTCCAGCATTACCTGGAAAGAAGCTAAAGCTATTATCCAGCAATACCCAGCTTGCATTCCTCATCTTTTACAGGAAGAGTTAATCCTTGAGGATTGGAACCTAAGGATCTTTGGCAAATGGATGTCACACATGTTTCCTCATTTGGGAGACTAACTTACGTACATGTATGTGTAAACACCTTTTCTCACTTCGTCTGGGCTACGTGCCAATTAGGAGAGTCTTCTGCCTGTGTTAAATGTCAACTTTTGCAGTGTTTTGTGTTGATGGGCAGTCCAGCTTCTATTAAAATGGACAATGCCCTAGGCTACCCTAATGAAGCTGTAGCGACATTTTTCTCTATATGGAATATTAGACACATAACTTGTATCTCATATAATTTTCAAGGACAAGCCGTAGCGGAAAGAATGAATCTCTCCCTGAAAGAGCAGTTGCAAAAGCCAAAGGGGGAATCAAGGACTACGGGATACCACATAGGAAATTGAATGTAGCATTATTGACTCTAAATTTTTTGAGCCTGTCTAGAGGCCAGATGCTATCAGCAGCTGATCAGCATCTGCAGAAACCAGCTGCAAAGACAGAAGCAGAAAAACTGGTTTGGTGGTGAGATCCAATAACAGAAAATTAGGAAATAGGTAAAATAATAACATGGGGTAGAGGTTATGCTTGTGTTTCTCCAGGACTGATCAACTGCCAATGTGGGTGCTACTGAGATGCCTAAAGCCCTGCTTATGAGCCAGATACCCTGGAAGAGGTGTTAGGAGGATCTCAAAGATCCAGCGGTGGCAGCATTCTCTAAGTTGATGCTGAGGAGTACCCCAACTATCACGAGCAACACGCATTGAACACAGCCACCTACCTGGGGACAGATCAAGAAGCTGCCACAGATGGCAAAAGAAAACCTGAGGAAAGTAGGACAATGAGTCCCCCATATAATGATAGCTATGATACTGGTGATCACCATTGCCATGAGTATTCCTTTGCAGGGCTGACACAGTTACATATGCTTTCTGGTCTCAGTGTTTATCATAATGAATCTGCTCCTAGAATTGAGGCATACTGCCCTCAAGAATCTAATTGTAAACAGAAATAGACACGGCCAGAATAAATGAATGTACTTGTTTTAGAAAATTGCATTGCAGAACATGCAGAGGTGCTCTGCAACGATTCCTATGGAATATTTATTGATTTGTCCCCTAAGGGGAAGTTTAGCTTAAATCGCACCTCTCGGTCTGTGTGCCAAGGCCACACTATGTTCAGCTTGTCTGACCAAAATGGTCAGATGGTAGAAATGGTAAGAGATACAGCAAGAGATCTTCTGGAAACATGGAGGTAAAATGGCACCTCAACAACAAATGATACAACCCGCTCTAGGAGCTAAACATTAGGATTTGTGGAAACTGTTATTGGCTCTTAATAAGATCAAAATTTGGGAAAGAATAAAAAAGCATCTAGAACGGCAATCTGATCAAAATTTGGGAAAGAATAAAAACGCATCTAGAAGGACATTCTACAAATATGTCTTTGGATATTGCAAAATTAAGAAGAGCAAATATTTGAATTATCCCAGGCACGCTTGATCTTAATGCCAGGAACAGGAGTGCTTGAAAGAGCTGTGGATGGATTAGCTGCTATTAACCCATTAAAAAGGACAAAAACACTTGGAGACTCTGATTTAAAGATGATTGTGCTTTAAATCTGTGTTGTTTGTCTTTGTATAGTCTGCAGATGCAGATCCCAAGTCCTGTGAGACGTAGTTCACCGTGATAAAGCCACCTTTGCTTTTATCGAATTGGAAAAACCAAAAAGAGGAATATGTAGAGAACAGACCCCCAAATCTGGCCATAGACAGGCCCCCAAACTGGCCATAAACAAAATCTCTGAAGCACTATGACATGCTCATGATGGGTATGACACTCACACTGAGGGTTGTGGGTTTACTGGAATGAGGGCGAGGAACACCTGGCCCACCCAGGGCAGAAAACCGCTTAAGGCATTCCTGAACCACAAAGAATATCATGAGCGATCTGTGCCTCAAGGACCTGCTCCTGCTTCAGATAACTAGTGAGAACCCAACTCTTTGTCTTCCTTTTTACTGAATCTACAATCTACAGAAACAATGCTTATCACTGGCTTACTGTCAAATATGTGGGTAAAACTCTGTTCATGGCTGTCAGCTCTGAAGGCTGTCAGCCCACTGATTCCCACTCTGTACTTCATAATTCTGTGTGTCTGTCTTTAATTCCTCTAGCACAGCTGGGTTAAGGTCTCCATGACCAAGCTGATCTCAGCAGACTTCTTTGAGATTATTTAAATTTGGTGAAGACTTTATTTTATAAAAATCACTTTATTTTGGGTAAATTATGTCATGCCATATCTTCCCATGTTTTGCATTATGAGATTTGGTTTGCATGGTACTTTAAAAGCCATTCTCAAACTTTCACTTCCTAGGATTTCTAGTTACAATGCAACACCCCATTGTTTCCTCTGAACAACTGAAACACCACAGATGTAAAGACAAAAAACAAGGACAGGATCTGAAAGATAGAAAAAGGAAGACAGTTTGTCTGGGGACATAAGGACTTGCAGAGTGGTATCATGGTCACTTTACTTGGTTTTCCTAGTGTCTTCCGTATATCGCAGATGATGGACTGTAGAAGTTTCCAATCCAGAATCTCCAATAGGCACAGAAGAAAAGGACTTCAAGGAAATCCTCTTCTCTCTCAACCAAAGGACAAGGAGAGGATGACCTAACCACACACAATAGCATGAAACACTTCTAAAGGTAATAACCAAACTATTCCAGATAAACACTACCAGAAAATAATTAATAAATAAAATAAAATAAAATTAACTAGTATTGCCATTTCTGTGGAGCCATGTACAGAGACAGTCTTCTCAACATGTCAGTGATGCTCTCATTCCCCATGAAGTCAAACTAGTCAGCAACTTTTTTTTTTCTTTTCGTTCTTTTTTTGTTGTTGTGTTTTTTTTTTTTTTTTTTTTTTTTTTTTTTTTTTTGAGATGGAGTTTCTTTTTGTTGCCCAGGCTAAAGTGCAATGACACACAATCTCAGCATCTCAGCTCTCTGCAAGCTTTACCTCCCTGGTTCAAATGATTCTCCTGCCTCATCCTCTCAAGTAGCTGGGATTACAGGCATGTGGCACCACACCCGGCTGATTTTGTATTTTTAGTAGAGATGGTGTTTCTCCATGTTGGTCAGGCTGGTCTCAAACTCCTGACCTCAGGTGATCCACCCACCTTGGCGTCCCAAAGTGCTGGCATTACAGGCATGAGCCACTGTGCCCGGCCAGAGAGAATATTCTATCACCCTCCTGGAGAAAGCAGAGGAGAGCATTCTAATTCCCTTATGTCAGCAGACTCCGGTAGCAAGCTGAGCATACAGGTCGACCCAACAACCACAGTTTTTAAAGAGCCAGAGCTAAGTAGGACAGATTGCACTGTGTGTCTTGCCTGCTGTCCCCACTACCCTCCTCTAACCTATCCTGTCAGAAGGCTTCAGTGGGGAGTTAACCATCTACCACAAACCACCCTCCTAGGAACTGAACAGACAAAGTAAATCTAAACTAGTTAGCACTCTGCCATTTCCCCAGATTAGAAACTGTATCATCTACAGCTGCTCCAAAGAACATCAAATGTTTTGATATGCATTTAAACAAAAGAAAACAGGTATGAGATCTGTATGCTGAAGCATATAAAATACTGGTGAAATAAATCAAATAGAAATAATAAGAGATACACGGTGTTCATGGATGTAAAGATATAATATATCATGTTAATTTTCCCCAGCTTGATCTATATATTTGATGCAATTCCTATCAATATCTCAGCAAGAATTTTTGCAGACAATGCAAACTTACTAGGATAGCTAAGACAATTATTAGTGTTTAATATATAGTGGGAGAAATCCATCAACAACATTTCAAAGACTTATTAAACAGCTAAAGTGATCATGACAGTTTAGTATTGGCATAGAGACAGATTCGTGTAAAAAATGGAGCAGAAGAGAAAGCCCAGGAATAGAGCCACACTGGTGTGGATATGACCAGGTAATATGACATAAATCTGGCAAGCAAAAATCAGTGGAGGAAAAACAGCCTTTCAACAAATGGTGCTATGGCATGTGGACATCCATAAATTTAAGAAATAAAGCCTTAACATAAACATTACTCTACACAAATTAACTCAAAATGGCTCATGAACTTCAATGTAATATAAAATTATAAGACATTTTATAAAACATTTTCAGAATAAAAGAATCATAAGAAAATTGAAGCCTCTTAGTTGTAGCAAAGTGTTATTACATTTGATACCAAAAGCATAAACCATAAAAGGAAAACCGATAAACTGGATCAAATCAAAATTAAAAACTATTGCTCTGTGAAAGTTCTTATGAAGACACTAAAAAGCCAGTCTGCTGCAGAAAGGGGTACCCTTCCTGCTGATCCCTGCAGACCATGGGAGGAGAGCAGTACCCTCTCCGCTGGGAGCAGCAGCTGCAGCAGAGAGCTGCAGAGACCTGCAGAGTCATGTAAATGACTTGCCTGCAGAGAGGAGCCTCCCTCTCTATAGAGTGAACACACCATGGGAAGACCTGCCTATAGAGAAGAGCTACCCACTCCTTTGTGAGGTATTGCTCCTCACAAGAGGGCACTAGCTGTAGGGGTCTGCCTGCAGACCCTGACCCAAAAGATGGATGAATAAAGCATAAACTGACAAATATTCTGCTTTGCCAGTACAGCTGGGTGTCCAAGCGCCTGCACATCAAGAAATGTTTTTTACTGTGACCGGCCCTTAGAAGCTTGCACTCCAGTCACTTAGTTAGTATGTGATTAACAACAGAAACTCTGAGTCAGCACACTTGTACATAATTAACATGGTTGAGAGAGTAGTTCTATGAATGATTAAAGCTCAGGTACCGTGGTCTAAAGTAAATTCCATTAAAGGGCAATATCCTTGGTCAACCTTCCTCCAAGAGGGCAATCTGCCTTAAAGGTTAGTTAATGGAGGTAAGGTTAACAAGCTTAAATGGGGAAGCCTCTATTGTCCCTAGTATTTATCCTATGACCTAATGCTCTAAGGTAAGAACTGGCTGCCTTCAGCCTGTTCAATTATTACAAGCTATGTAACCTTTCAGCCTTCCAAAAGGTTTGTGACTATTCCCTATATCTTTCCCTAATATTTCCCTTTAGTATTTCTGCTACCGTCCTGAGTGAACACCAATACTTTGAACTGTTTTAACACTAAATAGAACTCTTCTTCTTCTTTACCCTTCACTTGACTCTCTATCTCATTCTCCCTGCACACAGGACAAGAACTCAAGGAAAGGCATCGTGGTCACAGAGGTTTCTGGCAAGTAAAATTGACACCACAGTGATCCCATAACAGTAGCACTAGAATTTCTGTCTCAGATTTTTACTTGAAAGTTAAACATTTGGGGGACCGTTAGGAGACTCCGGACCATATTTTGACATCCTATTTGTTCATCTGTAGCTGGCTTTGTCTGATACCACCCTAACAGAGGGAAGTGTATACTTGTCAAGTAGGGCCACAATTCCAACTTCCCGTCTTCACTTCCTTTGACACCCAAGGCAGTGCTCCTCATTACTGATAAATAAATATGCAGATTCCAGCTTCAACCTAGGTGTTACTTGTACCTTCCTGGCTAGAAGTGGAAGGGTATCTTGTTACCACACGGCAGGGTTGAAAACTCTAGCTCTCTACTTTACCTTCCCTGATTCCACTCCGGCAGAGGGTTGGGTTGCTTCATTAATGCCTGGTGCTCTCTATGTTCCAACTTAAACTTTGTTGTCCTGGCTAGCTTTTTTGGGTCGTTTTGTTTTGTGTTGTAATGTTTGACGAAAGTAGGATGGCTATTGTACAAAGATTTTTGTCTTAATAAGGTGTCCCTTTCCTAGACCTGTGTCTATAGAGGCTGGAGCTTTTGGGGGACAATTCTGTCTATACCTACTTATATTTGTCGGTACCAGCTCCTTCAGGATCAAGTCTGTGATAACACCAGGCAAAAAGAATTCAGGGAACTCAACCATCTTATCACTTGTTGCATCTTAAATTTCCTCACCAGTTTATCTTCTTGCTCCATCCTTCAGTCTTATGTTTGCTTTATATATATCACGCACGGATATTAATTGCATTTATGTGAGGGAGAAAGTACATCTTCTCCATCTACTTTATTACTCAAGTGATGACTCAAGATGAAGAACGTCCGTGATGTTCCTTTTGGGCAGAAAATTCAAAGTAATTTTTGTTATTGAAACAGTTTAAGCTAGTTTAACCTAGATAGAGAGAGAATACTTAAGAAGGTACAATGTCTTTGTATGAATCCTAGAAGAAGCTAGGATATTTTCTGGGTTAGACTGCTCTGTGATTGGTTACATTAAAATCTTGTAAGGATGTTCCTCAAAATACAAAGAATTTTCCGAGGGTGGGAATGGACAGATTTTCTAATCATGCTGATCACTTTATGTTTTGCATTTGCTTACTCTTTTTCCTCCTTCACACTCTCTCTCCTCCTCTCTGTGCTTATTTTACTGTTGCTTTTGTTGTTTGACACTCGTCTTATTCGGGCCTTAAACTTACAATAATGTATTCCACATGTTAACCTGTCTCATTCCATCTTTCATTACTTTATCCTCACTTTCTAAACTGTCATTTCCTTTTTTCTTTCTTGCCTTGCTGTTCACCCAAGTTATTCTTTTCATTTTTTATTGTGTCTGGCATTAGCCTTTTTATTGTTGTGGATTTCTTTAAGATGAAGTCTTACTCTGTCACCCAGGCTGGAGCGCAAAAGCAGGATCTCAGCTTACTGCAACCTCCGCCTCCTGGGTTCAAGCGATTCTCCTGACTCAGCTTGGCCTCCCAAAATGCTGTGATTACAGGCCTGAGCCACCACCCCAGCCGGAATTTTTTTTTTAAACATTCTTCCTGTTAACCATTTAACCATGTCTATCACACTACCTTCTGAAAACCCAGTTTGAGAACTAAAAAGTTAATAGCATGTGGATATAGGTGAAATGACCTTTGTCTTTCTGTCATGGTCTGCCAGGAAAGGAAATCAGGATTCCCTTTTTAGATGATGGATTCTAAACTTTTTCTACTTATGCACAACTTGGAAATATACGTATATGGTTAGATGGCACCACTAGGTTTCCATCCTGAGGAATCTGGCTGTCCAAATCCATGTTCATTTTCTGCTATCCCAGAAAACTGCATGGTGAATCTTGTCAGACCTTAGCCTGTGACACCAAAAGCTGCATAATATACCAAATCCACAGTGAATGCTGCTTCCGAAAAGTTGTGCAGCTGGATCCCCAGTGTATCCCATTTCATCACAGCAACCAGGAATCTCCACTGCAAATAAAGGAAGGAGTGGTAAGGATACAGCTAGTTCTTTCAGACAAGGACCTGCTACTCAAAGCAGAAGATGAAAAAGAATTTTTAGAAGAAGCAGGGGAAAATCATAACTAGATGTAAAAAGAAAGCATGATAGTCAAAGGGATAAGCAGGGACGCTAGCCTCAGTAAGTCCAAAATATTGCATCTCTAGTGAAGGATACTGTGAGGTACGCTTTTATGATAAGTTGTGGTGAGGAACGAAGAATAACAAATAATGCCTCAATACCAAGAATATGTGTTTTTGACAACGAAAATAGAGTTTATGATTGTAAGTCCGCAGTCAACATCAACTAATTCACATACATGTGTGTGTGTGTGTGTGTGTGTGTGTGTGTGTATATACACACACACTCACATACATATATGTGTCAGATACTGTATTACATCAGTGCTGGTTGTCCAAGGCACACAGACAGACAAGAAAACTAATATGATAGATGAGAAGCACCTCCTAGAAGGAGTGATATCTGTGTTGTATGAGTCTTAAGTAGGCAAACAGGGAGAGAGCCTTTTACCTCCAAGTAGAAATGGGAGCCTTGTTACCAGATGGTAAAGGGCATGGCTGAAAGTGATGTTCTCCGAATGTTGCTCCAAATAGACTGTGGTGAAACACAAAGACATGAAGCTGAAAGGAAAACAAATATCAGGTCTGGAATGGATTTGTTCAGCCATGCTCATGATCTGGACTCAGAATCTAAAAGTTAATAAATCCTGACAAAAACAATTAAATCTGACTTTGTATGGAGCATGGAACCAACGTGTTGAAAATCTGCATTAGAGGTGGTCTTTGGTGGCTCAAGCTTGTAATCCCAGTGCTTTTGGGGACCATGGTGGGTGGATTACCTGAGGCCAGGAGTTCAAGACCATCCTGGCCAACATGGTGAAACCCCATTTGTACTAAAAGTACAAAAACTAGCCCAGCATCTTGGGCAAATATAATTTTACTTACTCAAAAGATGGAGGTACAAGAATTGCTTGAACCTAGAGGTTGAGGTATCAGTGAGCTCAAATAATGCCACTGCTCTCCAGCGGGGGTAACACAGAGAGACTGTCTCAGAGAAAAAAAAAAAAAAAAACAGAAGGAAATGTGCATTAGAAAACATGAAAAGTGGACTCTAACAGGAGGTAATTAAAGGCACAAACAGGTTGGAATGCTTTGATGTAGGATCAAAAAGGTGTACTGTTAATGCCAGCTGTAAAATTCCACAATGTTCTGACAGTGATGCAATCCATGAGCATAATATGATGTAAACTTTATTATTCAAGTGATGACACAAACAGTTGTGATCGTGGTCACTGAGTTCACTAGGGATGAATTGCAATGAAGACAATCTTTGCCAACTAAAATCCAAGTTTAAAATAACTGGGGAAATGTAATTGAGAAAATACTGAAGTGTATAGTATGTGTTAACTCTTCTCTAAATTTTGTCTGTGTGTGTGTGTTTGTCTGTGTGTATGTGTCCATTTATTCCCTTTGTGCCACTCAAATTTATACCCTCATTTGATTTATGCCAGACTACTTGAGAAGTCACTTATTATTTTTTCCTAACTCCGGTTGCTTCTTCTCCCTTGCCTGCTGTCATTGTTTGGTATGTCACCTCCAAATTTCACATTGAAATTCTGTGTCCATTGTGATAGTGTTGGGAGGTAGGACTTTTAAGAGTTGATTAGCCATGTGGGTGCAACCTCATGACTGACTTGATGGTATTATATGGAGAACAAGTTAGTTATTGTGTGAGTGGCCTTTGGATCAAAGGATGAGTTTGGCCCCGATTTTCTGTTCATCTCATGCCCTTCACCGTAGGAGGCCGACCTGCCATGTTGTAACGTAGAAAGAGGATCTCACCAGATGCAACCCCTTGGACTTCCCCACCTCCAGGAAAGTGAGCAAAATAAGTTTGCTTTACAAATTACCCAGGCAGTGGTATTGTGTTGTTTCAGCAGAAAATGGACCACAAAACTTTATTATTTCTTCCTCTTTAGAGAGATAAATTATTTAACTTACAAAGGCACATGTCAAATTTGCTTTCAAAGGATCAAAAAGCCCATATATATTTTTGCTAAAAAGTAGTACAATAGCCTCCCACTGAAACAAAATGTCATTTTTTTCTTAACCATACTTTTAGAAATAAAGGAAAAGCAAACATAGAAGTAAACATGCAATTTTATTGTTCAATAAGATAATTGCAGAAATTTTTAGGGTTTTTTGTCAATGTAAATGTTAGTCTCTGTTGTCATTCATAATCTGGTCCTCTTTTAATGGCAGATCAGTTGTAATTAGGGTGATATTTGTCCAGTGGTGATGGTTGAAGAGCTAGCCTGGAATGAGGGGCAGCTGATCTATCAGCGATCGTAGGCATTTGCAACCACGGGTTGCCTGCTGGTAGCATGTTACGATATGGAGCCTCATTGACTGATACCAGAGGATATCGTGTGGGAACAGCAGATGGTTCCACTGTCAGCCCAAAATAACCATTTTGTAAGGGAGATATGATGTGGTATTGAGAAGTTGTGGTTGTAATAAAATTCACAATGTGGCCCCTTGCTTGCATGTAGGTACTATGAGAGTGCATATGAATAGTGGTCAACTGATTTAAAATAGCATGTTGATCTGTTGCAATTTGTTCTGATGGTCCAACTGAGGTTGAAGGTGAAGGAGGAGGGAAACCACTTCTAATGGGGACAGATGAATTTGCAATTATCTGTCTGACAGAAGATTCCCTTGTTAGAGGCATATTTAAATTTTTAGAGGCTGAAAATAAACTTTCTTCACTAGCTTCAGCAGCTAAGGCAGAATTATGATTCTCCATGTTAGCCCCTGCTCTAAAATGCTTCTTGTTGAAATCTTCGTTGAATAAAGTAGATATAGGTGAAGCATTTTTAACACCAATTCTTCTCTTCACTCTTACTAAAAGTTGGGGATAGCCACGCTTGAAATTTGGATTATAATAGAACTTTAACTAAAACCAAAGAAAAACATAATTCAGTGCCATTTTAAGCCAAGAGACAAGTGAAAATAACAAACATAACACATCAAATATCAGATTTCTCTTTCATCACACAAATTTAATGTCATCAAATAACTCATAAACATCGTTTACTATTTTTAAGAATGTGCTTATTGTGAAAAACCACTCAAGTTGTTAAGCCCTCAAGTGAAAACATGTTATATATTAATAGTAATATTTCATTAAGTGGCTTTGGTACATTTATTTGGAATTCACTGGTAAGATTCAAAGTTGTTAGCAAAATTTCTTAAAACACTAAAAGGTTAACGCTCAAGCTGAACACAATAATTTCAAAACAAAATTTCTACCTTAATATTTTATATAATTTTCAAAAGCTGGTCTTACTGCATGTATTAACATATTTACTGATGTACAAAGTAAAATTACATATATACTTTACATAAAGTGGTAACTCAAATATGTCAAATACCTTGCTTAAGACAGACGATTCTTTCTCTTCTGACAGAAAGGTGGCTAGAAAGGCAGATCTTTGAAAATTCTGTTGAATTTTACTAAATCCATAAAGGTTGAGCTGTCGAACAAAACTTTTGATAGCATCAGTTTGAAATATTCTGTAAGGAGCCTTTGTTTCCAAAATTTCTTTCTTGAAGAGTTCTTCATTAATCACTATGCAAGTTCCATTCTCATCCCATGAAATAGACTTGAATTGGTCACTTTCCACTATTTTCCAAAGTTTCCTGGGAAAGTTCAGAGAAAGAAAATCATCATCTTTATCTGGCTCAGAGACACAAACTGTGTAACTTGGACTTTCTAACAAGGATCCTTGTGACAAAACCTGAAAAGCATGTTCTTCAATCATTGACCGTAAGTCTGAGTCCCCAGGGAAGGTGTGTTCACACAATGGAGACCTAGTGGAGGCTTCTGAAGCAGTTAATTCATCTTTGGGGGAAACATCTTGAGTTTCTGAAGAAACATGTGCCATCTCAAATAAATATTTCTTTATCTACTCTTCCGGCCTGCATGGTTTTCAGGACTGCAGCTTCAAATGCTGCTTCAGAAGGCCTAAGCATGTACACTTATCTAGACCATCACAATGGTTCCCAAACTGAGTAACAATGACATCACAAGGGGACTTTGGTCTCCTAGCAACCAACAAAATTCTAGCCCAAAGGGTTTCCTTCCCAATCTGAGAAATGTATCCAGTGAAAATAAAATATAGACTGCTCACTTACACAATGTAAGCTGCAAAAATCTCTTGCCTGCATCATTATTTAAATAAATAAGGAAATAATGTCCTCAATCCCTGAAATAAATCCAATGTTCTTCCTGACACACTCATTATAACTAGATTGGTGTGAGGAGCACAAGGCCTAGTAATTGCAAAATGCAAAAAAATAAAATAAAATAAAGGAAAGAAAAAGAAATATGAATGATTTTAAAACTAGTTTGGCATGTTGGATTGAAAACTGATGCAATGCTAAACCTGTGTGGTAAAAAGACATGGCCATAGAGATAAAAGGTAGGTTACGGGTTGTCAGGGGCTGGACAATAAAAAGAACTGTATAATAGATATGGAGTTTCTGGTTGGGCAATAGAAATATTTAGGAACTATTGATAGATGATGATCGTATGACATTATAAACATATTTAATTCCATTCAATTATACACTCAAATGTAATTTTATGTTATTTGAAACTTACCTTCAAAAGTTAAGGTGAAGACAAAGATGAATAAAACTAACTGATTATATTTCAGAATGAAACGTTATATTTATGCATATCTCTTCAAAACATGTTTCAGTCATATCAGAAGAATATATAATGATTTAATTTGGTATGTCTCTAAATATCTGACAAATGTTAAAGATGAAAGAGATTTTAAAAGCGGGTGACTTACTTGTAAGGGGATCCCAAAGAGTGGGAGATTAAAAAAATAATAAAAATAAAAATATTGAGAAAATGTTTTAAGAAAAGTAAATATGTATGTGTGTCTAAGCAGCATATTTTTTTTTAATTTGGCTCCAAGAACCAAATCTCTATTAAAGAATAGATTTTGTAAGGAATAATCTTTGTGCCATGCAAATAATGGTATCATTATAAAACAGGACTTGAATTTGTGAAATAATTTTAGTATTGAGTAAAATAACCATGGATCATTTACAGTCAGAATTTTTATATGTTCATGGTTGACAGTTGGTATATTAAAATTCGAACTCCTTAGCATTGGTAAGTGTTGAATATGTGTGGAAGAAAGAAATATAGTATTGATATTTCTCATACTGTAGGAGGCAGTTCTCTCATACTGGAAAGAGGAGTCATTGTTAGAAAATTGCCTTGGTTTAATATAGTTTAGGTTTTGTTTTTTTGTGTGTGTGCCTGTTTAATTCAGAATTTTCTGTATTAACATTATGTAACAAAAATGTTCAAATCAGTAAACTCTGTGAAGATGAAACAGGTGCCCCTACCAGATGCATGTGGTTTCTCAATTTTGACAGTTTTTTAAAATTAAAAAAGTGCAAAATTAAAATTTTTTTTTTTTTTGTTCTTCTCAGGAATTTTCATGTTGCTCTAGCTGAAGGGAGTACAGACTTCTTTTGTGATGCGAGAGGATGAATGATTACTGAGAGCAGCAAAAGATAGGACATGGGTGTGGAGGAAAGAGGGAGTTAATAGGAGAATCAGAAGACAAAATCACATTAAATGTAGGATAATCTAAGACAAATTGTGGCTGAGCATTTTGGGGAGCTAAGATAGGTGACAGTTTAGGGAGGAAGAATGCCTTGGTGTGTTCAGGGGGAGATGGCTCAGCTAAAGGTGTCCCCTGACTCCAAACTGGAAGCCTACTTTTAGTCATAAAAAAGCAAGAAAATAAGAAATTTTATATGAAAAACATAAATGTTCAGTAGGCTGTATCCACTTAGCTATAAAAAAGAATAAGATGTCTGTCTGATCTTCTTAGTGACAGCCTGTGCTACCCATGTTCTTGCCGCTTCAGCCTCCCAATTAGCTGGTTCTGCAGGAAACGCCTAGTAGGCTCAGATAATTATTCAATTTAATGAATTATTTTAATTTTTTTAGAGACAGAATCTTGCTATGTTGTTCAGGCTGGCCCGAAATTATAGGCTTGAAGTGATCCACCCACCTTGGACTTACAAATTGCTAAGGTCACCAGTGTGAGCCACGATATCTTCCTATTTCTTAAAAAGCTTTTGTGGAGATAGTGTTTCACATTTTGCCAAACCAGGTTCAAAATTCCTGGCCTCAAGCATTCTTTTTGCCTTGGCCTTCCAAATTATTGGAATTACAAATGTGAGGCAAAAAATGTCATCTAAAATATGTTGTATCTTTTTAATTGTCACTTAATATTTTATCTAGTAAAGGTAAAACTTCATACTTAATGATAAAGTGGAAAAAGGTGTAATATAAATGTATTGGAGTAGAAGCCAATTTTTACATAATAAACACACATTTAGATTAGACAATTTTAAATGTACTAAGAATTCTCTCACAATTACTGAAAAAAAGTTTATGCATATTTAAAATCTGAAATAATATTTTTATGGTTAGGAAAATGTAAAGCAGGATAATAGACAACCAAACCAATTATAAGTTCCCTGTGAATAAAATCCAAAGCCAAATACCAGTCACTGGCAGGACCACAAGCTATTTTTTTAATGTAAAATCCAGTGGTAATGAGGAATATAGGTGCAAACTGTATGCTAATGATAGTCATTTAATTTGATGCAGGCAGAAAAATAATTCTGCTCTAAATAAAAAGTATATATACAGTCAAAAACATTTGTATTTTCAAGCTCTTTCTTAATAAAATTTTTGCTAGGTAAGACCAATTTTCAGTGATTATCCTGCCGCTTCACTAACCCGCATTTCAAGCTCATGCTTCAGTAAAAAATAATAATTTGTGTAATAAATAAAAGTGCTTCATATTTCCATACATAAAGTCCACTATTTTAAGGTACAGACATCTTAATTTTTTCTTACTTTGAAATAACTAAAATAGAAAGGCTACACATTCACATAAATTAAGGCTAATGATGCCATGAAAAAAGCTAAAAGAAGACTGAAGAAAAGTATTAAACACATGTTGATGCCTTGTAAAGAATCATACAAGCCAAGCATACATTATTTTTATTACTAAGAAGGTAATCAAAAAGCTTATCATGAACAGGACTTCAATAAACACCAATATATATAAGCAGTTCTTTCACAAACTGCAAATGCTCTCAACTTTATTGCTTTCACTTTTGCGTAAGTGTCACATTTTGTTAGTATACACTTTTCTCAAAGGCTGGTGACATAATAATGTGATGAGGTCTCACAAGAGTTAGCCATAATATATATCTTATCATCTCATCATCTTCATCTATCATGTCCATTTGTTTATTGTTTGAAAATTATATAAGCAATTTACCAGCTCTTTTACCGTCTATGTGACATGCACTTCAGCGTATGATCAAATATATTTATGTACTCTCCATCCAAACACTGATTTTTAAAATTTCTTGATCATCATCCATTTTAAATTCTGCTAAATCTTCATCATCAAATTTATACCAGGAATCGCAGTCATCATCCTACCATTGTTTGAATAATATAAGAATAATAATACCCACTGCTTGCTAGACCACTGTGTACAGGCACATCTGCAAGTCTGTATTTTGTGATCTTTGTAGTTTTATTTTCAGGTTACTCTTTCTGTTGAATCAACTGATTTTCTGACTTGAAATTATTCTGTTCCAGCTTTGCAATGCATGCTGCTGTGTAAGGTCCCATATCCAGCTCCCAAGGAAATTCAAAATAATCACCGAATGTAATTGCACATTATTTTAGTCGTACTCAAATCATTTGTGTTGGCCACAGAAACAAAAGAAAATTATTTAAATAGCAAGTGCTTAACTGTGTTAACATACCATAAACAGAGAACAGGTACAAATGTTCTCATTTCCTGAACAAACATTAAAACAATTTAATGATAATTTTAAAGTTTATAATCTTTTAAATTTATTTTAAAAAGAAAAGTAAATAATCATTAACATCATTAGGGTAATTATGCCATAACTAACTTAAGCAATACTTTCTTACCAAAGCTTAAAATATTTATATATAGCAATCCTTTGGTATCTGTAGGGGATTGGCTCCAGAACCCTCTTAAATACTATAATTTGTGTCTGCTCAAGCTTCTGATTTACAATGGTGTAGTATGTAAATATAATGCACCCACATCCTCCTGTGTAGTTTACTTTAACTTTGCATAAATCATTAGTAAAATGTAAATGTTATGTAGACAGTTATAATCTAATGGCTTTTAAATTTGTTACATTTTACTGTAGTATTGTTTTTGTTTTCAAACATTTTAATATATGTTTAGAGAAATCTATGTTTGAAGAACGTGTGTATGTAAAAAGTCTCTTATTTGTTGCACACCAGAAAACATTACTGACACAGACACTGATGGCTATGTGGTTCCATATAGCCACTACTATCTGTGTTACTTCTCTAATGTTTTCTTGTATGCGATTAAGCAGAATTTGGTGTGAATAAACTAAAGATATATAGTAAGCAATAATAATAGCAGCTAATACTTATAGTGCTTAAAGACAAGGTAATACATTAAAAAGCCGCACACATATTAATAAATTTAATCCTCACTGTCCATTTTGTGTGACAGAGTTTCACTCTCTTCACCTAGGCTATATTGCAATGGCAGAATCTCGCCTCCCTGCAACCTACACCTCCCAGATCCAACCTACACCTCCCAGATTCAAGCGATTCACCTGTCTCAGCCTCTCCAGTAGCTAGTATTACAGGCATCTGCCACCATACCTGGCTAATTTTCATATTTATAGTAGAGATGGGGCTTCACCCTGTTGGCAAGGCTGTTCTGTCTGTCTTATAAAAAGGTAAAACCTATATATAATTAATTTAAAAGGTGTGGATTGAGTGGCAGGTAGGGTGAAAAGCAATTGTTTCAAGTCTCAGAGGTGTAAATAGCAAGCAGTATGATGTTAAAAATAAACCACAATTTAAATGGCAGGTAAGTGCGAAATAATGCAGGCAGCTTGGAGGTCAGATGTTATGAAGGTCAAGAAAGACATACATGTTATTTAACATATAATATCTTCAAATATATTTTACCATTACATCTCCCAATCAAATTGCAGAGAAATAAAATTAGCTGGTTAGGCCTAAAGAAAGAAATCTGTTTGTGAAACAAGTGGTTGTTAAAATTTGTTGTAACCCCATAAAATTAAGGAAGTTTTTCGCTTTTAGACTTATAAGTTTTTGCTTATAGTATAGATGTATCTATACTAGAAAGAGAAAAATGCTTTCTTCTGTCAACTCTTCAAGATTCAATCATTAAATTGCAATTTATTTTAGAGTAGGGATGAAAGCAATCTGGGAGATTATTTTACATCCAAAATTATTAACCTAGTAAGAATCACTTTTTTTCCCTAGTCAGTCACTCTATTTTGTCAATAGCATTTCCCTTTAAACAAGTTATCATCTTGACTACCTCTCTGATACCACTAAAAGAGTAAAGAGAAAGCAGAAGTTAATTTTTTGCATGAGCACAAACACTTCTAATGTCTTCTGGTTGTGTTCAAAGAGATAATTTTTTTTTTCAAAGCTGAAAAAAACGTACTTTTTATCACATTTTACAATGATGTGCATTTGCACCTTCCATTTGATATCCTATTCCCAAGAATCAAGAACATTTTGATGACTGTTAATGTCCCCATTTAAAGTTGTAAAAGATTTCTCACGTTTGTATCAAAAGATAGTATTTAAAATACAAATTATAAAATATATTCTTTACTTCTTTTTCCTGTGAGGACAGGTTATTTCCTTGTCACTGAAGCTAAAATGCACGGCACAATTCCAGTTCACTATGGTCTCAAACTCTTTGGCTTCAGTTGGGGTTTCCTCAACCAGTATTCATCTGTGTCTTCTTAGGAACTGGGCTACACATCAGCAGGTGAGCGGTGAACAAGTACGGAAGCTTTATCTCTATTTAAACCACTATGTATGGTGCATATTACTGCCTGAGATCCACTTTCTGTAAGTTCAGTGGCAGCATCAGATTTTTATAGAAGTGAGAGCACAACTATTAACTGCACATGCAGGAAATTTAGCTTTTGCACTCTTTATAACAATCAAAAAACTGATCACCCGTAACTGTCTCCCATCACCCACAGAGAAAACAATCTAGCTGCAGGAAAATAAGTTCAGGGCTCCCACTGATTCTACATTATGGTGAATTGTATAATTATTTCATTAAATATTATAATGTAATAATAACAGTAATAAAGCAAAAAAACAATGCGGGGCACTTGAATCTTTCCAAAACTGTCTCCACAACGCCAGGTCATGAAAAATCTTGTCTTCACAAAACCCATCCCTGGTGCCAAACTGTTGCAAATAATCACACGTAGATGTACGCACACATAAATTTTTGAGTGAAAGTTTTGAAGACAGAAGCTCAAAGTATTATTATAAGTTCAAAGAACAAGAACAGAAACATTGACTAGATTGCAGAAAAAGGAGTGTTTTGAATAGAGAAAACTAATGAAAATAACTTGTTACCCAGTAATGTGATGGCTGGGTCAAATGGTATTTCTAGTTCTAGATCCCTGAGGAATCGCCACACTGACTTCCACAATGGTTGAACTAGTTTACAGTCCCACCAACAGTGTAAAAGTGTCCCTATTTCTCCACATCCTCTCCAGCACCTGTTGTTTCCTGACTTTTTAATGATTGCCATTCTAACTGGTGTGAGATGGTATCTCGTTGTGGTTTTGATTTGCATTTCTTTGATGGCCAGTGATGATGAGCATTTTTTCATGTGTCTTTTGGCTGCATAAATGTCTAAGTCATGCTGCTATAAAGACACATGCACACGTATGTTTATTGCGGCACTATTCACAATAGCAAAGACTTGGAACCAACCCTAATGTCCAACAATGATAGACTGGATTAAGAAAATGTGGCACATATACACCATGGAATACTATGCAGCCATAAAATATGATGAGTTCATGTCCTTCGTAGGGACATGGATGAAATTGGAAATCATCATTCTCAGTAAACTATCGCAAGGACAAAAAACCAAACACCGCATGTTCTCACTCACAGATGGGAATTGAACAATGTGGGAATGCATGGACACAGGAAGGGGAATATCACACTCTGGGGACTGTTGTGGGGTGGGGGGAGGGGGGGAGGGGGGGAGGGATAGCATTAGGAGATATACCTAATGCTAAATGACGAGTTAATGGGTGCAGCACACAAGCATGGCACATGTATACATATGTAACTAACCTGAACATTGTGCACATGTACCCTAAAACTTAAAGTATAATAATAATAAAAAAAAGAAGAGAGATGAAATAAATTCTCAAAGAAGGATTGCAAAAAAAAAAAAAGAAAGAAAATAAATTGTTGACACAAGAAAAAACAAGAGTGAGGGATATGTGAGGATAAAGAACTGAAATATGTAAATTAGAATTATATATGCAAATCATACTCATAACGTAGGCTTACAGTTTAGCTATGAAATTTAGAAACTTATACTGAAAGTTATAATGGGAAGTCAGTGCATTACTGGTGCACTAATGACTTTTAAAAGAAATCTAAGTGATATTCTAGTACATAGAAGTGGAACTGCTGTGAGTGAAACAGAAGGCAGCCCAGAAATCAGAAGATCCCTTTTTCTTCCTGTCTCTGAGCTATCTAAGAACTACCTTCTTGAAAGAACAGTAAACTCTTATGAAGGGGTGCAGCTTCTTCTATAAACTAGAAAGAGCTATGTACTACATCATATAATAAAAAGTTGTGCAACAGTGTTTTATTACCATACATGCCACAAATGTGGCCTTGATAAAATGAGTGAAACAAAGGAAAAAAAAATTAAGATGTTATTAAGCCATTTTTTTCTCTGTGTGTGTGTGTGTGTGTGTGTGGTTGTGTGTGTAAGTTTTGTGTGTGTGTGTGTGGCATGTGTTCTCTTCATTACTCAGTCTGCAGAGTAGCAAAACAATTACAGCTCAGGGGATGTTTTCACCTCAGTGTCAAAGGTAGATGAGATTACTTGTGCAGACCATAACATTCAGCCATTCTACTGCATCTTAGTAATGATGGGATATCAGCATGTACCTCAGGCTTTTTTTTTTAACTCCTGAGATCAAGTAATCTACCTGCCTTGGCTTCCCAAAGTGCTAAGGCTATCAGTGTGCATGACTAAGCCTGGCCCAATTGAACATTTTCAAATCTAAAAACGGACCAAGTGTTATTGGTCACTTTTGTAAAAGGCTCAAAAATTATGATTACATTCAGGCTTGCAAAACATATATGTATATTATATAGAGTTATATATTATGTATTTACATATAAGTATATCATATAAATATATTTTCTTGCAGGACTAGGAAGCAGTACTTTTTTGTCAGTGACTAAAATATTCATTTGATAATAAAAATGTTTATTTGATGATGAAAATGTTGACTTTTGAGGTGACTATTATACAAAATCTCAAAGATAAATGTTGCTCTACAAACTAAAAGACATCATTGATGAACTACTCTAACTTGAACAATGTAATGAAGAAAGTGTAAACAAATATCAAAAGTTAACAAATGAAATGGTATTTTATCTTTCCAAGTAGCTGATACTACAAGGCTGATATCACGACACTTGAATAATTTTTGTATTTTTTTGTAAGGACAGGGTTCTGCCCCTTTTCCCAAGCTTGTAAACTAATTTGTATTATGTGTGATAACAGTGCCCTGGTCATATTTTTAAAAAATATTTAGAGTTGCCTTAAAATATCCATAGAGATAAAAATATGTACTTGACAATTGCTTCATCTGAGAACTTTTAAATCAAAGAGATGACTTCATTTTTATATTTTGATTATATAGATTATAAATTGTCTTATATTAAGAAGTTAATGACACCTTAAGAGATCAATAATATAGTGCCTGTCTCTGCTGTGACAATTTTAACCTTTTCCTATTAGGATAATAATAATAAAAATGACCGAGAAAGACAGCTAAAATATTACTATTGTTTAAATATTGCCCATCAAATAAATTATGTATTTTAAAGATATATTTTAAAAATTTAATGTACATATGATTTCATCAAAATTAAACTGATAAATCACCCATAATTTACCTGAACCTCTTCTATCCTTTTTTGTTTTATCCCTGTAACCGAGAATGTGGTAAGTGTGGGTTTGTGTGTTTCGGCGCTGTTTCTGTTAGCAATCTTTCGGGTTCACCATTAAGTGGGTCCTGAGTTCTTGACACATATCCAGGCACAATGAGGTATGTGAACAACAGGAGAATAATCAAGGTAAATAGATGCTTCATTGAGTGAAAGTACAGCTCTCAGGAGACAGAAAGCAGGTAACTCCATTTCAAAAACAGGACATACCTGCATCTGTGCAACACTCACTGAAGACAGAACCAATAGTGACCAGCTTCAGTGGAAAAGTAGGTTGTTAAAACATCTCTGAAGTCCTCAGTGGAGAGAAGTTTCAGAGTGGGTAGCTTCTATCTGCAGGAATGTTGTTGAAATGCATCTGCAGCTTTAAGTTTGGAGGAGACCTATCTATTTGCAGCCATGCAATCCCAATAAGTGTACACCTCACAGCGGAGAGGTGGCACACACTTGGTAAATCTACGTTAAGTCAGGTTGAGGTTGAAAGTTCGAGACCAGCCTGACCAACATGGAGAAACCCTGTCTCTAATAAATATACAAAATTAGACAGATGTGATGGTGCATGCCTTTAGTCCCAGCTACTCAGCAGCTGAGGCAAGACAATCGCTTGAACCTGGGAGGCAGAGGTTGCAGTGAGCCGAGGTCACACCATAGTACTCCAGCCACGGCAACAAGAGCGAAACTCCATCTCCAAAAAAAACAAAATAAAAATAAATCAATACAAGTAAAAATAAATAAATACAAATATAAATAAATACATATGTAATTAAATAAATAACCTAAATAAGTATGGAATATATATGGACCTCAGAATGCACATGGGCAGAGAGAATGGGCTGGTTGGTCCATGGGTGGAGATGGCTGAAAAAGAAAAAGATGTGTAAACCTAAAAATGACCCCTAATACTAATGCTGAAACACTAACAATAACCCTCAAGCCCTAATCCTAATCCTCACATAAACCCAACCTGCACCATTAACAAAACATATCCCTAACCCTAAATGTAACTCTACCCCTACTTATAACCCTAAACATACACCTACCACTAAACCTAAACCTACTAAAACCCTGAATCTACCCTAAACCATAACACTCACCAAAACCCTAACCTAAATACTAAACCAAACCCTAAATCGAACACTAACTGTAAACTCTGAACACTAATCCCAACTCTAACTCTAACCCCAAAAGCTACCTTCAAAACTAACCCTAAAAGCAACCTTAATTGTAACCATAAAACTAAAACTCTAACCTTAAAAATGTAAGTCCAACATCTAACCAATATCCCTAATCCAAACTTCTACCCCCTAACCCTAATTCTAACAATTCATTGACCATAACCCTATCCTTAAAACACTGACACTAACACTAACCCTAACTCTAACCCACAACATCAAACGCAACCCCAACCATAACCCTAACTTTAACCCCAATGCCAAAAACAACCCAGACCTTAAGCCATAACACTAAACCCAATTCCAACCCATAACCCTAAACATGACACTGACACTGATGCAAAAGTAGTGCTGAGCCGACCTTAACCAAAACAAAAAAAAACTCAAACCCTAACACAAAAAACCCTAACTCTAATGCTAAACTATAACCCTACCACTACCATTACCTCACCCAAACCCTAACTGAAAAACTAGCCCTATAATTCTAAGCCTAGCACTATAAAACTAACCAAAACACCAAACTTAACCCAAACACAGATACACAAACCTAAACCCTAGTAATAAACCATAATCCCAAACATAACCTACACCAACGCTACACCAACCCTAACTACAAACCTAATCCTTAACCATAACCCTAATGGAAACCCAATTCCTAACCCCAAACCTAAAACCTTAACTGTAACCCTAAACCATCTGCAATGCCAGCCATAACTCTAAACACTGAAACCAAACACTAACACTCACCCAACCAAAACCCTAATCTTAAATACTAACATGTAACCCTAATCCTTAACGCAAGCCTAATGCTAAACCTAACCCTAAGCTCTAATTCTGACCTTGACCCTAAATGCAAACACACCACCAACTGCAAACAAACACAACCACTAATTCCAAAATCCTAAAGCTGACAACAACCCTAAAGACTAATCCATAACAATAAAACCTAACCTAAACTCTAACATGTAATGCTGAACCCAGATGCTGACCTTAACGCTAATTAAAGCCTAAAACTAAGCTTCACCCTAACCACTAAGTTTAACATTAAACCTATGCCATAACCCTAACCCATTAACCCTAAACCTAATCGCTAACCATAGCCTTATCCTGTAACACTAACACTAACCCTAACCCTATGCATACTCCAACCGCAACTCAACCCAAAACCTAACACTATCCCTAACCAAAGCCATCAGCTTAAAAAATAAACCTAACCATAATCTTAACATAAACATCACCATAATCCTGAAACTAAAAGTAGGAATCAATGCTAACACAAAACCTAACATTAAACCTAAGCATACACACTAAACCCTCAACCTAGCCCTCACAATTAACACTAACCCTAAGCTAAAACCTCTACCAGTAAACCTAAACCTAAAGTTAACCCAAAATATTACACCCACCCCTATTTTCACAACTAATCATAACCATAACACAAACACTAAGATGTAAACCTAATCCTAAACCTAAAGTTAACCCAAAATATTACACCCACCCCTATTTTCACAACTAATCATAACCATAACACAAACACTAAAATGTAAACCTAATCCTAGACCTAAATGTAACCCCTAACACTAACCTTAACTCCCAAAAGCCCTAACACTAATCCTAACCCAAATAACCTAGAACACTAACCCTAGCCATACCCTAAACCCTGATATTAAACCTAATACTAAACATTGATTTTAGCCTAATCATAAACCCTAACCCAAACACGTAACCCAAACAGTAATCTGACCCTAGCTTTAACACTAAAATCTAAATCCAAACTATGATCCTATACAATAAATCCAGTCCCAACATTAACCTTAAGCTCTAACCCTTAACCTAACCCAACCCTAAACCTAACCCTAACCCCTTATCCTAGAGTTCTAAACTCTAACACTATGCCAAACCCTAACCCCTTATCCTAACCCTCAACCAACCCTAAACCTAAACCTAAGTGCTAAACAATAACCCTAAAACTAACACTGAACCCTAAACACTAACCCTAATGCTAACCTGAAACCCTAACCAGGACCTGAACTCTAAACCCTAAACCAAATCCTTATTCTTATCCTAACACCAACAGTAAACCCAAACCCTAACGCTAATACACTAACCCTCTTACCCTAACCCTTACTGTCGCCTTAGTTCTCACCCTTAGCACTAACCATAACCCTCACCATGGAGTTAACCCAGAACCTAACCCTCCACTAACCCCAACATCTAACTGTAAGCCTATCTCTTACCCTAAGCCTAAGCATAACCTGACCCAAACCTAACTTCTAATCCTGATTCTAACTCTAGCCCTAAACGTTACCTTAACCTCGACAACGGTCCCAAATTCTAATCCTAACCATAACCCTAATCCTACCACCACACGAACCTTTAAGTCAACCCCAGACCTAACCCTCAATCTAACCTTTTTTCTGCAATTGTAAACCCCTATTCCTAATCCCAAACTTCTCTCCCATCCTTAGTATTACCATATCACCCTTCAAAATAATTTTAAATATATAACCTTTGACTCTATCCTCTAACCCCTAATGCCCTTAAGAGTACACTAAACCTTACCTCTCATTAATTCCAATTGAAAATTGAATTAAACAGATGATATCACTAGGACAAAACACTAAATGTTAAGAAATATGACAATTAAAGTCATTATAATGTTTAACCAAAAACTAGTACCTGAAATTTGCTACATGGGGAAGACATTATGCACCTCAATGATTAAGATTTTTCTGTTTGTTTGTTTGTTTGTTTGTTTGTTTTGAAAATTGAGGGTTTTTCAACATTCTGAAGCCATCCCTTTTCAATATACCATGTAAACTAAATCATGGGAAAACAGTACATGTTTATCTCAACTGTTATGGAAAATACTTAAAGTTAGTCAACGTGTTTAATGATAACAACATCCAATAAACTGTGCTTCAAATTTCTTTCACATAACACGTCTTTGTGCAAAACCTGTAACAATCAGCATCTGAATTGTTGGGAATCAAAGTTTAAGATGAGGAACAAAGCATTGATGCTAAATTTCATCACTGTATTCTACACTGTACTAGAATTTCCATCCAAAACAATTGGAAATATATATATATATATGATATATGTAGTATATGTGCATATAAATATTTATATATACACATATATACATATACAAATATTTATATGCACATATATTATTATATATATTTTTACATATAGATATTTATATATAAATATATATGTGAATATATATTTTTCCAATTGTTTTGGATGGATATTCTAGCAAAATATGTATATATTTCCAATTGTTTTGGCCATTCATATGTGGAAAAATAAAAATAAAAAAAGTAAAACTATCTACCCTTGGGTCTTATGATCTCCTATAAAGAAATCATAAGAAACCAACAAGAAATCATGACATCTGGTAAACAAACTAAACAAACATACATTATAAAATATCAATATAATAAAATCTACTTCTGTACACTAGTAATAAACCATATGAAAATGAAATTAATACAACAATTTTATTTGTGAAAACAACAAGCAGCCTGTCTTCCAACTTCCCTGGAACCCATAGGAGCCACAAGCTGGGTGTGGGGGATAGCCCTGGAGTCGAGTCAGTGCTGCTACACTGGGAGCTGGGCTGCACTGGCCATAGGGCTAACCAGAAAGTAGTCAAGTTCCTGGGGAATCAAAGTAGAATTATGTAAGTACGTGGTGGATGAAGAGTAGAAAACCTACAGTGGTTTTGAAAGCCCTAAAGCCACGATGTCAAATGGATATCTTCAGAGTCAAAAATTTATGGTAAAAGGCGAACATGCACGAACATCAACAACAATGAAAGCCATGTTGAGTGGCCCAGGTCATTTTGCTGAGAAGGAAAGTATTGAGGTCAATTTGAGAGACATCCCTTCACAAGTGCTGCCAAAAGCATGCACATATTTTACCTAAATATTTCACTACACCTAAAGCTCCACAGAGATTTCCAAATTCCCATTTCACCTGAAACTGCATTAGAACTGTTGATGGCTGTAACTTTCTAGATTGTATATAAATACAATTAATTGATAGGATAAAATAAAATATAATAAACTTAATTTTTTTCAGTGTTTAACTAACTGTAGTTCAGTTAACATTTATTTTTTATAGATAGTACATTCCCTGTATCAAGGTAACTATAAAATTAATTGCAAAGAAGATTCTCTTCTGTTTTTTGCATAACATAATTGAATTTTTTTTGTACTGTGAACAAACTAAGGACATTTTCACAGAGAAATAAACAAATATGCCAGTTCATAAGTGGTTTTGCCTTATGCCTTGAGTATGATTTTAAAATGAGTAATGTTGACATTGAAAATGATGAAAATTGGCTGGGCATGGTGGCTCATGCCTGTAATCCCAGCACTTTGGGAGGCTGAGGCGGGGGGATCACGAGGTCAAGAGATGGAGTCCATCCTGGCCAACATGGTGAAACCCCGTCTCTACTAAAAATACAAAAAGTAGCCGGCCGTAGTCCCAGCTACTCAGGAGGCTGAGGCCGGAGAGTGGCGTGAACCCGGGAGGCGGAGCCTGCAGTGAGCCAAGATTACGCCACTGCACTCCAGCCTGGGTGACAGAGCAAGACTCCGTCTCAAAAAAAAAAAAGGAAAGAAAATGATGAAAATTAGGCATAAATTAATAATTGCATTATATGCATCTTCATAACTTAGCCAAAATATTGATTTTTATCTAACCCTAACATAAATGTCTTATCAATGCCTATAATCTCAGCACTTTTGGAGGCCAATGCAGGCAAATCTTGTGATTCCAGGTGTTTGAGACATGCCCAGGCAACATGGCAAACCTTTGTCTCTGCTAAAAATACAAAAAGTTAGCCAGACATGGTGACTGAGGCTAAGACAGAGGATTAATTGAGCTAGGCAGTTAGAAGCTGCAGTGAGCCATGACGGCACTTCTGCACTCCAGGCTGGGCCACACAGTGAGACCCTGTCTCAAAAAGAAAAAAAAACAGTAGAAATTTCTTCTGTCATTTGATAAATCCCAGCATTGTTTAAAAGTGTCTTTTCATTTTGTTTATTTCTACAATTTAAGACACTTTTTCATAACAATTTTTGAAGGTTACTAGGTACAATTTTGGAAGAAGCAACAGAACTATACCCAGATGGTCAATGAGTCAACTATATGACTTATAAGCAAAGCATCCTTGGCAACTGTAGAAACAGAAAGAAAAAAATAATCTGGCAAGGTGTCGTGGCTTAGGTTTTTTAATGTTCTATTTTTTTTTTTTTTTTTTTGATGAAAGAAATCCCTTTTAGGTCTTAGACTAATTATAATTTATAACAATTTAGAAGGTTATACTTTTGTAAACAGAAGTGAAACACTTGTAAAAAAAAAAAATAACTCTTCTGCCCCTCCTCCCCCGCCCCCACCACAGGCATCAGAATAGAGCCCTCCTTTTGACCAGGGGCATTCCTAAATTGGTTCAGGTCCTGACAGGAAAGAGGGACCGACATGCTTCATTACACGCTCCTCCCTTTTGAACTTTAGAAAAAGTTGACCATCATTAACAGCGACCTATACCTTAAGTCTAATAAGAAATATTTACCTCTTATTCTCTCAAGCATGCTACATGGAGGATTCATCATCATGATAAAACTTGGTCTCTACAGCCTTTATTATTTATTGTAACCCAGTCATTCCCATCTACTGATTCCATGTTTTTAGATAATAACTTAACTCTTTCAGCCAACTGCCAAGTAAAATATATGTAAATCTACCTGTAACTTGAAAGCCCAGACCTGCACCATGGCTATTTTCAAGTTGTGCGTCCTTTCTGGACCAAACCAATGTACATCTTCATGCGTTTGATTGATGTCTCATGTCTCCCTAAAATGCATAAAT
This sequence comes from Homo sapiens, assembly GCF_000001405.40. Classification (NCBI taxonomy): domain Eukaryota; kingdom Metazoa; phylum Chordata; class Mammalia; order Primates; family Hominidae; genus Homo; species Homo sapiens. The sequence continues at coordinate 18,530,472 of NC_000024.10, read as the reverse complement.
GTAGGCTGTGAATACACAACCTGGAGCACATGTTCTCAGGATCTCCAGAGTAGGGCTGTGTCATGGACCATTTGTCACTCATATTTGGCTCAGAATTCAATTAATTTTATGGTATAATATCAAAGTTTGATATTGTTAGTATATCTCAGCTAATGTAGGATGTCAATCCTTATAAAACAGACATTTTCATTATCACTACCAATGCATTCTCAGTTAAACTATGACTGTCTCAGGAAAAGAAAAAATGTTGCTAACCAGGCATACATCATATATTTAAATTTAAATAATAATTCGAGTTCTAATATGCCTACTTAAAATTTTTCTATATTGTTTCAACTATATACTTTAGTTCTCTAAGAAAAATGAGTCATTAAAGCACGAAAAAAAGTATTGATAGAGCCTGTCACGGTGGCTCCACTCAGCACCTCTCCTTTCTCTGTAACAGACTCTACCCCCAGAAACAAGTCCAGATCATCTGCAAACCACACTTTGGTAGCCGTTAAAATGCGTGGTCACTGCCTCACTCAAGGGACACTTTTGTAAAGTCAGAAGTGGAGGCCAGGACTGGGAAGTAAGGCCCAGGACAGTGCCCCTCATCAGTATTGGGTGCTGCAGACAGGGTGTCTTTTCCTCACCTGGCCACCAGATGTCTCAATGCCATGTCTTCTCCTGGGAGAGTCCTGAGGAGAAGTCTTTATTCTCACCCTGGACGTAGCAACAGAGGTCTTGTAGCAACGGCCACTCCTGGGCAGGTCCAGAAGAGAAGGAGGCTTCGTCCTCATGGTGGATGCGACTCCAGATGTCCCCAAGCTGAGGCCACTGTTGGGTGGGTCCTGAAATGAAGTAGCATTAGTCTGCACCATGAACGTGGCCATAGGTTCCCCAGGTACCCTAAAACAACGGCCTCTTCTGGGTGTGTCCTGAGGAGAAGGAATCTCTGTCCAAGTCACTGTGAGAACACCCTGCCCCTCAGAGAGTTGGTTTGCAAGCTCAGTGCATCTGCCCCATGCCCCCTCCCCCGGTAGTAGCCCTGGGAAATCTTTGAAATTCAGGGTGGGTTAATCCAGGCGGTCATCTCAGGAAGTGGAAGTGAAATAGAGCCAACCTTCCCATACCTTGAATGGATATAAAAAGAAGCAAAGAAGATCGTCAATAGACAAAACTCAGTTGATTTTCTCTATATCAGCAATAATGAATAGAAATCATTGGAATTTGAAATACTTAACCACCATTTACAATACTTCCTACAAAATTGAATCCATTAAGTATAAATGTAACAAAATAGGCAAAGTTCATTCAGAAAACAATCAGTCACAACTGAGAGAAATCAAAAGAAATATTAGTAAATGCATACAGGCCAGGCACAGTGGAACATGCCTATAATCTCACCAGTTTGGGAGGTTACAGTGGGCAGATCACTTGAGTCCACGAGTTAGAGACCAGCCTGAGGAACATGGTGAAACCCCATCTCTACCAAAAATACAAAAATTAAGCTGAGCTTGGTGGTGCATGCCTGTGATCTCAGCTACTTGTGGTGCTGAAGTGGGAGAATCTCAGTGAGCGGAGATCGTGCCACTACACTCCAATCTTGGTGACACGGCAAGACTCTTTCTCAATAAATAAATAAAGGAAGAGATGTGTCTTGTTCTGGAGAAGTACACATGTATTAATATTTCAGTCATATCCCAATCAAATTCCAGGCAAATATATCAACAATCTCTTCCTAAACCTAGAATAGATGAAATAAGACTGAAGAAGAAAAAAGCTAAAGGACTTACACATATGGATATGAATACTTACACTAAAGCTAGCTTAGCAAACAAGAGTGTGGCATTGATGATTTAACAGACAAGTAGTTAAGTGGACAGAATAGACAGCCCCCACACAGGCCCAAGTCAACTGATTTTGTCAAAAATGTAAAAAAAATTTGTCAAAATTGTGACAAACATGTCAAAAAAATGTAAAAAATTTGGAAACGGTAAGTCTATTCCACAAGGGGCAAGAAAACAGCTGGAAACTATATGGAAACAAATGGACATATATACAAATTTCATAGCTAAAAAAAATAGTCAAAAATAGCCATACATTAAAATTTTTCAATGCAAAGTTGTAATTGGAAAATGTCCTCATGGGTTTGGGTTTGGTAATGAGTTATTAGCAAGTCCATGAAAAAAAAAAAAGGATAATAGTGGCTTTATTGAAAGCTGAAATGTCTACTCTGTGAAATACCCTTCTACAGTTGGGCATGGCAGTTCAAGCCTGTAATCTCAGCACTTTTGGAAGTCGAAGCGGCTGGGTCACCTGAGGTCAGGAGATCCAGATCAGCATGGTAAACATGGTGAAAACCCATCTCTACTAAAAATACAAAAAATTAACTGGAATTTCTGGCATGCACTTATAATCCCAGCTGCTCAGGAGTCTGAGCCAGGAGAATCCCTTGAACTTGGGAGATAGGTGTTGCAGTGAGCCTAGATTGGGTCATTGCACTCCAGCCTTGGCGACAGAATGAAACTCTGCCTCAAAAAAAAAAAAAAAAAAAAAAATCTGGTTAAGAGAACCAAAAAACCAGCCACAGATAGAAAAATGTAGCAAACTCACCTGAAAAGTGACTTGTATGCACAAAGTTCACAGAAACTCTAAAACTGACAAAGATAAGCAACCCAAGTCCAGGGTAAAAACCTGAGCAGATACATCACATAGAGATGGAAAACAGGCAGGCACCCCAAACACTGCTGGCTGAAAGCCTGCTGCTTCTGCTGAAGGCTGAGACTCCAACCTGTCCCATGAGTAGCCGCAGTGGCTCCAAAGACCACCCTCACCTACCCGACCTCCGCCCTTCCTTCAGGGCCCAGGGGCCCCCAAGGTACTGGACATGCTGTCCCAGAAAGAGCCAGAGGCTGGATACTTTATATCTCAGCTTTTCTTAAAGTTCTGGAGGCTGCCAAGTGTCCTTAGTTTGGAAGTTTTATTTTTATCCTAAGCACCTTGAGGCACTGACAAGCATTAGGAGAGCTGGTTTTTAACCCACACTTGTTTTCATTAAGAGATAAAAGAATTGATTGACTCGAATTGCTTTTTAGTAAGTTCTTTTAAAATGTTTGGTACAATGCATTGTTATTTTGCTTTCTTGGAGACACAAAACACAGAAAAAGTATTTAGTAAAAACCAAATAGGGAGTCATCATAAATTCATGGATACTATTTGATTTGTTATTTATCCCGACTTTTTTTATTAATTATAATTTAAGTTCTAGGATACATGTGCAGAACATGCAGATTTGTTACATAGTTGTACATGTGCCATGGTGGTTTGCTGCACCCATCAACCCATCATCTAAGTTTTAAGTCCTGAATGCATTAGGTATCTGTCCTAATGATCTCCTTCCACTTGCCCCCTACTCCCCGACAGGCCCCATTGTGTGATATTTCCCTCCCTGTGTTCCCATTGTTCAGTTCCCACTTATGAATGAGAACAGGTAGTGTTTGCTTTTCTGTTCCCGTGTTAGCTTGCTGAGAATAATGGTTTCCAGCATCATTCATGTCCCTGAAAAAGGACATGAACTTACTCTTTTTAGTGGCTGCATAGTATTCCATGGTGTATATGTGCCACATTTTCTTTATCCAGTCTATCATTGATGGGCTTTTGGGTTTGTTCCATGTCTTTCTTGTCTGTGAGTAGTGCTGTAATAAACATACATGTGCATGTTTCCTTATAGCAGAATGATTTATAATCCTCTGGGTGTATACCACATAATGTGATTCCTGGGTCAAATGGTATTTCTGGTTATAGATCCTGGAGGAATCACCACACTGTCTTCCAAAATGATTGAACTAATTTACATTCCCACCAGCAGTATACAGCATTCTTATTTCTTTACAACTTCAGTAGCATCTGTTGTTTCCTGACTTTTTAATGGTCGCCATCCTGACTGGTGTGAGATGATAGCTCATTGTGGTTTTGATTTGCATTTCTCTAACGACAAGTGACGCCGAGCTTTTTTTATGTATGTTTGTTGGCTGATTAAATGTCTTCTTTTGAGAAGTGTCTGTTCATTTGCTTTGCCCACTTTTTGATGGGGTTTGTCTGTTTTTTATTTTCTTGTAAATCTTTTTAAGTTTCTTGTAGATTTTGGATATTAGATCTTTGTCAGACGGATAGGTTGAAAAAATGTTCTCACATCCTGTATGTCCCCTGTTCACTCTGACAATATTTTCTTTTGCTGTGGAGAAGCTCTTTGATTGAAGTAGGTCCCGTTTGTCAATTTTGGATTTCGTTGCCATTGTTTTTGGTGTTTTTGTCATGAGGCCTTTGTCCATGCCTATATCCTGAATGGTATTGTCTAGGTTTTCTTCTAGGGTTTTATGGTTTTAGATTTAACGTTTAAGATTTGAATTCATCTTGAGTTAATTTTTGTATGAGCTATAAGAAAGGGATCCAGTTTCAGCTTTCTGCATATGGCTATCCAGTTTTCCCAGTACCAGGGAATCCTTCCCCCGTTGCTTGCTTTTGTTAGGCCTGTCGAAGATCAGATCATTGTAGATGTGTGAATTACTTTAAGCACTATGGTCGTTTTCACGATATTGATTCTTCTTGTCCATGAACATAATTTTTTTTCCATATTTTTGTGTCCTCTCTTATTTCCTTGAGCAGTGGTTTGTAGCTCTCCATAAAGAAGTCCTTCACATGCTTTGTAAGCTGCATTCCTAGTAATTTTATTTTCTTTGGAGCAATTGTGAATTTGAGTTCGCTCATGATTTGGCTCTCGTATGTCTACTATTGGTTTATAGAAATGCTTGTGATTTTTGCACATTGATTTTGTAGCCTGACCTTGCTGGTGTTCTTTACAAGCTTAAGAAACATATACAATAGACAAGTTCCTTGTCTATTGTTAAGGAGTACAGAGCTGAGAAAATGGGGTACTCTAAAGATACAGCTATGTCATCTGCAAACAGGGACAATTTGATTTCCTTTATTTTTATTTGAATACCCTTTATTTCTTTCTCTTGCCTGATTGTCCTGGCCAGAACCTTCAATATTATGTTGAATAGGAGTGGTGAGAGAGGCCATGCTTGTCTTGTGCCTTTTGTTTTAGGTTGTCAAAGGGAATGTTTCCAGGTTTTGCCCATTCAGTATGACATTGCCTATGGGTTTGTCACAAACAGCTCCCATTACTTTCTGATACATTCCATCAATACCCAGTTTATTGAGTGTTTTTAGCAAAAAGTGATGTTGAATTTTACCAAAGGCCTTTTCTGCATCTATAGAGATAATTATGTGGTTTTTGTCATTGGTTCTCTTTATATGCTGGATTATGTTTATTGATTTGCATATGTTGAAACTAGACTAGCAATCTAAGGACGGAGCTGACTTGATCGTATGGATAAGCTTTTTGATGTGTTGCTGGATTCAGTTTGCCATTATTTTATTGTGGATATTCACTTCAATTTTCATCAGGGATATTGGCCTGAAATTTTCTCTTTTTGTTGCGTCTCTGACAGGCTTTGGTAGTAAGATGATGCTGGCCTCATAAAATGAGTTCAGGAGGAGTCCCTCTTTCTCTATTGTTTGGAATAGTTTCAGAAGGAAATAGCACCAGCTTTTCTTTGCACATCTGGTAGAAGTCAGCTGTGAATCTCTCTGGTCTGGCAATTTTTTGTTTGGTAGGCTATTAATTACTGCCTCAATTTTAGAATTTGTTGGTCTCTTCAGGGATTCTACTTTTTTTCTGATTTAGTCTTGGAATGGTGTATGTGTCCAGGAATTAATTTATTTCTTCCAGATTTTTTAGTTTATTTGCATAGAGGTGTTTACAGTATTCTTTTATGGTAGTTTGTGTGTCTAGGGATCAGTGGTTACATCTCCATTGTCCTTTTTTTTACTGTGTCTAATTGGTTCTTCTCTCTTTTTTCTTTATTAGTCTGGCTAGCAGTCTATCTATTTTGTTAATCCTCACAGCAACAACAAAAATGTTCTTGGATTCATGGATTTTTGGAAGGATTTTCCTGTTTCTATCACCTTCAGTTACGCTCTGCACTCAGTTATTTCTTTTTTGTGTCAGGTTTTGAATTTGTTTGTTCTTGCTTCTCTAGTTCTTTTCCTTTCTTTCTTTCTTTCTTTCATTTTTTTAAGGTGTCTCATACTGTCACCCACACTGGAGTGGAGTGGTGCGACCTCAGATTACTGCGACTTTTATCTTTTGGGTTCAAGAGATTACCCAACTTCACCCTCCTGAGTATCTGGGATTAAAGTTGTGCACCATTTTGCCCGGCTACATTTTTGTAGAGACAGAGATTCACCATGCTGGTTGTCCAGGCTGGTCTTGGAGTCATGAACTCAGGCTAACTGCCTGGCTCAACTTCCCGAAGTGCTGAAATAACAGGCAGGAGCCACCATGCCCGTCTCTCTAGTTCTTTTCATTCTGACTGTAGAGTGTTGATTTAAATCTGTCCCACTTTCTGATGTGGGCATTTAGTGCTATTAATTTTCCTCTTAACACTGCTTTAGCTGTGTGCCAGAGATTCTGGTAGGTTGTGTCTTTGTTCTCACTGGTTTCAAGCAACTTCTTTCTTTCTTAACGTTGTTATCTACCCAGTTGTCATTCAGGAGCAGGTTTTACAGTTTCCATGTAGTTGTGCAGTTCTGAATGAGTTTCTTAATCCTGAGTTCTAATTTTAGTCCACCCTGGTCTGAGAGACGGTTTGTTTTGATTTCTGTTCTTTTGCTTTTGTTGAGGAGTGTTTTACTTCCAATTATGTACTCAATTTTAGAATAAGTGCTATATGGTGCTGAGAATAATGTACATTATGTTGATTTGGGGTGGAGACTTCTGTAGATATCTATTAGCTCTGCTTGGTCAAGAGCTGAGTTCAAGTCTTGAGTATTCTTGTTGATATTCTGTCTCATTTATCTGTGTAATATTGATAGTGGGGTGTTAAAGTCTCCCACTATTATTGTATGGGAGTCTAGGCTGTGTAAGTCTCTAAGAACTTGCTTTATAAATCTGGGTGCTACTGTATTAGGTTCATATATATTTAGGATCATTAGCTCTTCTTGTTTCATTGATCCCTTTACCATTATGCAACTACTCTGTCTTTTTTGATCTATGTCGGTTTACAGTTTGTCTTAGGAGAGACTAGGATTACAATCCTTTTTTTTTTTTTTAACTTTCCATTTGCTTGGAAACTATTCCTCCATCCCTTTCTTTTGAGCCTACATGTGTCTTCACTCATGAGATGGGTCTCCTGAATGTAGAATAACACAGGGTCTTTACTCTTCATCCAATTTGCCAGTCTGTGTACATTAATTGGCAAACTTAGGTCATTTACATCGAAGGTTAATATTGTTATGTGTCAATTTGGTCCTGGCATAGCAATAATAGCTGGTCATTTTGCATACTAGTTGATCCACTTTTTTCATAGTGTTGTTGGTCTTTATATTTTGACATTTTTTTCAGTGGTGAGTACAGGTTTTTTCTTTCCATATTTACTGTTTTCTGCAGGAGCTTGTCTAAGGCAGGCATGGTGATGACAAAAACCATCTACCTTTGATTGTCTGTAACAATTCTATTTTTGTTTTATTTATGAAGCTTTGTTTGCCTGAATATAAAATTCTAGGTTGAATTTTTTTTTTTCTTTAAGGATGCTGAATATTGGCCCCTACTCTCTTCTGGCTTGTGGGGTTTCTGCAGAGAGAGCCGATGTTATTCTGATGTGCTTCCCTTTGTAGGTAACCTGACCTTTCTCTCTGGCTGTCCTTAACATTTTTTATTTTTGTTCAACCTTGGAGAATCTGACAGTTATAGGTCTTCATGTTGCTCTTCTCAAGGAGTATCTTAGTGGTGTTATCTGTATTACCTGAATTTCAATGTTGGCCTGTCTTGTTAGGTTGTGGAAGTTCTACTGGATAATGCCTTGAAGTGTGTTTTCAAACTTGGTTCCATTTTCCCCATCACTTATAGGTACACCAATCAATTGTAGGTTTGGCCTTTTGACATGGTCCCATATTTCTTGGAGGCTAGTTTGTTCCTTTTTATTCGTTTTTCTCTAGTCTTGTCTTCATCCTTTATTTCATTAAGTTGATCTTCATTCTCTAATATCCTTTCTTCATCTTCATCAATTCAGCTATTGATACCTGTTTTTGCTTCACAATGTTTCTTGCGCTGTGTTTTTCATCTCCATGAGGTCATATATGTTCTCCTCTAAACTGGTTATTTTTGTTAGCAGTTCCTGTAATGACTTATCAAGGTTCTTATCTTCCTTGAATTGGGTTAGAACATGCTCCTTTAGCTCAGAGAATTTTGTTATTACCGACTTTCTCAAGTTTACTTCTGTCAATTCATCAACCTTATTCCCCATCCACTTTTGTGCCCTTGCTGCAGAGTGCTTGGAATCATTTGGAGGAGAAGAGGCATTCTAGTATTTTTGAATTTTTAGCACTTTTATGCTGGATATTCCTCATTTTTTGTGGATTTATCTACCTGGGATCTTTGATGCCGATAGTCTTTGGATTGGGTTTTGTGTGTGTGTCCTTTTTGTTGATGTTGATGTGACTGATTTCTGTTTGTTAGTTTTTCTTCTAACAGTCAGGCATCTCTTCTGCAGATCTGCTAGAGTTTGCTGGCAGTCTACTTTAGATGCTGTCTGCCTGGGTGTCACCATCTGAAGTTGCAGAACAACAGTAATTGGAAGATTTGATCCTGAGTTGTACCTAACTGGTGCCAGCCAGAGCTCTCCTGTAGAAGTATCTGTTGAGCCCTGCTGGGAGGTGTCTTCTAGTCAGGAGACACATGAGTCAGGGACACATTTGAAAAGGCAGTCTGTCCCTGAGCAGAGCTCGAGCACACTTCTGGGAGATACACTGCTCTCTTCAGAGCAGGCAGGCAAGAATGTTTAAGTCTGCTGAAGCTGCACTCCCAGCCATCCCTTTTCTCACAGTTTCTTTCCCAGAGAGATGGGACTTTTACATATAAGTCCCTGACTGGGGCTGCTGCCTTTCTTTCAGAGATTCCCTACTTAGTGAGGAGGAATCTAGAGAGCCAACCTGGCCACATCTGCTTTGCTTGCTTGTGTGAGTCCCATGCAGTCCAAACTTCTTGGCAGCTTTCTTAACACTGTGAGGGGAAATCCTTATACTCAAGTCTCAGTAATGGTGATCAACCATCTCCCCACCAAGCTTAATCATTCCAAGTTGACTTCAGACTTCTAGGTGGATAGTGAGAATTTGAAGCCAGTGCATCTCTGCTTGCTGTGCTGCATGGGAGTGAGACCTGATGAGTGAGACCACTTGGCTCCCTGGCTTTAGCCCCCTTTGCAGAGGTGTGAATGGTTCTTTGTCACTGGGGTTCCAGGTGCCACTGGGGTACATAATATTTTTTTGCAGCTATCTCAGCCTCTGCCCAAGCAGGCACCCAGTTTTGTGCTTGAAACCCAAGGCTGTGGTTGCATAGGCATACTAGGGAATCTCCTGGTCTGTGAGTTGCAAAACCTGTGAGAAATGTGCAGGATGTGGACTTCATAGCACAGCCCCTGATGGCTTTCCTTGGCTAGGGAGGAAGTCCCCAGCCCCTCACACTTCCTTGGTGAGGCAACACTCACCTGTATCTGCTGCCTTTTGTGGGCTGCACTCAATGTCTAACCAGTCCCAACGAGATGAACTGGGTACCTTAGGTGGAAATGCAGAAATTACCGGTCTTTTGTTGGTCTCTGTGGGAGCTGCCAACAAAAGCTTTTCTTTTTCAACCATCTTGCCAGATGCCCACTGGCTTTTATTCTTATTTAAAGTGTACACTCTTGAAATTACCAGAAGTTTCACTTGTGATGTTTAAAAGCAAAAAGAAAAAGAACAGGGAGAAATATTTTAATAAATTAGTCTCTGTCTTCAAATGTCAATCAAAATCAGTGCCACATTGTGAAAGGTGAAGGAAAAACTAACAGACCAAAATCATGTGATTTCACATTTTGGCTCACTTTGAAAAAGCAGATTTAAGAAGGAAAACCTCCAGAGTTCTATTCTGTATCAAATATTAAGTGTTGCAAAATATGTACTGAAATTGAAATCAATGGTTTTTTTCAGTTCCCAAAGAAACTAGTTTGTACTGTAGCAATTCCTGTTGCTGCTTTCACATCTGTGGGGGTTCAGTCAGGATGGTGGGGAAAATTATCAGATGCAAACCTTACTGGAATGACTGCGGGGTTGGCATCAGCTCCAGTAATAAACTTGGATGAAGGCAGCCTTTTCCCTTTATTTAAATATGTTAGAGTAGAAACAAAGGAATATGGGGTGTTTGTGTAACTAGCTTGCTTACTCGTGAGGTCTGAAGACTATCCTTTGACTTTCCACAGGTGCTTAATTTCTTTCTAATCAGAAGTCCACACTGTCAATTACCCCTTAGTGGTTTTGACTCAAGCCTTTGTCAATTAGTCGTTACTGAATAAATGCAAGTCTTAGTAGTTGGTCAGGGCCACAGTCAAAAATGTTTACACCACTCTGCCTGCAGTCTGTAAGCAGCCCAAATGCTCAGCTGGACTGGCAAAGCAGAGTATCTGCGTTTCAGAGTACTTTATTCACCCACCATTGAGTCAGGGTCTGTGGGACAGACCCCTGCAGACACCTGTAAAGGAATCACTTTGTTGAATGAGATCTCTACATAGTGAAGTATCACACTAATTCAGCACATTGTCTTATTAGCTACAACTTACTATCTCATTGTAGAAATCATCAATTAAAAAACAGGATCAATGCCACAATAGGTACTAGCATATTTTTTTTAATGTTTACTAAGTAGAGCTCAGACTACGATCAGTTTTCTGTGGCAAAACATATGCATGCTTCTTTTGGCAGCAATTATGGAATAATGAGAAAACAATAATAACAAAAAGCACCAGTCTGAAGATGTCATGTACTGTATGATCGCATTTCTATGACATTATGAAAAGTCTACAGCGAAGGTAAACCGACCTCTGATGTACAGTGGTTTGTAGAGGGCAGGGAGTGAGTTGAATAGGGGAATAGGATGTTGGAAAGAAGTACAAATGGGCCAGTTAGAATTAAGCTCCCTCTGGTTGGTGAGATCATGCTATGTGTTTGGAAGAGCCAGTAGTGTGTAGTACCAGCGTGAATAAAAAGGCTCCTACTCTGCCTGGCGTGGTGGCTTATGTCTGTAATCCCAGCACTTTGGGAGACTGAGGTGGGTGGATCACGAGGTTAGGAGATAGAGACCATCCTGGTTAACACGATGGAGCCCTGCCTCTACTAAAAAATACAAAAAGATTAGCCAGGCATGGTCGTGGGCACCTGTAGTCCCAGTTACTCAGGAGGCTGAGGCAGGAGAATGGCATGAACCCATGAGGTGGAATTTGCAGTGAGTGGAGACTGCGCCACTGCACTCCAGGCTGGGTGACAGAGCAAGACTCTGTCTCAAGAAAAATAAAAGGCTCCTACTCACTCTAGAAGAGAAGGATCTTCTTTCACTACACATTAAACTATTTCAGGACCAATTCTCAGGAAGCCTTTGTTGTATGGGGTAAAAGAATCATAAAATAAAATTCACCAATCTAAACATTTGTAGGTGTATAGGTAAGTGGCATTAAGTATGTTTATGTTATCGTGCAACCACCACCACCATTGCACATTCTCACCAGCAATGCACAGGGGTTCCATTTGCTCCACATATTCTCCAACTCTCCTTTTTTCCAAAATAAATAAATAAATAAATAAAAAATAAAGGCATTCTAGTGGGTATAAAGTGGTAAGCTCATTGTGGTTTAGATATTTGTTTACCTAACGGCTAATGATGTGGAACATATTTTTATGTGCTTAGTGGCATTGAATTTGACAATGGTTTCCTGGGTAGGACAGAGAATGCACAGAAAACAAAAGAAAAAAATAGATAAAATGAACTTCCTTAAAACTAAAATCTTTCATGCTTCAAAGGACACTATCAGGATAGTCAATAGAAAACCAACAGTGTAGGACAAAATATTTGCAAGCCATATATAAGAATAAATGTCTACTATCCAGGATATAGAAAGAATTCTTACAACTCAAGAACAAAAAGACAAACAATCCAATTAAAAAAATAAATTAATTAATTGAAAATACTTTTCTCCAAAGATACACAAAAAAACACATAAAAATTAGCTCAACATCACTCACCTCAGAGAAATGCAAATCAAAGCCACAATAAGACACCACTTCACACTCATTATAATTATTATTATTTAAAACCATAAACTAAAATGTGTTGACATGGAAATGGAGAATCACAAAGGTAAAATAATTCCTCTTCTGTGGAAAATAGCTTGATATTTCTGCAAAAAGCTAAACATAGAATTATCATAGAAACCAGCAAATCCACTCCCAGGTATATTCACAAAACAATGTAAAGTAGGTATTAAAAAAAAGTGTACACATATATTGATAGCAGAATTATTCACAATAACTAAAACATGGAAAAAACACAAATGTCCATCAATAAATAACAGGAAAACAAAATGTAGCATATCCTTACAATGGCATAATATTTAGCCATAAAAAGGATTGAGACATTCATACTACAATGTGAAGATACTGCAAAACCATTGTGTTTAAAGAAGCTAAGCACAAAAGTCACGTATTGTATGATTTTATTTATAAACATATCCAAAATAAATAATTTCACAGAGAAAGAAAACAGATTGTTAATTGTCAGGAGTCAGAAAGAGGACAGATTGGGTAGTAGCTCCTTAATAGGTAGGGGATTTCCTTTTGAGATGATGAAAATAATTTGGAATTAAGAAGTGGTAGAACATGCACATTCCTGTGTCACTGAATTATACCTTAAAAAACAGTTAACATATTATGGGAATTATACCTCAATAAAAAATTCCTATCTCCAGTATTCCATCAGCGGGCTGAAGTCTCTTTCCATGGTGTCCCCTGAGCTTGGGGTTCAAGTCCCTTTACAGTGCAGGACTGCTTGTGGCCTGGGCAGAAACATTCTGGACACATGCTTCAGCAACTATGTCCACCAGCTCCTAGATCTGTTACTGGTGGAAAGTATCGGAGTTACTGGCAGCAAATCCATCTGCGTCTTTAGCAATGTCAGTTCTTGCCTCCTCAGGTGAAAGAGTTCAACTGATGGGCATAAAGAAGGAAAAAAAATCCTGAGGCAAGTTTCACAGCAGGAGTGGACATTTATTAAAAAGCTTTAGAGCAGGAAAGAATGAAAAGTGCACTTGGAAGAGATCCAAGTGGGTGACTTGAAGAACAAGTGTGGCCATTTCTCTTCATTCTGGGACTTTATAGGCTGGCCCACCTTGAGCATCTGGTGCACCTTTTTCCATGATTCTTTCCTAAGTGTGGGCTGCCAGCAGGCACAGTGCCCTCCTTACCCTTGAGAAGTGAGCATAGGCAGTGTGTTTGAGCATTTATATGCATGCCCATCTGAAGCTTCCTCCCTTTTTTTGGTGGAGTGACCCCAGAAAGTCATGCTGTACCATTTCGTCTCTTAATGTGCATGTCTCAGTTCACTCACCCAGTATGTAAAATTTTACTAGAAGCCCTTTTTCCCCCTCCCGGGAGTGTGACTTTAGTTAACACTTTAATGTTACCAGCTGTGTATCAGTAGGAACTTGTCTATCCCTGGCTCTGCTGCTAAATTATTATTTTTAGAAAAGCAATGTGATAACTGTCCAACCATTACCCGATGGCCTGACATTCCTGGTAGGTGGATGGGAGAACTCTCTTCTGCCCCACTCATGCCTGTGTAACTTCCTGTAACAGACCCATTGGCCATTTCCAGCTGCAGGTCACTTTTTCTCTGCTGCCTTTCCAGACTCCCAGTGATCAGTGATGCCTCCTCAGGGTTTACAACGTCTTCTGTATCTTGCTCAACTGTAATCCAGACCTCAAGACATAATACCCATGGGTTGTTCCATTTCAATAAAGGGAAATTAACATTTCCTGAGCACCACCATGTGCAGGTGTCTTGCTCAGGTGAACTCACAGCAATGCTGCAAGGTATGGGTAGTCCCACATGTAGAGGAAAATCCCAGGATCATGTGATTGAGTGACTGACTTTCAATCACACAGCTTCCTAGTAACTTCAAGGTTATTGATTTCATTTTTAAAATAATCTGTATGTCTTTACTGGTATTTTCAGTTTTGAATCACTGTACTCCTGGGTTCCCTTAGGTCTTTGAGAATAGTAAAATGAAGTGAATTGAAATATTGGATAGTATTCAGCATATTTGGATAACAAATTCTTAACATCCACAATTCCTTAGTTTGTGGGTTGTTTACTTGTGTAGCAACCCTCCAGAGCTATTTTTGTGGTCTGCATTCTTTGTGTTGTATATCCACTTAATCTGTGTTCTGTCACCTTTTTGATGGTCTACTATTCTCGACATATTTTTTAAAAACAATCCAAGAAAAAAAAAAAGGAAAAGAAAGAAAAGAAAAACTGCCCAGACTTTGGATATGGACTCTTTGAGGAACTCTAGTGTTTAGCCCAAACTCAGGGAAAAGTGAAAAGCTTTGGGGTCTTCTCCATGCATGCATCCAAAAACCGGCATACTTATATCCTTCTAAATATACCAGTAGGAGTCTTTGTGTGGTGGTTCACATATGTAATCCCACCAATTTGGAAGGCTTAGGAGAACAAATCACTTCAGCCAGAAGTACGAGACCAGTCTTCACAACATGGTAAGATCTCTTCTGCTTAAAAAAATACAAAAATAAGCTGGTTCTGGTGGCCCATGCCTATGCTGTGAGATGCTGACAGGGGAGGATAGGTGGAGTCCAGATAGGCGAGATGCTCAGGTGGCTAAGGTGGGAAGTTCATTTGAACCCAAAGAAGTTGAGGCTGCAGTGGATCACGATCATGCCAGCGGACTCCAACGTGGGCCACAGGGCAAGTTCTGTCTCTATTTAAAACCTAATCCAAAACAAACAACAATAAACCGTGAGAGTTTTTCAAAGCTGATTTTCCGCCTCAATTTTCTTCCCAGACTCTTCTTGCAGGCCTTTTGTTTGTGTACCGCTTGACCTGACTCTTTTTCCTTGCTGCAAGTGGCTCTGACTAGTATATTTCCTTTCCATAAATGCCTCCTGGGAGTCAACTTCTGCCCACAAGAAAGCTCTGAGGTGGGCTAAAGAAAAGCCTCTGAGCTAATAATCTCCAAGGGAACCTCAGACATTTTAAATCACACAACCATAATTCTTTGAGATAAGCTCTCTATTTTCCCCATATGCATCAAAAGCTGCATCTATAATTTAATCTTCTTCACAGTGGCCATGAAGCCATGGAGTGGGTGATGATGGGAAGTTAAAATGACACATACTGTCTCGCCCAGACTTAGAGGTCAGGTCTTTCTTCATTAAACACACTCCTGAGTTATGTTATTAGATTCCAGAGCTCCAAAAGTCAAGTCTGAGGTCTTTTTCTCTTCCTTATATCTCTGCACTTTTAACCCAATGAACTCTAATGACAGCATAAAATAGAAACTTGATTAAATTTGCCTTGCTTTTTAATGTTCAGAGAGGTTTTCTGAGATGGAGTCTCCTTCTGTCCTACAGGCTAGAGTGCAGTGGTCCAAACTCAGCTCCCAGCAGCCTCTGCCTTCCAGGTTCAAGGGATTCTCTTATCTCAGCTTCCTGAGTAGCTGGAATTACAGGCATGCACCCCCACGCCTGGCTAATGTTCTTATTTTTAGTAGAAAGGGGGTTTCACCATTTTGGCCAGGCTAGTCTCAAACTCTTGACCTGAAGTCATCCACCTGCCTCAGCCTCCCAAAGTGCTGGGATTACAGGCATGAGCCATCATGTCCAGACTGTTTTGTTAGATTTTATTTCAGGCTGCTTCCATCATTATCACGAGAGCCATTCTGTCTTTCACATAATAAGAAACAGTTAAGAAATGTACGTTTTTGTTAGTAATTTTAATAGATATAACTTTATTATTTTCCAAATTATTAAGAGCTCAGTTAATTCATTTCACCACGGTATGGTAGTTGTTACAAAAAATTAAGTTCCATCTTCCACCAGTTTAATCTCACAGTCTCTAACTCAACTATTTGAGTGTAAAAATTAACTTTATAATTAGACTATGTAACGTTCAGCTCATGTATTATTATTGCATTAGTGGTGTTTTATATAATTAAATGTAAGGGTGATATTTTAGGACATTATCATATTCATCTTGCAGAATCATACCCTCCTAAGAAGACAGAGTTACACTGGGTAGTTGTAGGCATTTCACTATAGAGTTCAAAACACACTCCTCAGATTTCAATGGGAAATGAAAAGTGAAATGTTCTGACGGTTCTGGATAATATGGCCCTAACCAGTAAGGAGATGGCTTGTGTCTTCTGTGATAAAAAGAACAATAAATAATGAATTACTTGAGATTTCCCTACATGTTTGTTTCCTGTATTGTTTGAGTTTTAAATAATGAAAAATCTAAATAATAACTGTCATAATAAATTTAAGCAATAAAAACTTTTCAATACATTTTAAATATAAAATATTTATATTTAGTTATATGAATTAAATGGTCAGTGTACATTTCGTTATTCATGTGACTTCAACAGGCTCTCAAGTATAGGGAAGAGTATGCCAAGTTCCCACCTCTAAATGTCTTATAGCTAGGATGGATAGAAATGGAAGGAGTGAATAAAAAATTAACATAAGCTTATCTGCAACTCAACTGAAATCTTGTTTCATAAATAATCTATAGACGTGGTATTCAAATATTTAACACTGAAATTACAAAGTTGCATTTTTTACTATAATATTAAGCACTTATAGAGAAGTTATTATATCTCTGAATTTTAGCTTAAAATGGTGGATATAATAGTAAATAACACTGAAATAGCTCCTCACTGTATACAATAACAGTTAATAGTAAAGCAGAAAGGAAGAAGAATAGAAAGAAAAAGAAAAGAGATGTGTTTTATCCATTGAAAAGAAGAATAATTCTAGACCCTCAGTGAGAAATCAGTTGAAGTAGGAAATAAATTAAGATGTTGATACTATCATTTAGGGAACAATGAATGATGACCTCAACTGGAATGTATAAACAGCAACAAGAAAAAAAATTTGTAAGTGGTATATAATAAAAAAGTTATTGTAGATAAAATATGAAAGATATGAGGGAAAATAATATATTTGGAATACCTCAGTTTTTATGTTATACAGATGATGTATTTTTAGACAAGATAGTGATGGAAGAGAGAGGCATGTAGAAAGTGTAAAGAAGTTCAGGGGAAGTTATCAATTTAGCTATCTTAATCTTGGGGTGCTTGTAAAAAAATAAAAGCATAATGTATAGGAATCCAAAGGTCATAACACTGGTTGAATTCATTAGAACTACAAGTTTAAAACAGAAGAGGCTTTTGTCTCAAAACAACATCAATAAAAAGCCAGGTGTGGTGGTGTGCATCTGTAGTCTCAGCTACTGTGGAGACAAATGCAGGAAGATTTCTTGAGCCCAGGAATTTGAGGCTGTAGTCAGTCCAGGTCTCACTACTGCACTCCAGGCTGGGTGAACATTTTCTTAAGGAAAGAAAAGAAAAAAGGAAGGGAAAAGGGAAATGAGCAAGGGAAGGAGGAAGAGGTATTCTGTGTAGTTACCTTAGTGGTCTCATGAACAGACATCTATGAGATAAAATGAAAGACAGGGCACGTAAAGTTAAATAGAGAAATCAGAGGTAAGTTGAGTCATGTAATCCAAAGCAAAATAGTATTTCAGGAATGAGGGTGTGAATCAGTTCTGTAGATACACATGACTGCTTGAGTAATATGCAACAGACAAGTGAAATATGGGATTTAGTGACAAGTATAAGATATGATTCTAAAAAACAGGGTAAATGCCTGAAGAAAAGAGGGTTAAGAGAAATAAAATTAAACCTTGTCAGGGCAAACTCTTTCCATGAGTCTTGTTATCACGGCAAATAAACAAATGAGTTGAGAGTGCCGTATCTAGGACTAAGACTAACAGCATGTAGATCTAGTAAAGAAAATGATCAAGCCTGGTTTGGTGGCTCACACCTGTACTTCCAGCACTTTGGGAAGCTGAGGTGGTGGGTCACTCGAGGTTTGTTCAAGACCAGCCTTGGCAACACAGTGAAACCCCATCACAATTAAAAATTCAAAATTTAGCCAAGCATGGCAGTACATGCCTCTAACATCAGATACTCAGGAGGCTGAGGCAGGAGAATCACCTGAATCTGGGAGGCTAAGGTTGCAGTGAGCTGAGATTGTGCCAGAGACTCCGTCTTCAAAAAAAATTAAACTAAACTAAAATAAAAGAGTAAGGATAATGATCCTGTAGGTAGAGTGAAGAAGTAATGGTACAGAGAGATAACAAATAATAAGTAAATCAGTCTTTTAAGAAGTTCTGAAATCCAAAGGACAGGTGAAGAGAGTCATAGATAGGAGCAGAAAAATAATACACAAATCTACAGGAGCTTTATTGTTGGTGGTGATTTCTCATGAGAAAGAAACACAAAAGAAAGTGTGAATAAGAAAGTAGTCTCCATTGGTTGGTAGAAAACAAAAAAAAAAAAGGAGAAAACAACAACAAAATAATGTAAATTATATAACATTAAGCTTTAGCGTTCTTCATCCCTTCCCACTGTGATTGTTTCCCCAAGAAATAACAGAATCCAAATAGTCAAAATAGAAGAAACCTTTAGCATATATTACTGTCTATATACATTAAGCCCATTTTATTTTAATTATAATTCATTCTTTTACAATTTTTATTTTAAATTAACAAATGTAAATATTTATGGGACACAAACTGATTTTATAATGCATGTATATGTTGCAAAAGAATTAAATTGGGCTAGTTACCATATCTATCACCTCACATACTTACCATTTCTTTCTTGTGGTAAGAATATATAAATTCTACTTTTTAAACAACCTATTTGTCTGAGATAGAATTCAACCTCTGTCTCCCGAGTTGAAGTTTTTCTCTTGCTCAGCTACTCGAGTAGCTGGGATGACATACGCATGCCACCAAACCTGGCTAATTCTTGTATGTTCAGTAGAGACAGTGTTTCCTCATTTTGGCCAGGATGGTCTCGAACTCCTGACCTCTAGTGATCCTCCCACCATAGGCGTTCAAAGTGCCTGGATTTCAGACATGAGCCAACATGCCTGCCCTTTTCTTTATTAAGCAACTTTGAAGTTGACTTATTAACTGTGGTCACCATTCTGTGCAGTGGATCTCCAGAACTCCTTCCTTTCTCACTGAAATATTTTACCCTTTGATGAACATCTCCCCTTTCTCTATCCACTCCTATCACCACCCCTCACTCCAATCTCGGACTCTTTTTTTCCGTGTTTGTTTAGAGTCAGGGCCGTGCTGCATTGCCAAGGCTGGAGTACAGTGGCACAAGTATGGCTCACTGGGTCCTCAAACTTCTGACCCCAAGTGATCCAACCATCTCATCCTCCTAAGATGCTGGAGTTACAGGCATGAGCCACCATATCTGACATATTCACTGTTTGAATGAGTTCAACTTTTTTATATATAATTGTGATCACCCTATACTTGTCTTTCTGTGCCTCTCTTATTACACTGAGCATAATATCTTCCATTTCCATTCACTTGGTCACAAATAAGTAACAGGACTTCCTCCTGTTTTTAAGGCTGTGTAGTATATCTCATTGTATATATGTGCCACACTTTATCTGTCGATCTGTTGATGAGCCCTTGGGTTGTTACTGTATCTTGGCTATTATGAATAACGCTGAGATGAATATAGGACTGCAGCTATCTCTTTGACATGCTAATTTTATATGCTTTGAGCACATATTTTGAAGTAGAGTAGCTGGATCATGTGGTAATTCTATGTTTAATTTAACTTTATTTTTGAAACCTCAATTCTATGACCCCAAAAGCACAGGCTACAAAAGCACAACAAAAAACAATTGGATCATATTACATCAAACTGAAATGTTTCTGCACTGCAAAGGGAAAAGGGAAACAAATAGATTGAAGAGACAACTAAAACACTTGGAGAAAATATCTGCAAACCACATACATGATAAAAGGTGAATAATAAATACATACAAGGAACTCAAGCCACTTAACAACAACAACAACAAAAATTAAGCCTATGAAATATGGACAGAGGACCTGAATTTACATTTCTCAAAAGAAGACATACAACTAGCAAACAACTCTAAATTAAATATTGATTAATTGATTGATTTGAGATGGATTCTCACTCTGTCATCCAGGCTGGAGTGCAGTGATGTGATCTCAGCTCACTGAATCTCCACCCACTGGTTTCCAGCAATTCTGCCTCAGCCTCCCTAGTAGCTGGGATTATAGGTGTGTGCTACTTCACCCGGCTAATTTCTGAACAACTGCATGTTTAAAGATGCTCAACACCACCATCAGGGAAATGCAAATTGAAACCAACAATGAGACCTGCTTTCACACATGTTGGAATGGCCATTACTATCAAGATGAAAAACGACAAGTGTTTTTGAGAATGTAGGGCACAGAGAATGCTTGTGCACTATTGGTAGGAATGTAAATTAATATATTACGTTATTAACCTGATGATTTATTTTTAAGAGAACAGGTTTTGTGCTTTAAGATGCATTAATATGAGTGGTTTTCTGTTAGTCAGTTTAATGAGAAACACTTTGGTTACCTTAAATTAATATAAGTAGGAGCATGCTCATAAGACTTCTCTTTCAGGTTCTCCTTAAGTACAGAATGAAAACTATGGTAAGTACTCTTTCTGAAAAGAAAATATTCGCTGATAATGTATATGCTAGATTACAAACACTTGTTAAATTAAAGGCACATGTTCCAAAAGTGTACCAGGTGAAAAATGCATTATGGGTTTTTTTTCTGCCCAGATTTTGGACCCAGAGGGATTTTTGATTTTGTTTTGTTTTGTTTAAAAATTTGTACAATTATATTGAAGAAAATAAAAATTGCTAATGCATAGTAACAGGAGAAAAATCAATTTTATTAGAAACTACTTCCAAGACTTTGCTGTTTATATTTTTATGAGTATCTTTATAAAGTCATATCCAGCCTCTTTACTCTTTGTTCTGTGAAAGTATATATGTATATTTTATGGATATTGCATACTTTTTATTGATAACATCCAACCCTTCTCCATGAATGACAGTAATTCCTCAGCTGCTTATTTTTATTCTTTTGAGTTTTCTCTAGATGTTTACACAATATCACAGTGCTTCTGGATGATTTTCTGTATGTCCTGGCAATACTTTGTCTGATCACCTTGGATGCAGACACTGACAGAAGAGGAGCATAAAGCCAATGGCTAATAGGTAGGTTATGATGAGCTACATGGCAATTAATGAGTCGCAAGGCTTCAGTAAAATTTTCCCTCCAAAGAACCAAAATACCAATATTATTATCACATTTTCTAAAACCGGAAAGCTGCAGTGTTGGATTGTGTGGTCCACCTCTGTCTCTTGTCAATTATTTTCTTATTTGACAGCTGCAGCTTAACTGATGACCAGCAGAGAAGTTGATGGCAGCTTATACTAGCATGGTTAAGATAAGCATCCATACTGTACCCGCCATGCTGGAATTATTTTCTGTGTTGCTATGAAAATGAACTCCAGTTTTCCAAATCTCCGGCCATGATGCCAAAAATAATACAAAATATATGATTAATAGAAAGTGTAGGGTCCTCAGTTTCAGAGATGCAGGGAAAAATGCCAGAGTCACTACACGTGAGATAGTCACCAAGGAATGCCATATCATGACAAAGATGAATTTTATTACCCATAGCTTAATGGCAGCAAAGTTGTTGCAGGTGTGGATTGCTAGTATGTTGCGGTGAATGGCCCCATACACAACTGATAAGAGGGAACATATAATCAGCGATGCTATTAACGGTAAATATGAAAATGTTAGAGAATAATTTGTATTAGTAATGGCCACTTTCTCTTTTAAACTTGACATGTTAACATATATGCCTCCCAACCCACCTCCTTCAGAAAATAATTGACTTAAAAGAAACAAAAAAAAAGTGCTAACTTTCCATTATCAGGGATTTAGTAAATCTATGCATGCAAAACATATATTACTCCTGGGAAAAACAAATAATAAGGGAATACATATATATTCATATTTATAAACTTCTATACATATTCCCTCAAAGAAAATAGCTGGAACAGATGAAATTAGATAGATACATTCATATCTGATGCTATAAGGTGTGACAGCACATAGAAAGATTTCTCAACAAAGAAAAAATCAAATTACCTGAATTAGACCTTGAAAATGTAGCTTCTTTTTTATAGAAAGTTAGAGTGTAAAGTAAGAAATTACAGAGTAAAATAGGAGGCAAATGTAATATAAACTGTGTTTTAGATTATGGTGATAACAGAAAGTAGGAAATAAGCTGTGGAGTTAAAGTAAATCCTGGAAGTAGAACTGAACAGATTTTGCTGAGTGATGGAATACCAGGTACTAGAGAAGAAGAAAAACTAAAAGTTTTAGAAATTAAGTGTTACATGTGTATGTGCTTTTGTTTGCATGTATGTATGTAATTTTATCAGAAAAATTTTTCATAAGCAAATTAATTTAATTTTGACATTGTTCTGCGAATAATTAGACGAATATGCACAAGAAAGAAAACCAAAATTATGAAGTAGTTGAATAATCAGTTTAAACAATTCTGTACTACATTCAGTTGAAAGAGTAAAACTTCATTTCACATATGCAGGTGGGTTAAAAAAATACACTCTTCATACACAATGAAATGAAGCTAGAAAACAAAAAGAGGCCAAATAGTCATCACTTACCTAAAGTAATTACTCATTTTATAACACCATTTAGAAAATGAATATCAACAGTCCATTTATTCCTTCAGGAATACCCAAAGAGAAACTCTAAAGCAATAACATTCTGAACTGTATTTATGAGAAATAAGACTGAATAAAAATAAATGACCTAAAAATTAAGTCTTAGAAAGTAATTTTAGCTGGGTATAGTGACTCATACTGTAATCCTAGCACTTTAGGAGGCTGAGGTGAGTAGATCACTTGAGCCCAACAACAACAGCAACAACAACAACAACAACAACAACAACAACAAAGAACAACAGTAACAACAAGGAAATACACAAAAAAATGTTAGGGAGGCATGGAGGCACATGCCTGTATCTCAACTATTCAGGAGGCAGAGGTGGGAGGATTGCTTGTGCAAAGGTAGTAGGCATAGAGCTTTTTTGCCTTGGGACTTTTATATCCCTTTCCCCTGACCCCAGCACTTTAGGAGGCTGATACTCAGGGTTAACCTTATAGACCAACCCCGGCAACAGATCAGAAACTATGACCTCAGCAGAATGGACTTCAGTTCCTGTCAATATTCCTGTTGATTGACTGCAGTAACTTCAGGCACCAAATAAACGACACAGGGCAGACCATGGAAGCTACAGACCTTGAGTGCACCCATTGCTCAACTGTGTGCTACAGATGGAGCCTGGCATTGACTCAGCTTTGCCGGTCAAATTACACCAACCATGAAAGTCTGCTCATTAGTGTTTCCCCTAGTGCTACCAGGGCTGAAGCTATCTTAGACTTAAACACCTTAATTTCCTTCTTCTCCTTGCCCTGAATCTCTGGACAGGCTTACCGTGGAAGAAAGCTTCCAAACACAGCCAAACCATGAACATTGAATTAGGCACCTACATCACTGTGCAGACATTGATGCGTAGTCCCAAGGATTAGGATCGATGAGAGAAAGATGATGGCATCGAGTGGTCAAAATAAGGTGTCAGTGGTGACTGACCCACAAGAGACGGGCATGGACACATTGCCTGACAAGGAATTCAAAATAATTATTTTAAGACAATGCAGTGGACTTCAGGAAAACACAAAGGATTCTGAAATTTATCAGAGAAACTTACCTGAGAGGTTAAAATAATGGGAGAAAAAAACAAACAAAAATCTTGAAGAATAAAACACCACAAAATAAAAAATGCAGTTGACAGCAATGCCAACAGAAATGGTCAAGCAGCAAAACTCAAAGATAGGTCAATTCAAAGTACACAGTCAGAGGAGCAAATATAAATAAGATTCATGAGATTAATGGGATAACATCCAAACAGCAAAGGTATCAGACACTAGCATTCAAGAGTGTGGTAGAGCTGGGCACAATGGCTCATGCCTGTATTCCCAGCACTTTGGGAGGCCAAGGTGGGAGGATCACATGTTGCCAAGAGCCTGAGAGCAGCCTGGCTACATGGTGAAACTGTTTCTCTATTAAAATACCAAAATTAGCCAGTTATATTGGTGGACATCTGTAACCCCAGCTACTCAGAAGGCTGAGTTTGGAGAATCACTTGAACTCAGGAGAATCTCTGGAACCCAGGACTTGGAAGTTGCAGTGAGTCACAATCACACCATTGCACTCCAACCTGAGACAAGAGCAAACCTCCATCTCAACAAAAAAATGTATAAAAAAGAGTAGAAAGCTTATTTAGAGAAATAATGAGAAACCTTTCCAAACTTACATAGAAATATAAATATTCTGCTACAGGAATATCAAGGGCTTCCAATCATATTCAATATCAATAAAAATATCTGCATGACTTAATATAACCTAACCACCAAATATCAAAGTCAAAGAGAGGATACAGAATTAAGCAGGAGAAAGAAAAGAAAATATTATTTCAAGAATGCAAGTATATAAGTAATATATGCATATATATAATACAAATGTTAATAGATCCAAAGACAGATAAAAAGTGCAAGATAATAATAGAAAACTTCAGCACCTTACTCTCTGCAAAGAATAGATAATGCAGACTGAATTCAATAAGTAAGCATTGGATTAAAATGCCGAGTAGGGCAAATGCTAAAAACAGCTACTGAACTATCCATCCAAGAGCTATAAAATAAACATTCTTCTCCACTGCAAACATGGAAGATCTTCCAGGATACGTCATACATTAGGCAAAAAAAGTCACATCTTAACAAATTTGAAAAGATCAAAGTCATATCAAGTATCTCTTCCGAAATCACTAAATCATAAGTATATCAAAATTAAACAACATACTCCTGAACAACCAGTGAATCAATGAAGACAATAAGGATAAAACACCGTGTTTCTTGAGTCAAAAATAGAAACACAACACCGCAAAACCTGTGGGAAACAACCAAAGCAGTTTTAAGAGGGAAGTTATGGCAATAAATGCCTTCATGTAAAACAAGATATCAAATACACAACTTGATGTTTCAATCAAGGAATCAGAAAAACAAAAAGCTAAACTTAAAAGTAAAAAAAAAACAAAGCCCCTAATAAAGAAAATCAGAGCCAAAAAAGAGATACCATAACTGACACCAAGAAATAAATTAATGGTAAGAAATCGAATCAGCTGTAAAAAGTCACCTGTTAAAGATAAGCCCAGGACCTGATGTGTTCACTGCTGCATTCTACCTACCACAAAAAGGAAACTACTGCCACTTTTTTTTAACCTAGTGAAAACAAAAACATAAAAGAAAAAAGGAAGATATGGGAACCGTTCCAACTCATTCCATGGGGACGGCATTACGCTGATTACTAAACCAGACAAGGATACAAGAAAAAAGAGAAAACTATGGGCCACTATATCTAATAAACATAATGCAAAAATCCTCAACACAATACTGGGAAAATGACTTATAATGCACATTTGGAAAATCATTCACCGTGATCAAACGAGATTACAGGGATGCAGGAATGGTTTAATACACGAGAATTATTAAATGTCATAGATTACATCAACAAAATAAAGAACAAAGTCTATGCATTCATTTCGATATATGAAAAAAATGACAAAATTCGACATTTTTCACAATAAAATCTCTTAATAAATCATGCGTGGAACAACTGTAACTCAACACAACAAATGACATAGACCCAAATAACCAGATAACACTATATATGATGAACCCTTAGCTAGTATCACAGTCAGTGAGAGTTAAAATTGAAAGCTTTGCTGTGAAGATCTGAAAGAAGACCAGGATGTTCACTTTCACTACTTATAGTAACATAAAACCGAAAGTCATTAACTAGATAAATTAGTCAAGAGAAAGTGAGAAAAGTCACCCAAGTTGGAAAGGCAGAAGTAAAATTGTCCATATATGCTAATGACATATAAGGGAATCCTTAAACATACCACTAAAAAGTAGTTAGAACTAATTCTGAAAGTCAGTAACGTTTCCGTTTATGAAATCAACATATAAAATTCCATAGCATTTCCATGCACTAATAGCAAAGTATGTATTAAAAAAAAAACTTCAGAAAACAATCTCATTTACAATAGCTATGGGGGATAAAAAGGAGTAAATTTAAGCAAGGAGGTAAAAAAATCTGCATTCTGAAAACTATGAAACATTAATAAAATGTTAAAATGACATAACTAAATGAAAATATATCTATGTTTCTATGTTCGTTGATTGGAAAAAGTAATATGGTTAAAATGTTTATATGAGCCAAAGCAGTGCACAGATAGAATGCAATCTCTATCAAAACACCAATCGCATTTTTCACAGAAATTGAAAAAATCCTAAATTAATACAAAACCACAAACACACACACACAAAAACCCTGAATAGTCAAAGCAATCGTGAAGATGGCAGTGCGGTTGGGGAGTGAACCCACAGAACTGGAGATGTCACAATGCTATAAACCAATACAATAGAACACAGTGAACAAAAATAAATTTACACCTGTATAGCCAACTGATATTCCTCAGAGGTGCCAAGAACACAAAATGAGAAAATGTCAATCTCTTCCATAAGTGGTGCTGGGAAAACAAGAGAGCTACATGCAAAAGAATATAATTAAAACCCTATTTCTCACCACGTACAAAAATTAACTCACACGGATTAAAAAGCCTACTGCAGTGGTGTGCCCCTGTAGTTTCAGCTACTCAGGAGTCTCAGATGCGAGGATCACCTGAGCCTAGGTGTCGAAAGCTGTAGCATGAAACACTTATGCCACTGTACTCCACACTAGGTAATATAGTGAGACCTCACCTATAAGAATATATTTTAAAAAACATTTAAAAATAAAGATGTAATGAAAACACAAAACTGTCAAACTAGTTGAATAAATCACAAAACACATTTAATGACGTTGGTCTGGGCAGGAATGTTTTTTGGATAAGACTTCAAAAGCACAAGCAAAAAACACACAGGCAGAAAAATGAGGTTACATTATACTAGAAAACTTCCATACAGCAAAAATGAAAATAAAATAAAATAAATCACCAGAGTGATAGAATGAGAGAAAATATTTGCAAACTGTACATCAGACAAGGAGTTAATCAAAATATACCAGGAACTAAAAATGATTCAAAAGAACAAGGAAATAATAACCTAATTAAAAATAAGTATCTTCTGTTTTCAAAAGAATATATACACAGAGCTAACGGGTGTGTGTGTGTGTGCACGTGTGTGTGTGTGGGTGTGTGCATGTCTGTGGCTGTGTGTATATATATGTAGGTGATTACTATATATATGTATATACACACACACATATATATGCATATAGTAATCTTAACATTTCTCATGATCACAGAATTGCAAACTCTACCTTCCAGGCTCAAGCGATTCCACTGCCTCAGCCTCTGAAGTAGCTGGAATTAGAGGCACGTGCCACTCGCCCAGCTAGTTTTGTATTTTTAGTAGAGATGGGGTTTCACTATGTTAGCTAAGCTGGCCTGGAACTGCCAACCTCAGGTGATCTACCCGACTCGGCCTTTCAAGGTGCTGGGATTAGAGGTGTGAGCCACCATGCTCGGTCTATTGCAAGAAATTTAAGAAATTTATAAAATTTCATAAGTTGACCTTGTAAAAAAGAAAAAGTTGGCCAGGCACGATGGTACACACCTGTAATCCCAACCCTTTCGGAGGTCAAGGTGGGTGGATCACGAGGTCAGGAGCTTAAGACCAGCCGGACCAGTATAGTGAAAACCCATCTCTACTAAAAACACAAAAATTATCTAGGCGTGGTGGTGTGCACCTGTAGTCCCAGCTACTCGGGAGGCTGAGGCAGGAAAATCCCTTGAACCTGGGAGTTGGAAGCTGCAGGGGGGTGAGATCACACCACTGCACTGCAGCCTGGGTGACAGAGCGAGACTCTGTCTCCAAACAACAACAACTATAGCAACAAAATGAGGTGTGTTTTTACTACATGGAGATTTATTGGTTCTGATATTGTCAGGAGTTTTATTTATTTGTTGAGTTTTTTGGCTATTGTGTTGTTCATTTTTTGTTATTTCTGCCTAAGTCCTTTTCTTTCAGGAGATTCAGTCAATTAAACTTAAATTAGCTCCAGAGTATGGTCCAGAATCACTGCATGCATTGTCACTCAGATTAAGCCTTTGGCTTTGCAGGAATGTTTATTGCCCTGCTAGTGTTACTAATTGCTCCTGCTATTACTAATTTGTATTCGCATAGAAGATTAAATCGTGAGGTTACATATTTTTGCATGTGTTTATAAACTTCTGCACTTACCTTTTTGATGAAAGGTAAGACTTATCCCCATTGCCTCCTAATCATATAAAATGTATATAATTTTTATACATTTTACTATCTTGGAACTCTACATGCACATCTGTTAGTGCTAGTGTTACTAATTGCTAGTGTTACTAGTGTTACTAATTGCTCTTGCTTTTACTAATTGCTCCTAGTGTTAGTAATTGCTCCTCCTATTACTAATTTGTATTTGCATAGAAGATTAAATCGTGAGGTTACACATTTTTGCATGTGTTTATAAACTTCTGCACTTACCTTTTTATTGAAAGGTAACACTTATCCCCATTGCCTCCTAATTATATAAAATGTATATAATTTTTATACATTTTACTATCTTGGAACTCTAAATGCACATCTGAATGAAATTAGTTCTTACAAAATTTACAGTACTCGTGCAAATCAGCATAGTAACAGAGAGAAGTCAGATGGAAATGAACTGCCTAGCTATGTTTTGATATTCCAAGTCATAGCTACAAATTTAGGGATATCTAGAAAATCTACCACTAACGTGTTAAATCACGTCAGTTGACAAATAAAATTTATGAGATTAATTTTGAGCCATACTCTCTTCTCACTCTACTCTCATCCCTTAATTTAATGTTATATTTCTATCCCTCATAACTATTTGGAATGCCCATGAGGCTGAATTAGAATAATATTAAAAGGAACAGAAAAAACGACTGACTTAATCCCATTTGCATTGTTAAAAAACTATCATTACCTTATGACTGATAAAAATTGCATGGGAAAATTTTCAAAATTGTGAAAAGTAAATAAATCTAAACAGAGGGTGCATTTCAGTTAGAGGAACGATGATTATCACTTCCTTAATCTTGTTCGTGAACTATTTATATTCTATTTACTGTTTGGAAACAGAGAATGAGAGATATTTGTGTCACTTACCTCACTATAGGTCCTAAAGGAAGAATGCGCCAAGAAAAAGTAATGCAGCTTTATTTCTTCTAAAGTCTTTGTTGAAAAACGTTAGGGTGATTTGATCCAAAATTACCTGCACAACAATAAAGCTCATGGCAAATGACATCAGAATCTGTCACTAGCTTTTCAATTAATTTCAGACATATACAAAGCATAGGCGCCTCACCACAGCAGAGAACAGCTGAGCAGAGAACGCTGAAAGGAAAACTCATATGGGGTCTGTGCCCAAGGACCATTTCTTCTTCCAAAAATAAAACTCCTCCTGTACTTTCTTTATCAGTCTCTTCAAACACTGTGTCCATTCTCAGCATGCTGCTAATTCAAACTCTTCTTGTCAGTGAATCCAGTATAGCTCAGTATCAAATCCAAACAGAAGAAAACCAGATTCTGTATAATTCACTGTTCATGGAAAATATAAAAAAGTAAATACGGCTCACTAATCACAACTTAAAAATCTATGTCTTGTTTAAGAAATATTAAACCATGACTTGACATAATTTAGTCAATTAAAGCATTTGACATAATTCAGTCAATATGTCCAGTAACTTGACGTACTATTTCTTCAGTACATATTGTTTAAAGGAAATAGACAATAAAACTTGTATGAGGCATTGACTACCCCTTAATACCAAGATGATAGTCCTGTCTTCAAGTAGTAAGAAAAAAGGTGCACATTTCTCCTAAGTTTCCTTTTTGTGACCTTCAGCCAGTGTCTCCTGCTGACATCAACTAAAACAAAAGGGCACAATGTCTAAGCCAAATCTAACCATGATGACACTGAGAAAAGTATCTAACAGGTATTTCTGATTGAGAGAGGAATAGAAAATAGTGAGCCCTTTAAGTACCACTTATTGTTAGTTGTTGGCCATTTTTCATTTAAAATACTGATTCTTGGCTTGATTTAATGCAGAAGTTATGAAGTTATTAATCAAGTAAAGTTATGAAGTTATTAATCAAGTTATTAATGAAGTTATTAATCAAGAAAAGTTTCAATTTAAATAGATATGAAATCCAGATTTGAATGGTTATAGAAGATCCAAATTCTATTTTGTTGGGGGGGGGTAGGGGTGGGGTGAAATAGCTCTTATTAGGTTCTTTGCAGACAAACTGCCAGAGAAATTACTGATATACTGTCAAGGTCAATTAGTCATTATGTGTGGGAAGCAATATTAAACAAAAATGAATAAGAAGGAAGAGAAAAGGCAACAGGACTTTTAACTCAAGTAAATATTGGAACAGAAACCTTTTTCTGACTAAAAAGGTTGTTAATATAATAAAAAGGCATGAAAGGTGTAAGAATCTAATGCAAATTACCAGAGAGAAAACATAATATTTTCCCAGAAGACATTGGTCTTTTGTTAAAATATAACAATGGGAAAAATAGAAGCAGTAGTTTAAGTAAGTGGAAGGGAAGAATCAAGAAGTTACTATTTTATTTTTATTTGATAAGATGTTTATTTCCTGAACTTTCTTTGCATTGCTTTTATTCTCATAACTTATCATAAATATGCTTTCCTCCAATTTGCTAAGTTTTATGCTGCAGAGTATTAAATTCCTCAACTTCTGTTGTTCATTATTCTGATCCTAATCACACCTTTATCTATATGCACTTATTTATTCAAAGACAAAACATTTATCACATTTTAAAATACATCCTCCTGGACCCAACTCATCAATATGATTGATATTTTCCTCTTTTGCATAATTAATTTTATTCTCTTCTTCACTGCCCTGATTTCCTTATCACACATGTATAAAAAACTCCATATTTTATGATCCACAACAAAAAAAAACTGTCTCTTTTGGTACTGACCTTTTTCTCTGCTTTAATTTGCACAGAGAATTTCTATTAGCTATTTCCTTTCCATCAGTTCTTATTCTGCCTCAAGTTTTATCCCACAACAGTGAAGTCATAGTCCTTTCTCAAAGGTCATCAGTGACACCCTAATTGCTAAATTTAAAATTTTACCTTGAATTTCAGGTGAATATTTTTACCATTGATATTACACTCTCATTTGAAAATTCTACTTACCTTTACCAGTCAGGCTTTCATCCCCAACAGTCTACCAAATGTACTATATTTAAAATAATTAGCTTCCCTTTTTGCCAAATATAATAGTTTGTTTTTTAAATTTCTTGTCTTTGTTGTTTGTGTGTTTATTGAGACATGGTCTGCCTCTGTTCTCCAGGCTGGAGTGCAGTGCTTTATCAAGAACTGACTGCAGCCTCAACCTCCCAGGCTCAAGCGATCTTTCCACTGCAGCCTCCAGGGTGACTGTGACTACAGGCCACCCAGACTAGCTAATTTTGGTAGAAACACGGCCTCTCCTTGTATCCCAGGCTGGTCTTGATTCCTGGGATCAAGCCGTCTGCCTGCCTCAGGCTCCCAAAGTGCTGCCATTGGAGGTGTGAGCCACCAGTCCTGGCCAAATGTAACAACTATTTCTTAGTTTGTCTCTTCTTTGAACTATTCCTAGTGAGTTTACTCTCAATCTCCCAGTTATCTCTTCAGTACCATGGATTTCTAAATGGTACTGAGTCCCAGATTGTTATCTCCAGCCAGTCTCTTACTAAAGCCCAAATCATGGATGACTCTAATGCACATACTCATGTTTAACAGACAATTTGATCTCAAGGCTACACACTGAATTCTGATGCTCCTGCCAAAAAACTTTCCCCAGGTGTTTCCCATTTCACCTGATAGTAATTACATCCCGCTGCAAAGGCCTAAAACTGTAAGGTCAACAGTGATGCTTTTCTTTACATCTCATCATTTCTATTAATCCCCAAATTCTGCATGTTTTCCTTTTAAAACGGGTCCCGAATCTCACCACTTTTCCCTGTTTCTCCTGCTGTCACCCAGATACAGGTCATCCACATTTCCCATCTGATTAACTCAGCCTCTTTAGTGATCTCCTATCTTCCACTATTACAACTATTACACTATTACAACTATGTGAGTTATAGCTCAGATACTATAAAATTAGCCATTGTAAAGTACAAATTCAGTGATTTTCACGATATTCTCAACGTTATGCAACCATCACTATTTGTCCTTACCTTAAAAAGTAAATCTACCTATTAGCATTCAATCCCAGCTTCCCTTTGTCCTAAGATAAAACCATGGTCTTTATAATGTAATAAACCACTGCATATTATTTTCTTCTTCTTATATTTTGCTTATCTTCTTCTACCGTCCTCTTTCTTGTTCTGAGCCTCAGTGTAGGCTACAACTTCAGAGGTTTTGCACTCCTTGTTGTTTCAATAAGTTTGCTCAGATCTCCTTTGAGCTTATACTATTTACCTGCTTATAAATGAACCCACCAACCTTATCTTTATTACTTAAAAATAAAATCACTAGCTGTTGTCACTACTTTTCACTAAAGCCAAAATGTAAATTCCATCAGAACATGGATTTTTGTCTTTTGTCAGGTGAACTGGCATAAACAATACTTGATATATTTGCACTTAAATTTATCTATCTATCTATCTATCTATCTATCTATCTATCTATCTATCTATCTATCTATTTATGGCCCGGGGGTGGAGTGTGATTAAATCTTGCTCTGTTGCTCAAGCTGGAGTGACAGGATCTCAGTTCACTGCCACCTCTGCCTCTTGGGTTCAAGCAATTCTGCTGTGTCAGCCTCCTGAGTAGCTGGGAACTCAGGGGCCTCCCAGACCAACTGGCAGTTTTTTTGTTTGTTTGTTTGTTTTTGACATTTTTAATGCAGACGGGGTTTCTCCATGTTGGCCAGGCTGATGTCAAACTCCTGGCCTCAGGTCGTCCACCCGCCTTGGCCCCCCACACTTAATTGTTTTGATTGAATGTGTGAGTAATCATGCCTGGCATGACCTTTATTCTAAAAGGTTCAAAGACATAATATCTGCAACACGACTTATTATTTGGTCTTCTTATTAAACTGTGGAGACTGAAGCAATAAAAAGTTACATAATTTGTCTAAATTATTTATCCTGCTGGTTTTATTGTCAAACTAGATAATTCTGTCTGCTTCTATTTATGTATAACAAGGATTAAAAGGTACATTAAATTCTTCAGGTGTATGCTCCACAATTTATAATTTAAAACGGATATTGCCAACTTCTTTCTAGATTCTGAGTTTCGCCTTCTTATATAAAATGGTTTAACATTTAGGGGCATATTTCTAGGCATTATTTATAAGTAAACCATCATCCACCTACATGGCCATTTCCCCCAGTTTTGCTGTGTAGACTGGAGAAAGCATTCTTTCTTATTCAATTCCAATTTTGAGTTTAGCTCACATTGTTTTTTCAGTTGTTCACTTCTCTGCCACTTTATGTGACTGAGGCCCATTCAATACTTTTGTCTCGTGTTTAACTTGCATCTACATTCCTGCTAAGGCTCGTAGTGCTCAAAACTTTGACCAAGCTTTCAACAGTTTTTTAATTGAGAGATAACTCACAAACTATCACATTAGCCATTTTAAAGTACATACTCTGTTTTTTTTCAGGGTATTCACAAAGGTGTGCAAACATCACCACTTTTTAAATACAGAAGATTTCCATCATCAAAAAAATGAAAACACCTCTGCACCCATTACCATTAACTCCCAGCTTCCCCGTTTCCTAGAGCCCTTGGTATCCAATAAGCCGTTTTCTGTCACTATGGATTTGCCTATTACAGACACTTCATATAAATGGATTCATACAGTATGAGGCTGTTTGTGACTTACAGCCTTCTGTTGCAGATTATCCTCAAGGGGCTATGTATAAGAAACACCCATGAAAGGTAAAGACAATGCCTCCTTCTAAGGCAGAGTTTCCTTTCTTTACAATGCTGGGGTCTCCTAAGCTTGAGATTTCTGCAACAGGCTTGCTATTCTTTCCTGTTATTAAGCCAGGCATACTGAGGCAAAAAAGTTTCAGTATTTTGTCTAAATTCTTTATCTTGGTGGTTTCATTATAGAATATATGGATTTGCATCAATCATATCAGATATATGGTAGGTGAACGTATGATGCCAATGCACGGCAAGGGTAGCATCGGCCTAGGTCTACCTCCACATTAGGAGTTGATGGAAACATTTATATCGTGACTAATGCTACTACAAACATTCCTATACAAATTAGCATAAATACACCTTGATTTTTGGAAAATATGCAAATGTACTCAAATTATTTAAGAAACAGACTGTTTTCTAAAGAAGCAACCTCACTTTATATTCCCACTAGCAATTTGGATGTGCTTCCCAATGTTTCCATATATTCACAAACATCTGTCATTTCTTTCTGATTACAGGCCATTCTATTTAATATACATTTATATCTCTCATTGTGGTTTGCTTTTCATTTTCCTCATACCTAGTTTTCTTTTCACATGCTTAGTTCTAGATTTGATGTGACAATAATTAAAAAGATAAAGGAGCTGGGCATGGTAGCGGGCACTTGCAGTCTCAGCTTCTCAGGAGGCTGAGGCAGGACAATTGCTTAAACCCAAATGACTCAGCTATTTCATTACTGGGTATATAGCCCCCCTTCAAAAAAAAGTCATTCTATTCTAATAATAGGTGCATGTGTATGTGTGTTACAGCACTAATTACAGTAGCAAAGGCATTGAATTACTCAGATGCCCATCAGTAACAGACTGGATAAAGAAAGCATGGCACATATATACCATGAAATAATATGCAGCCAATAAAAGAAGGAGATCATGTTCTCTGAAGGGAGATGGGTGAAGCTGGAAGCCATCATCCTCAGCAAACTAACACAGAAATTAAAAACAAAAACAAGCAGTACATGTTCACAATCAACAATGTTCACATTGAACATTAAAGACACATAGACACAGGAAGAGGAGCAGCATTTAAAAATAAAAAGCTTTCTTTCTGCAGAGGTGAGGTTATAGTAACTTTGAAATGTGTGCTGCGCTTTATTTAGGACATTTTTGTAATTGCAGTTCAGAGTTGCCACAAACTGCATTGAAAAGTAAATAAGCAGTATATCTCAATTCTTAATTGATTTAATTTATTTTCTTTTATTTTTATAAAGGAATCTCACATTGTGTCTTTGGCTGGAGTATAGCAGTGCAATCTTGGCACACTGCAACCCCCTGCTTCCCAGTTTCAAGTGATTATTCTGCCTCAGCTTCTTGATTAGCTGAAATTAAAGGTGAGCACCACCACACCTGATGGGATTTGACCATATTGGCCAGGCCTGTCTCAAGCTCTTGGCTTCAAGTATGCTCCCTGCCTTCGCCTCCAAAAGTGCTGAAATTACAGGTATGAGTCACCATGCCTTGTCCTTGATTGAATTTCTAATTGAGAAAACATCCATCTTGCAAAAACTTATTTTTATATCATCTTTTTGATGACTTTGTTTATATGTCTCATAATTCAAGAAAAATAACGTAATTTTAATGCATTTTCTTTTTTTGAAAATAAATTTACTTCCATTAATGTGTAATTAAAAGAGTAGGTTAATTTAGAATGTTATTTTTCTTTTGGGTAAAACTCTCAAGTTTTAGAAATTTCTTCAAAAATCTAATTTTGGAAATGAATTACATTTATTGATTGTCCTCGGTTTTTTTTAAATGATTTTTCTTTGGAACACAATCCAAAATTGTTTCAAGATATAATGAGATGTTTATGTCAAATAAACATAAAAGTATTTTCTTGAAAAGACATATTTTTCTTAACATATGTTTTCTACTAATAACATGTGATTTCTTTTTCTAACTTACTAGGAATTAATTGATGTTGTTCTCTTCCCTGCATCAAGTTTAACTGTAGTATTTAAGAAGTAAAGAACTGCCAGCAGAGCCAGCTCTTCCAGTCTGTAGCTCTACCATTGCCATCAATCCTGGTTTTGATCTACTTGTGGCACTAGCTATGGGCTGTGGAAAGAACCTCAGAAAGATAGTAGACTGATTGAATGCAATATATTACATAGACAAAGCAGTAACTAGTGAGTTTTTAAATTATAAAGCTGTTTTTCTTCATTAATAATAGTTTACTTTGAAAGTAATTCAATGAAACCCACTTTCATAATACGAGAAGAGAACTTTGGGGTGCATTGTATTACTTCTAAATATCCACGTCAGTACAGCAAAGTAAGTAGCAATGTTCAAATCTTACATGGAACTGAAACTCAGGGTGGGAGGTAATATAAGTAAATTAACAAATGATAACAAAATTTAGTTTATTTCAAGAGAAAACTGAGGTTTTAGAATACAATTAACAACAGCATTCTGTACATAACTTTAATTGATAAATGTGAAATTATATTTATGTTTTTCTCTGTGTGAGCATATTTTCTAGCACATTGTAGGAGTTTTGTACTAAACTCACTGCTTAAAAGATCAGATCTTTATTTGTCTTGTGGCAACCATGTAGAGAGAAGAGTTTTCTTTTTAAAAACACTTTGTATGTTAATTTATTTAACAATTGAATTGACATAGTTATATGTATATTCAAAAGAGGTTTTTTTAAACAAATACTTTCCTTTTTAAACAAACAGATGTTATGTCATTAAAATATGGACCTAAAGGGTCTGAAGTTAAAAATCTATAATAGTCACTTGATTTGTTGTTAATATAAAAATCTAAAGTACTCTTTCAAAACGGCAGTGTTGATAAATGAGTTGTTGTTAATATTAATTTGTCACTTGACGGAAAGAAGAGTAGGCAGAGTTATTATTTTCATAGTACAAGCACTATTTTTTCTTGTTATCTCAGGTTGTGAAGCACTTTTTCAGGGGGAATATCTGCACTCTGTTAGATCTCACCCACCAGAAATATTTGTGGGACTCAAACTGCTGGTGCCACCTATCACATGAATTTTGTGATCCAGCAGCTATACACACACACACACACACACACACACACACACACACACACACACACATATATATATATATATATATATATATATATATATATATATATTCCACTGGAAGCAGTGTTCTCGCAATTGAATGCATAGGTAAAAATATAGACAATGATTTTTTGAAGATGAGAAGCAGAACGGTGAGGTAAATTCTAATTATTAATTTCTGTTACTGTGTTTGAAGATTCTGATAGCAGCTACTCTTTTGTCTCTGAAATTATTGTGCTTTAAAATAATCATGTAGGAAGTATGTTTTCATAATATAGCTAAAATCTCTGAGATACTATAACTGACATATTTATATTATTTGCATTTCAGAAGCTGTGCTTATTTTTAAAATTCTCTCTATATTTTTCCCAAATGAAAGCTTTTTCTGCTAAAGAAACAAATTTGTTCTTCATATTATGCTATGTGAATTTGTAAAAAATATTAGTTAAGAATTATGATCACACTGCCTATGAAAAGTATTCATTTTATAATAAAGCGTAAAGAAGTTAGGTCAGCAGATCACCTATTTAGGATATACCTCCAAATAAGTGAACATGGAATACATAAATTTTGGTAATGTTTATGCTCAAGCCCTTTATTATTATTATTTTACTTTTTGTATAGATATCGACAGAAGGTAAATTTAAAAATCAGTCTAGTTTAACTGTAGTAAATGGTTTTCCTATAATTCTTCATTTTTTCCTTTCAGTGGGCAGAAATAGTTTGTCTTTCAGCTACTAGTGTATCAACACTTATCATTTATGGAAATTACAAAACACACACTTTCTTTTTTTTTTTGAGACGGAGTCTCGCTCTGTCGCCCAGGCTGGAGTGCAGTGGCGGGATCTCGGCTCACTGCAAGCTCCGCCTCCCGGGTTCACGCCATTCTCCTGCCTCAGCCTCCCAAGTAGCTGGGACTACAGGCGCCCGCCACTACGCCCGGCTAATTTTTTGTATTTTTAGTAGAGACGGGGTTTCACCGTTTTAGCCGGGATGGTCTCGATCTCCTGACCTCGTGATCCGCCCGCCTCGGCCTCCCAAAGTGCTGGGATTACAGGCGGGAGCCACCGCGCCCGGCCCACACACTTTCTTTCTCTTTCCTAGACGCAGTAAATTGTATCATCCATGCATCGCAGTCAGGGTAGCTTTACTTTTAGCAGAATCTTCATATAGGATATTCACCAATACTTGGTTAACAGCCACTATTGGAAGAAAAATTGGAATGTAAGTTCTGGTACCATAGTCCGTGTTACCCCTAGGGTGTTGAATTTAACACATATAGAGATGGCTACTCACAACAGCAAGAAGCAATAGAAACAGAATATAAAATTTCAAATTACATATCTTACCTTTGTACTTGGTTGCTTGTGATTTATGTTGTCTCAGCACTGTACTGTGGCATGTATATCTGCCTTTTTCCTTTTTCTATGCAATGAGCTTCTCCAGGGCAGGAACTGGGCATTGTTTATTTCTTCATCACAAACCTAAGACACAATGAAAAGCATACAGAAACCTCTCAGACACTTGTAAACCAACTGTATTTTGCTCTATGGCTACAATCATGTTTTGATTTTAGAGCTTCTGTCTATGCTCTCATTCCTTCCACAACTACGGTTAATAGGCAT
Organism: Homo sapiens; assembly: GCF_000001405.40. Lineage (NCBI taxonomy): Eukaryota > Metazoa > Chordata > Mammalia > Primates > Hominidae > Homo > Homo sapiens. The sequence continues at coordinate 18,491,541 of NC_000024.10, read as the reverse complement.
ATTTATTGAGTCTTAATAATACTGATCTCCTCAAGTAAATAATCTTATGTAATTTGGAAAATGCATTATTCTCAAAAAAGATACTGAATCCATCTTACAAACCCTATGTAACGTATTCCCCCAAAGTAGAAGAGGACTCATTTGTCTTCACTCCTGCATACTTGACAAAATTTTACTATTTTATATTACCTGCAGTGTATGTTATTTCTTTGCTACTCTTTTATGATAACTTCTCCGTGAACCCAGTTATAACAGTTCATGTTTCAAATAAGCAATAATAGTAAAAAATAAAAAGTAAATAAAGTGCTTTTAAAATTAAGAGTATAAAAATGTATTTCATTTTATTCAGTAACTTTTGGTATTTGTTTCAACTTTTTTCCTTATATTTATAAAGTTAAACTAGTGCATTACTGATTTTTTTTTTTTTTTTTTGGTCTTTAATGTTGATCCCCAAGATAATTTACTAGAATATTTTTATTAATTTGAAGACAAACCAGAGTTAAGTAAGACAGGAGATAGAAAATCGTACAATATTAATGTCCTAGGACACCTTCAAGACATCTTTGTTCATTTAGCCGTTTTCAAACTGCAATCCTATGTACCCAGAGAGTTTTGGCAACAGTTAAGAGAAATTTTAGGTGAGTGCTTATTTCAGTTGTATAAAAACCTCAATACATTAACTAAACATTAGTCAGAAAAAAGCCTTCATTTAAAGGACAAGTATTAAGTGAAACTAGCCAAAAAATATAAAGGACAAGGATTGCATGTTTTTATTCATATCTCAGAAATAACAAATTTCATCTCATGGAGGTAGAGAATAGCATGACATATTATTACAGGCTGTGAAAGACATTGAGCAAACAAATAAGTGAGCTAGTTAATGTGTAAAAAATAAAGTTAGAAGGAATAGGTCCTAAAGTTTGATTGTATAGAAGGGAGACTATAGGTATGAATAACTTATTACAGATTTCAAAATAACTAGAAGTTTAGATTTGGAAAGTTCTTGAAACAAATATGTCATATATGTCTGAAATGACTAATATACCAATTACCAATAAGCCATTTAAAAATTTGCTCATTGCTCATTGTGTGCATGTATCAAAATAATAGTTCTACTTTGTAAATAGGTAAAATTATAATGCATCAATTTAAAGAAACAATAAATAATGGTCTATTTAAATAAGAAATTTCACTAAAGCTGTCCACTTCTGAATTGTAAAAAGCTCTTTCTCTCCACACGTTGGGGCTTTGTGATCCAAATTCTGATTTTAGAAGTACTGGCACATGTTCTTGGGCAGACTAAGGTGATGAGAGAAAACCCACACATGCCCCTCTTCAGCATTAGCTGGAAATTGTGGTCCAGGGCACTCCTGGATGCCATGAAATAATACGTGCCATTGGAAAGATAATTACTAGCTTGCCTTGCCTGCTTCTTTGACTGAAGACCATAAAATAATTATAAAACTTGCAACACCTATAACGTGTTGGGCAAAGTAAGGAAACAGTCTAATGAGGAAGTGCTCAGAACACTTCCAAGATAACATAAAAAATGGCTTTATAGGAGAAAAACGTTACCAGGGAAGTGCAAGGAGTTGCTCATCCTGTTCAAGAGCAGGTAGTAGGGAATTTTCTAGCATGTAGTCTGGAACCACCTCAGGAATTACTGGATCCCACTGTCACATGGGCAATGCCCTTTGAAGAGCTCCCTATTGACAACAACAACCTGCTTGGTTGATGAATGGCCGTTTCAAGGTGGATGAACAATGTCCTGTTGGCAGGCTTTCACAGAGACCAGAAATAAAAAGACCAATTGAAGATGGAATGAGCAAATTACCTCAATGATTGAACTGCATGCTGTTTTTTTTCTTTTTAAATAAAGGATTAAAAACATTAAACCATGATTTATAAAGGCAATTGTTTGAATTCATGAGTAGTAAATAGTAATCAACGTCCTGGCCATGTGAACAATAGAAAACTGGACTTTCAAACAGAAGCCTGTATGTGACACATGGACTTTCAATGGGCTGAGTCACATCCTGGCATCTTCTTAATAGTACAAATTTAAGGGGTACATTAAAAAAGGACATGTTGGTTCCCATTTGAAGAATCCTCTCCAGGATGATTGGAAGGTGATTAGAACCAGGACATCATGATGTATTCACTTGAGATGGCAACCTTATAGAGGTGCAGCAGTAAAGCAGGAATAGAATTAATCTACACTTATTTCTTTTGTACTCTTTAAGGAACAGAAATTCCCAAATCTAAGTCTAGGCCTGGAGAGAAATGTAGACTGCAAATAACAATAGGCCAAATAGGAAGGCCCATGACATAGTTGGATTACAATGTACCAATATCAGTAGCCCTGATAGTGTATTTATAGGTCTTGACTAATGTAGACTGCATTTGGCATTCATAATGTTCAATGCTAATGTTTACATACTATAAAAAGATAAAAACATAGTATATTCTAACCAGTTCAAACAAACGAATTGCTGTTCCTCACACTGTGCAACACACTTCATATCCTATTGTTTCCAACAATGGGCATAGAGATATTATATTGAATGAAAAAAATTGTATGAATTATTTAAAATCGGAAGGAGCTTATATCTTCAGTAAACCCTACCTCTAACAACAAACACTTTAAAATAACATAGAAATAAACTACGAGCCTTACTGCTTTCAAGGAAAATTGTGACTGGGTAGCAAAGCAGTCAGAAATCTTGGCACACTGGTAATTCAAAATACTGTGGATTCTGATAATATGCACTTCACTGGAATTAGATGAAGCCATGTTTTAAAAGCATCACAAGCATCACTTAGTAAATTCTATCACAAAAGTGCCCCAGTCCAAAAAAAAAAAAAAAAATACAGTCTACCATGCTCCACACATTGTGACATATGAAAAGTGTTCATGTTGGTTTTAATATTTTAGAATTTCTATTAAACATATGGCAATATTCCTTATCTCAACAAGAAATTAAACTATATTAAAGGTGAAGAACGTGTAGAATTATAATCTGCTTGTTTTTTACATTTTTCTGGTTTTAAAAAATAAGGTTTCTGAGCAATAAAGCTGTTACTCTGGGTGATTCCATCCCTTGGCTACATGAACTTGGTGAGAAGTCATGCTAAATGTTACAGCACAAGAAAACCTTTCAAATGATTAACTTAGCCAGGTGCCATGGCTCACCACCTGTAATACCAGCACTTTGAGAGTCCAAGGCAGGTGGATCACGAGGTCAGGAGATCCAGACCACCCTGGCTGACAAGGGGAAACCCTGTCTCTACCAAAAATACAAAATTAGCCACACGTGGTTGTGCATGCCTGTAATCCTAGCTACTTGGGAGGCTGAGGCAGGAGAACCGCTTGAACTCATGGGGTGGAAGTTGTAGTGAGCCAAGATCGCAAACATTGCAGTACAGCCCATGCAACAAGAGTGAAACTGCATCAGAAAAAAAGAAGGAAAGGAAGAAAGGAAGAAAGAAAGTAAGAAAGAAAGAAAGAAAGAAAGAAAAGAAAGAAAGAAGAGAGAGAGAATGAGGAAAAGAAAAGAAAAAGAAAAGAAAGAAAGAAGAAAGGAAGGAAAAGAAGGAAAGAAAGAAAGGAAAAGAAAGAAAGAAAGAGAGAAAGAAAGGAAGAAACAAAGAAAGACAGAAAGAAAGAGAAAAGTGCATTACTCACGTCGTGTCTAGTCTTCCCATAATATTTTAATAAAAATATTTGTTTTAACTTAGAAGTGCTCAGAAATGGTTTTTATTTATATTTTTGGTCAGTATTTGTTTTTTGGTAAATTTTGTATGAAAACTCGTAAAATTGTTAATTTTTACTGTCACTGGATTTTGAGAGAGATTAAATAAATTACTTTATGATCTTATTGAAATATGACACATTTTTATGAACTAGGACAAGGTAGTACCTAATTACAAACAAAATATCAAAAGGGTAAAATAAAACATGACCCCACTTGAAGCATTCTTCTTCTGATCATCTTGCCAAAGCTGCCCTAGATAATGTTTTTCTTAATTTACAGTCACAGCTGATACGTTACAAAATATGTAAGAAAATAATAATTGAAAACCACGTAAGTAAAGATGAAAATGAGTTCAAAAAAGAAAAATAAAAACTTTATTTATTTACCTATTGATACATAAAGCCTGTTGGATGAGGATATAATGGAGCATATTCTGTTGGAGAGGACTTATGCTCATCTAAGGCATCTTTGTCATCTGGCTTCAAATTCTAAATATTTAAAAAGACTGATTTATTTGATTATAAAAGTAACTTTGTACCTTATATTTAATTTTCTTCATTTAGAATAAACGTTAAGAAGTGCAAAAAAGCTGGCATCTTTAATATGTTTGCAATGCCTGCAAATGATTTGTAATACAGGGAAAAATATGAATTATTTTAGCTACATAATTTCTAGACCATTTCACACAAGTCATTTCCAAAAGGAAATACTTTCTAAGACCAAACAAACCAATGCTAACCATTTAATAAAATAAATATTTTTAAGGGCAATATTAATACATAAACATTGGCTTACACATTTAAAAATTATTTCTCTTTTTCCCAGATTTATCTGCTGCCCTTTGGGGGCTTCCCCCTGCCCACTCATCCAAAGTTTGAAAGCTTTTGTAAGTGTCATCCTAGCACTATTTGATCTTTCTAAGAAATAAACATTTGATGTTTTATTTTTGTGTACTGGAGGAGACCATTTTTTAGACACATGGAATTGTTTCCAGTATATGGTCTTCTTTCAAGTTTCTATATCCACTAAACGAGTCAATTTTCTTTCTTTCCTTTCCTTTCCTTTCCTTTCCTTTCCTTTCCTTTCCTTTCCTTTCCTTTCCTTTTCTTTTTCCACGTGAAAGTGCAAACACAGTCATTACTTCCACAAATTATGCAGTTGAGTTTCCCACACTTGGGGAAATCGTAGGAGTCAGCACATCCAGAATGCAATAGATCAGCCTTGCCCTGGGAAAGCCACCTTCATGATCACAGTATCTCCCCTGGCAGAGAAGTATCCATTTTCTTTTTAAGACTTCCATTATCCTTTGAAAGAAAATACAACTATAAATATAATAGAATTTAGAATAATTTTCAGTATGATTTCAATCATCCATGATTATCATCTTCTAAAAAAAACTTCTTGATTCTGACACAGGCTTCTACAAAATTGTAAGAAAAAATGCTATGGTAAACAATGAAACAGCTGCTAAATAAAGCTACCATACATTTTATGCACTGATATGCTCATTTCTGATAGTGACTCTCAGAGCGTTCTGTTATATCTAACAGCCATCATCGGTCTTCTGGAATTTTATTGTGCTCACTATGAGCTTTAAAAGTAAACAGATGAAAAGAATTTGTAATATCAAGTAGTAGCTAATATTTTATTGCCTAATATATGTCATTCAGAACAAGTTTTTGAGGTAAACTAATTAATATCAGAGTTAGTTTCCTAAGCAGGTAGCATTAGTAAATCCATTTAACAAATAAAAAAACTAATTACATTTAGGAGAAATACTTTGCAAAATACTACAGATTTAGCCAGTTGAGGAGCTAGCTAGCAATCTGACTCAAACATCTGACCTCTTGGCATATTACCAGTTTAAAACGTTTTGGCTAAATATGCTATCTATGCATTACTACAAGTGAATTAAAAACAGCAATGCTATATTACTTTTTATAGTTCTATTTTTTATTCAGATTATGCTCTGTGGCCCAGGCTGGACTGCAGTGGCATGATGATAGCACATAGCTCAATCAGTCCTCACACTCCAGGGTTCAAGTAATATACTCCTGCCTCATCCTTCCAACTACTTGGGATTACAGAAATGAACCACCATATCCAAATCTCCTCATTATTTTCACTAAAGATCATTAGACTTTTAAGACTACCTTTAAAAAAAATAAAAAACTTACTTGATATTCACTAATTGTTCAGAGACAACATTTTAGAATGTAAAGCAAGAATCCCAAGATTATAAAACAGGGATATAAATTGGCAGTACAGAATAGATTTCAATTCTAATAGTATAAGAGCACACTCATGATAGGTAAAGCAACTTACAATGGCAATAATAAAAGTTGCCCGATTTGCTAATGATCAGTCATTTTGTTTCAGGGCTAGCTAATTTACAACATATTTACACTGCCAACTGTCTGCTATTCTTAGGAGTCCAATCTAAAATTGCAAAAAAAATATGACTTCTGTCTTTTTTGTCATTACCAGGACAGATGAATAAAATTGTTTTTTCTTCTCTCTGCCATGTATCTTACTTTATATAATAAGAATATATTCCAAGTCAAAGACCAGGCTTTTTGTTTTTGCCATGGGAGCATTTATAATATAAATTTCTTTTGAAAAAGGTGATTTTTGTAATCTAATTATTTCAGTAAAGAATAACATGGATAGGCTTCTTGTAACACTTACAGTACACATTTAATTATCTCATTCTCTTAAAAATTATAATAAAGTGAAAATCATTTCATCTGCCACATTATCAATAGTATCAAATGTTTTCATGTGCAATTTGGATTAATATTATCTTTGCCTATATTTTTATCTGCCACCTTGAACAGTGGTTGGTACATAGCACTTGTTGATATATATCTGTTGAATACCACTTATTGAATAGACTAAATATTCGTCACACAGTACATTTCAAGCTAATCTTAATAAGGAGAATAATAAATTCCTACATCAAACCCACATTAATCCACAACCACTATTTTACACATTAACCCAACATGGATACCTTTACTGTAATCACTTCCTTGGATGAGATGAGGCTAAGATGTGATTTAGCCTTACTTTAGAGCAAATACAAGAAGTCACACAGTAAACAATATATGACAACAAACTATTTTCAAAATGGTATAAATTAAATCCCATTGATAGGAACTATTAATGTCATTCTACTACATTAATTAATCTGCTTGAAATCTATGATAGTGGACCAAAGAACAATTAGAACATTTTAATTCTTAAATTCTAATATTTTCAGTTCTTTAAAATTTAAGATTATCATTTGCTTTTAATCATTGTGTTCTACAGCTTTATAATAACTTTATTAGGTTTTCAGTGTGCTTATTATGATGTCTATTCAGTGAAAATTGTGTGTGTTTTTGTGTGTGTGGGCATGTGTGTATAGAGTTTCCAGATATATAATATGATTGTTTCTAGAATCCTATAACAATAAAACTTTGCATTTCCTGGCGGAGTTGTGCAGCTAATTCTGGTGCAATTCTTAGGCTTATTTTAAAGCAAATGACACAACTAAGAATACTGGAAGAATGCTAAGGATCTGTTTTTAGCATAAGCACAGTTTTTTAAAATTATGATTTTTCTCAAAACCAGGCTGGTCAAGACGGTGAAACCCCATCTCTTTTAAACATTAGCCAACTGTGGTGGCAGGCGCTTGTAATCCCAGCTACGCAGGACGCTGACCCAGAGAATTGCTTGAACCCAGGCGGCAGAGGTTTCAGCGAGCCGAGATTGTCCTCCTGCACTCCAGCCCGGGTGACAGAACGAGACTCTCTCCCAAAAAAAAAAAAAAAAAAAAAAAAAAAAAGAAAAAGAAAAAAAGAAAAAGAAAAAGAAAAAGAAAGAAATTATTCTTCTTACATACTAATTTAAACTACTTAGAGGCTACGGATTGCTTTTAGATAACTTAATGTTATCTACCATGTTAACATTAACTTTTTTAAAAAAAGTTTCCATTCTAAGACATTCCTTCCAATGACTTTTTTCATTATTACATCTATAGTAACACATGTATCCTTTTAGATGATTCCAAATTCTGGACATATGTATCCAACTCCCCATTACAATTTTTTATTTGGTTTCCCATATGTTTCTAAAATGCAATCCGCTCGAAGAGGTTCTCCTTTTTCTGTCAGTAAATTGCATTACTATTCCTTCAGCTTATCAAATCACATCCGGGGCGTAGGTGTTGTCTCTTTCCTGCTCCACTTCCTCAAATATCCAATTACCGACACCTGACTATACTAACTCATAAAGAGCTCATAAATCTGTCCACACATATGTTCTGCATTGCCGTTTTTGTAATATAGAGCACCCACAAAGTTTTTATACAGATAATTTTGAATACTTCCTTACTGTGGTCTATTGTGAAACTTTCTATGCTATAGCCTGTGAGTTGTTACAAATGTATGCCTTTTGTGATTCTCTAATGGTTTATCAAGTCACAGTGAATATCTCACATAAATGCTAGAAAAGCCAAGTTATGTCAATACTAAGTCTGTACCCACTAACTACTTAGAAAAAAAAATTAACAAAGCAACCCTTTTCTACTGCAAGTGCTTTTTACTCTCCAAATTTAAGACACATACTCCCTACAACAGGCAGCAGAGCCCTCTGTATTTTGTTTGTTTGTTTGTTTATTACAATCCTTTAATATTATCCCACCTGGACTGTTTATTCAGTACTGTATTTTCAAAATCATAATTAGGAGGGATTCAAAATACTTTATCTGAAATTCGAAAAGCTCAAGTAAGCAAGGCTTTTAAAAATAAGGTTGTTATGTAACTCAATTTCTGATGTAATAAAGACTTAATTGAGGGAAGCTATTTAAGTCTTCACCCATAAAGGGAATATTCATTTCTCGTCATAGAAACATTAGTATGTTTCATTCTTGGGTACTTTGGGGGCCTTACAGGGAATGGTACACGATGCGATGCAACTGTGTTGACTCAGTTTTCTCAAATTTTAAAAATTCCTAATACCTAAAACACACTGCCTAAATGCCTTAAGATGTATAAATGTATAATGAACTTCCTCAATTAAAATTAAACTTAGGTTATATTATAAACCAATCATGGGTTTTGTAAAAGCAACTAAAATCTCAAGTTAAATTGTGCAAGACAAAATTTTTGTGAGTTCTTGAGTATGATACTTTTACATTCAAAATAATTATTGTGTTTATGTTTGTATAATATATGCTCCTACTCTACTAAAAGTATCCCAGCATCTCAGAGGTAGTCAGGCAAGGCTGAGGAAAAGAAAGCACAGAGATCGTTAGAGCAGGAAGAGTAAAGGGTAAAATGTATTTCCTCTTGAAGGTAAATATTAATAATACAAATAACACTTTCATTACAGGAATGTGTGACCATAGAAATTAGTTTTGATAGGAAAATATTTGTAATTTAAACAAATTACTTAAAATGATCTGCTAATTGTCTGAGTCATTCATATAAATATGACCTAATATTTATCAATATCACTGAGATATTATCTAGTAATTAAATTTTAAATAGATCCATAAATTAGTAATTTTGAAATGTTGCACTAACATTGAATACAGTACAAATATTTTTGTTGTACGTTTCTGACAATCTATCCATGCCTTTAGGACTACTGTGCAATAGGCTGATGTGAGGAAAATCAGACTACCCTAAGAGACATTTACTTAAACCTGCATTTCTTAATTTATGCTAATAGCAACAAAAATTTTAAGTGAATTATTTATTTACATTATCACCAAATTTCTTTTTCTTTATTTTAACAAAAGCATACATATGCGCTAAGTTTCTCATAGATGTCATTTTTAAACCTGAAAAGCAAAACAACTAATTGGTATCCCCTAAGGATGTGGATACCTTTCCCAAGTTCTAGAAATTCTGATTTAGATAGTGTGGGATATGACCTGGAAGTTAGTACTTTTCAAAAAGCAACATTAAGAGATAACATCGGCTGGGCACAGTGACTCAAGTCTGTAATCACAGCACTTTGGGAGGCCGACATGTGCAGATTACAAGATCAGGAGTTTGAGACCATCTTGGCCAACATGGTGAAACCCCGTCTCTACAAAATACAGATATATATATATACATATATATTTAACCAGGCGTGGTGGCACACCTGTAGTCCCAGCTTCTAGGGAGGCTAAGCCTGTGGAATCACTTGAACACAGGAGGTGGAGGTTGCAGTGAGCCGAGATCTTGTCCCTGCACTCCAGCCTGGACACAGAGCTAGACTCCATCTCCAAAATAAATAAATAAATAAAAGAGAGAGAAAGATAACATCAATCGGGCACAATATCTAATCTTAAAGATTACCAGAAAAATAAAACAAATGCATAAATAACCTAAGAATACATGAAATACATTAAAGTTACACAGATTTGCTATGCATTTTTATATATATATATATATGTATCTATATGTATATATGTATATGGAATATTGCCTGTACTTTAGGACACATTACATGTAATAACTTGATTAAAAAATGATTCTCATTTTATATTTAAAAATAAAAACATCATTGATATAACATGAAAATGTCTTACCTAAACTGGCATACATTACAAACAGGTAAATACATTTCTGTAAATAAAATCCCTATGATCTGAATCTTTTCTTCTAAGGACGTTAGGTACTCCTCTTAGTAACTGATCACTCTTGCTCAAGTTGTTGCATTTCTGTGAAAAAGAAGTATTCATTGGTGTAATAGAATCAAGATTACAAAACAGCTTCTATTTGAATAAAAAGAGTCTCGTTCTTATAAAGAGCAAACATCTAACAAAGAAAATGATTAAATACAATTCCTCTTTGAGAGAGAAAATAAAGAGCTGTGGTAAATTTTATTGTATATTTTTATGCTGCTATAATTAAAACAACAACAACACTTCCACAACTTCAATAGAATAATTTAAACCATTTAGTGATTTATATTATCAGTAATTTTAATTTTCTATTACAGTTTTCTTACTAAAATACCTTTCAATTTAACCAGTAGAAAAGTAAATTTAAGAAAATATAAACTTCAGTGATTTCCTAAATAATTGTGAATATTCAATACACAAAATAATTTAATCTTGTTTTTCAGAGGGCTGAGAAATCACTATTTATTACCATAAAATAATTTTTAAAACTCACAGGTGTTATAATATATGTAAGCATGCATTTGTGTATGGCAAAGACATCAAATAGAATCATATAAATTTTCTGATTTGAATTTGCAGACAACAGAATTTACATCTAAGTATATAATTACTCCAAAAAACAAAACAAAACAAAACTAACAGCTGTGCAATTACCTGACTAGAAAGTGATAGAGCAGGAGCACCTTCATCTTGAACAAATACTGCCACATTAACTTCCAGCTCTCTTTTTAGCCTCATGCATTTCAAGGAAATCACTTCTCTTCTTACTACAAATAATAAGCACATTCCTTTCCCTTCAGGTGCACTAAGATACGGAAGCTAGAAGCAGACATGGGGGACATGCCTGCAACTCTAGAAAGCTGTATGAAAACAGACACACAACACTCTCTGTCAGATAACCACAACAAAGAGACACAGAGGCAGTCCAACCCTCTGATAAGCACTGTGAGACTGAATCACGGAATACTCTTAGTCTGTTAACAGAGTGTGGCTCTGACTTAACCTGGCCAGCCGCCCCTCTCACACTGATTAAAAATAAACCTGTCCCTGTTGACTGTCAAGCTACCCTTCAGGTTTCTCTCCTCTTTCTTTAATCCTTACATTGGTTGCTGATACCCAGGACCGGTATTGGTGGCAGAGGCTCCCTTACATCCCAGGAAGCTGTGGGCAATGGCAGCTTATCCTAAGCAAACTCCTGGATCCTGAGAGTCTCTGGCCACCTGCCCCATCTTTTTGCTCATTTTACTCTTCAAGCGATTTGTGTGAGAAGGACAACTGACCTGAAGGAAACTGCAAGGCTCAGGCCAGGGCTCTAAATCCCTCAAGTCTCAGGAATCCACCCCTAACACTGGCTCCCTCTTTCCTCTCTCTTTCTCTCTCTCTCTCTCTCTCTCTCTCTCTCTCATTCTCTTACTCTCTGTTCCTCATATATCGCTAGTCTGGCAGTCCCTTTGCCAATTCCAACTGGAATATCCAAAAGACAACACTAATTCAGCCATCTGGTAAGATCTGCCTTTTCCTGCCTTTCTCGTGGTACCATAGAAAGTCCAGACTGCTGTCCACTTCCTCAAAGGACCAATGGGATAAGCTCAAGGAAATCGTGGGGACATGAAGTGCTTTCCCAGCATAAGTGTCCTCTTTCAGAAGGAGGATTCCGGGTCTCTGTCTATTGTCTGGGGACATCTAGTACAAAACAGAGCTATCGTAAAATACCTTTATAGCAAATGCAGCTTCCAACAAACATTAATAGTTAAGTATGTGAATGTACAAATTTATCATTCAGTTGTACACATAGGAAAGGTTTAGTATTACTGACATTTACAAGAAAAACAGACAAACAAACAAACTTAACAGGTTTTACATTAACGTAAAAATTGCCAAAAGTATATTATAACATGTATTATAAAAGTATTATAACATGTAACTGAAAGTGCTAAACATAAATTTTCATGCAAGGTGTATAAAAACAGTAAAAAGTTAAAAATTGTAAGAAGACATAAAAATGTACATTTTGATTAAAAATGTAAAAATAGGTTTCGGGAGACACTGAGCTAGCTTGAAGAGTTTTTTTTTTTTTTCATACCCCAGTGGCACCTGAAATGTCAGAAAGAAAGAACCATTCACTCCCTTGAATTGGGTGAAGCCATGGAGCCAAGTGGTCTAGCTCAGTGGATGTCACCCCTATGGAGTCTAGCAAGCTAAAATCCACTGCCTCGAAATTCTTGCTGCCAGCACAGTAGTCTGAAGCCAACCTGGAATGCTTGAGATTGGTGGGGACAGGGATGTCCACCATTACTGAGGCTTGAGTAGGTGGTTTTTCCCTTTACAGTATAAACAAAGCCACTGGGAAGTCACCGCAGCTCAGCAAAGCTGCTGTAGCCAGACTGCCTACCTAGATTCCTCCTCTTTGGTCAGAGCATCTCTGAAAGAATGGCAGCAGCCCCAGTTAGGGGCTTATAGACAAAATTTCCAACTCCCTGAAACAGAGCCCCTGGGGGAAAGGGTGGCTGTAGGTACAGCTTCAGCAGACTTAAACCTTCCTTCCTGCTGGCTCTGAAGAGAGCTGCAGATCTCCAAAAGACTGCCTCCTCAAGTGGGTCCATGAAGCTCATGACTCTTGATGAGGAGACACCTCCCAGCAGGGATTGACAAGCACATCATAGAGGAGTGCTCTGGCTGGCACCTGGCAGGTGCCCCTCTGGGATGAAGCTTTCAGAGGAAGGAACAGGCAGCAATCTTTGCTTTTCTGCATCCTCTGATAGTGATACACAGGCAAAAATGGTCAGAAGTGGACTGCCAGCAAAGTCCAGCACACCTGCAGCAGAAGGGCCTGATTGTTAGAAGGAAAACTAACAACAGAAAGGCATAGTATCAACATCTACTAAAAGGATTTCCTCTCTATATAGGAATACACATATATACTACATATTCAAGTTTTATTTTATATATATAAATTTATATATATATAATGTTATATATATATATTGAATATATATATATTCAAAGGTCACCAACATCAAAGAATGAAGGCACATAAATGAACAAAGATGAAAAAAGAAATCGCAAAAAGGCTGAAAATTCCAAAAACGAGAACACCTCTTCTCTTCCAAAGGATCACAACTCCTCGCCAGCAAGAAAACAGAACTGAATAGAGAATGAGTTTGAGGAATTGATGGAAGTAGGTTTCAGAAAGTGGGTAATAACAAACTCTTCCGAGCAAGAAAGAAAGTTCTAACCCAATGCCAGGAAGCTAAAAACCTCAAAAAAAGGTCAGGGGAATTGCTAACTGGAATAAAGAGTTAAAGGAAAAACATAAATAACATGATGGAGATGAAAAACACAGCACAAAGACTGCATGAAGCATACACAAGTATCAATAGCCAAATCGATGAAGTGGAAGAAAGGATATCAAAGACTGAAGATCAATTTAATGCAACGAAGCATGAAGAAAAGGATAGAGAAAAAGGAATAAAAAGGAACAAACAATGTCTCCAAGAAATATGGGACTATTTGAAAAGACTAAACCTACTTTGTTTGTTAGTTTGTTTGAGATGGAGTCTTGCTCTATCGCCCAAGCTGGAGTGCAGGGGAGCGATCTCGGCTCACTGCAACCTCCTCCTCCCAGGTTCAAGGGATTCTCCTGCTTCAGCCTCCTGAGTAGCTGGCATTAAAGGCATGTACCATCATGCCGGGGTAAGTTTTGTAATATTAGGAGAGACAGAGTTTCGCCATATTGCCAAAGCTGGTCTTTGACTCCTGGCCTCAAGTGATCTGCAGACCTCAGACTCTCAAAGTGCTGAGATTAGAGTCATGAGCTACCATGCCCAGCCCAATTTCAACTTGTTTTATAAAATTTCTGTGACATCCTCCACCTTCCCTTCACCCACAAAATGTTAGAATTCCAAAATAGGGGCCTTTGAAGAATCTCCAAGGAACACTTGTCCCAGGGACCCTGAGGAGGTAGCTACTCAGAATTAGATGACAGATTACACTGGGAAATTGAGGACAAGAAGAGAACCTAGGATAGTTTCCAAATGTCTAGCTGAGGGGAACAAACAGAATGTGGCCTCTCTTCTAAGATGCCCTGATCCCAATCTGTAAAACTTGTGAGTATGTTAGGGCTCATGACAAAGACAAATTACGGTTGCTCATCAGTTGACCTTAAGATAGGAAGATTGCCCAGGATGATCCACCTTGATCAATGCCATTAAAATGGCCTTAAAGGTAGAAGATGGAAGCAAAAGAGGAAAGTCAGGAGGAAGTCACAGAAGAATGGAAAAGCAATGTGATATTGATGGCTTTGAAAACAGAGGATGGGGCTATAGCTAAGGAATGCAGGAGGCCCCTAGAAGCTAGAAAGTACAAGGAAACAAATTCTCCTCTAGAGCATCCAAGAGGGACACAGTCCTGAGCACACTTAGATTGTAGCCCAACAAGTACCTGTGTTGCACTCCTGTGCCACAGAAGTGTAAGATGATACACTTGTCTAAGCCACTAAATTTGTAATAATTTGTTACAGTGGCAGTAGGAAACTAAAATAGGCCAAAGCCAGAAAAACCTGTAGATATGAGAGAAAAGGAAGGAAACTCAAGGAAGTGTCAGCAAATGAGTAGAAGGCACATTATCTTAAGAGACTGGGGACAAAGGGAGTTCATCTGCCGGGGGAATGCGTTTCAAAGCACTGTAGATAAGTTGTTGCACAGAGGCAATGAGGCATCAAGGTGAAGATATCTGCAGCAATATGGAAATGAGAGTGTGAGAAAGGGGTGGTTCCTCTCCACTGTGTATCCCCACCACTAATACAGAAATTGGTACACAGCAAGTGTTCAATGCTGGCTGAATGGTACTGGAGGGTAGTGGCATAGCCTGCAGCATAGACAGTGCTGAAATGCAAGAATGACAGACATGGCAAGATTTCAGTGTTAAGTAGACTCAACAGAGCAAAGAGCCTTCTGAAACTTCTCATGCTGATGTCTCAGGGGTTTCAGAGGCTCCATGATGAAGTTTATGTTCAGGTGGTCGACAGCAACTTTGTGAGAAGTTACTGAAGTTTTTTAAGTTACCTATGAAGAAATCCTGCATAACAAGAAACTGGGCTTGCTGGCTGATGAGAGGGAGCCAGGACCCTTATTTGCGACGGAAACAGCAGCTGTCTCTGATAGGTGGGCAACCTGGTCTTTGACAGGGAGAAGTCTAAAGAAATCAACTTGGTGATATGAGGAGATCTCCCAATACCTTAACTTTAAGGAGTCTACATACACTAACTAGTAATCAACATACGCATGGGACCAGACATCAGTGAGTATAGAATCAAAAGGCTAAAAGGCCTCCAGTGAGTGGAAGTATGACACACACACACACACACACACACACACACACTATATATATATATATATATATATATATATATATATATATATATATATATATCTATCTCAGGCTTTGGGGTTGACCGTAACTTAGTCTAGCTAAGCATTTAAATCAATAACTTGAATGAAGACAATTTATCACATTTAAAAATAACACCAAGGGTTTATTTATTAGAATTCACTAGAAGGCAGAAATTAGGATTCAAAATGATCTCTGTGGCTAAGAGAGTGGAATGCAATTAACAAGATAGAAGTTAAGCAAATAGTAAAGAAAGCCCTGTGCTTTGGATTAGAAATCAACTGTACAACAATAGGACAAGGGAAACCTAGATTAAGAACAGTTCACCTACATCAAGAAAAGTGTTAACTTACTGCAAGCTCTATAAGATATAAAAGTCTGAGAGTTTGGTCAAAAAGCTAAGGCAATTCTAGGTGGTATTAAGAGCAAGATCGGGGAGAATGTTCATGCTCTCTTAGGGGAAGAAAGTGAGTTCTGGGAATCATATCATCTTTGTGGAAGAAACTCATTTCTGGAAATCTATCGTAAATTAATCCATAACTCTGACCTGTGTGTGTTATAGGTGAGGGGAGGGCAAGATTTATGCTGGGGAAAGCTCTGGAAAGAAGACAAAAGCAATTGAAGGAACTGAGGATGTTTAAATGGTGCTGAGAAGACCTTTTTGGGGTGGAAGGGGAGCGGGGTATGGCATAGTACTATCTTTAAATACAATAAGCTGCCTAATGGAAAAGGAATTTGGCTTGGAATGGCAAATGAGTTTCTTCTCATGAGTGAAATCTAATCAACTGGTATTGACTGCCATGAACTGGGGTTGAGAAATTTTCTGAGACTAAGTGTGGAAAGAAAAGGGGAAGAATGCTGTGTAGAAAAGAATGTAGGAAAGAATGCTGTGATCATTTATCCTTGTCTCATATGGATTTCAAGAAATACAGTACCTACCTGAGGCTGAACTTGACAGACTTATTCCAAACCGTTACATAGGTCAAGCCCAGGGTTGCTCAGTTGAAGTCACTGAAAACTACAATCTAATGGGTGGCTAGAAGACCACCAGTGGCAGAGTAAGAGCATGCTTAATGAACTTGGAAGTCCCTGCTCTTAGTTTAATTTGCAGGACAATGCACGACAAAACTCATGGACTGTCGTTCCAAACACATCCCTTTTTGTAGCTGGCCTCTGTAGAGACTCTACAGAAGAGCTTCTGGAAAAACTGTTCTTTCCTGCCAACAGCAGTGTTTTCAGTCATCCCATAGACCTGGGGTCCCTGATCTAGCATGGTACATGTCTGTTGCAATAAGGAGGGGCAGTTTGAACACTGTTGATAGGTGTCTAATGTGACAATTTTCTGTTAATATTATAAGCAATTATCCCACCTTTGGGAGAAGTTATGCTAGTTTTTGAAGAGCATTTTATCTAATTGTATTCATATATTCAACTGTGTGATCAAAAGTGGGAGTGCGGTCGGGAGTGAGGGGATCTTCAGACACAATCTTTTTATTTGCTTGTTTGCTGTTGTTGCCCAAGCTAGAGTGCAATGGTGTGATCTCAACTAACTGCAACCTGCACTTCCTCGGATCAAGTGATTCTTCTGCTTCCGACTCCCAGAGAGCTTGGATTACAGATGTTATGCCACCACACCTCGCTAATTTTTTTGTATTTTTAGTGGAAACCGGGTTTCACCATGTTAGCTAGGCTTGCCTGGAACTCCTGACCTCAAGTCATCCTTGAGCCTCCACCTCCCAAAGTGCTGGGATTACAGGTGTGAGCCACCATGCCCAGCCGATTATTATTACTTTTTCTACAGTGGACTGGTGATACTACCTAACAACATTTACAAGCTATCAACCTACTTTTAGAACACTGCTTTCATCATTTCATTATCCCATTCAAAAGCCTGGATGCATCTCAACTACAGGATCATGTACTGGTATTCAAAGCAGACTCTCACATTGGTCATGTCTTTTCTCAGCCCTATTGTTCCACCTCCACTAGAGTTTAGTTGTTTATTGTTTCTTCTTCCCCAAATCCACTTTGACTGTATCCACTTCAGAGCTACTATTATTTCTCTCGTCCTGCCTGGAATGTTCTCCCTGATTCTGCCTGCAACTCCTACCTATTTTTTAAAATCCAACTAAGTCTCTCCTCCTCAATTATTTCCACCAAAAACCTATAGGTTCTCCACTTCCTAAGAAGTCCTGTCACTCATACTGCCTCTCAAAGACTTTAAGTTTCTCACAGCCAGTGATCAAAATTCACTGTACACTTCTTCAATGCTGTGTACAAAGCTGAAACTGATCAAATTTGGTCCTCACAGGACTTAGATACTTTTTCAGGCTTATATTCCCAGCATACAACTCTGGACTCAGGGTAGATTCCTCACTGCCCCCAGAAGGGCCTAGATTTTTGTTTGTTTGTTTGGTTGGTTGGTTTTTATTACTTTATTCATTTTTCCCCATCCCTGCCATGCTATTCTTTTGACCCACCACCCAAATCCTACGCATCAAGACCCTGAAGAGTTTACACTTTTTCCAAGAGATGATCTGAATCCCTTCCATATTCAACCACCTCTCCTTTAAACTCATTACTCAATTTATATATATATATCTTACGTAAGATATATATTCATATATATATATATCTTACGTAAGATATATATTCATATATATATATATATATTTCTTAGCTCTTGCTCAATTATCTGGCTGTAACGTGTTCATTATTGCTTCTGAGAGGTTCGGTTGCTTTTCTTTTTATTTACATGTAAACATTATGAGGTCAGGCTCGCCTTTCCTCACAATACACAATGGTGGCTACTCAAAAACATTTAGCTTTGTGGATCTCTACCCTAAGCCATCTTGCTTCCAAGAGTTCATCTGGCAATGTCTGGGGACACTTTTGGTTGTCTCGCTTGGAAGAGAAGGTACTATTGAAAAAATAGAGACCAAGGATACAGCTGAATCTACAAAGCACAGGACAGCCTCCCAAAACAAAGAATCTGCCGGCTCCAAAAGGCAACAGTGGCTCCATTAAGAAACCCTGGGTCAGCTGAATATTTGGCTGTTAACCACCAAAGCAAAGACCCCAGGAGGGCAGAAACTTGCAGCTGGAAGTTCTCAGTGAGTGGATGAGCCGGCCAGGGCGTGGCAGATCTGATAGGGCTACCCGAGGGAGGGGTGGAGATATAGCACCAGCCTGTACCGTCAGGCAGGGCCAGTGAACTCCCACAGGGATTCAAAATGCCTGTTTCGACTCACTCCATCCTCTACCTGAAGCGACAGGCCAAGGAGGGAAAGACAATCTCAGTCCCGCTGTGAAGACCGGCACCCGGCTGCTTCAGCCGAGAGCCCCGGGGGCAGATTTTTGGATACCCTGGATATGCTCCCTCGAGATAGGGGTGGAGATTCTGGCCGGTGCTAGGCCACCAAATGCATGTGCCATGTATCTTCAGACCAGGAAGACTGTACTAAGTAGGTCCCCAAGAGGGGCAGGATGCAATGCGACAGCTGTAATCTCGCGTTGTTTTTCAGTCGTTCACCTTCCCTCTACCCCCCAAGTAACCTGTAACCATTTTGTCTTCTAATCCAACTAGCTCCCCATGTCTGTTGAGTCAAGATGAGCTGCCCAAAAAGCTAGATGAAATGTTGATGAATGTGGGTGTACTGGGCACACTCAAAGTATCGGATTTAGATTTATCTGTTCCATAACTTTTAGAAGTCTAACCTGTAATAGGTAGTTCACATTTAAATTCATCCAATGATTGGGTTTCAAAACTCTACCCTGAAACATTACGGTCTCTTTGAAACCATTGAGAAAATGTTACATTTGAGTCGACTTAAAGGAGAATGTTCGAATAATTAATTGAGCTGCCAGTAAGACAGGAGCAGAAAGCATTTATATAATGAACACATTTTAGTAAGAATAGGCCTCTTTTATAAATCTGGTTTACAGGTTCCTAAACTAACAAGTGGGTTTGTAATGCGTTTGGATGTGGGACATTGGCAACATATAGATAAAACTAGTGTTCTAATAGTTCAACTGGAGAATGAACACTTTCATCTTTAAACTATATTGATATGCCTGAATATTTCATTTGGGCAGCAAATATTTGTTAGTATACTTTATATTTGGATTAACAGCTAGGAACAGGATTAGCTCAACGTGTTTTCATTGCAATATGCATTCCATAAGCATATTTTACATTTAAAATATGTAGATATATACTGTGCATATATCCTTTTTAAATATAAGTTATATGGTGTGAGCATTTCTCTGTTTCCTTAAAAGTTTCTTGAAATCCTCATTTTTAGTGGCAACAGTCTTATCTTTGGATATTTTTGTAACACACATAGCAGTCCCTTGTTGTTAAATATTTTGGTTATATTTTGCAACAGTCCATAGAGGTGGGATGAACTAGCAGAATTTTTTCCTATACTTCATATCCCAAGCATAAGCTGCTGAAATGGACTTCTAGGGAAGTGAAGGAAGAGTCTGCAAATGGGTCTGGCTAACCACCCGTTTCACTTGGAAGCTGAGGAAAGAAACATTTTTGTAGAACACACTGACCTTCTTGTCTCATGGGGTACGGCTTGCGTAGGGGAAGATTCCTAATTTCTGGCCATGGATCTAGAAACATTATGGAAAGAAAAGGAAGTTTTCCAATGAATGTAACACATCTTTGTGTATCTCTACTGAGACAATCCTACTGAAATTATTTTACCTTTTTTGACTTCCTTCCTTCCTTCCTTCTTTCCTTTCTTCCTTCCTTTCTTTCTTGCTTTCTCCTTTCCTCCCCTTCTCCCTCCCTCCCTTTATTCCTTCCTTCCTTCCTTAATTGTTTTCCTTTCTTTCTTCCTTCCTCCCTTGCAAGACACAAATTCAAAACCACCCAATTCATGAGTCGATGCACCCTGTATTGAATGGAGAGTTGCACCCTCTGTCCATTTCACTGCAAGGGAACTCCCTCTTACTAGGAACCCCTAACTCTTTAGTGGCTGATCACTAACAAAGATATGGCTATGCGTCTTCACTTTCTGTTTTCTTTCCAGAAATTGGTTTAGCAAAAGAAAAGGTAACATATTTCCTTTTCTGTTTTTGAACTTTTTATTAACAGTTTTTTTTTTTCAGCTGAGTGTAACATGCTGCATTATAGATAATTGCTTTTAAACTAGGTCCACTTCTCATTCCTCTTTGAATTTCCATTGTACCTGCACATAATGCATTTGTTATATAACAAGTGATTACTAAATTTGAAATTAATTTATTGGTATCACATTTAGTCTTTTGTAAAATTATGATCTACAATCTCTAAATGTTTAAGAGCTCAAATTGATTTATCTATTTTCCATGTTTTTTAATAAGACTCTGCCCATCTGTTGAATGTCTGCTCTGAATTTGACACTGTGATAGACACACGACAGATGTTTCGTGTGTTACAGATGAGGAACCAGACTGTGAAGAGTTGAATCAAGTAACTTAAGTGATGTAATCCTTAAAAATCTGTAAATTTTCCAAATAATAAAGTGACTGTCATTTTATTTTTTAATACATTTCTAATTATTTTAACGATATTTCTTCACCATTATGGTTAAACATTTGTCCCAGTTTATTATTTTAAAGGAAGATGCAGCAAACTTTCCCTGTGAATGTGTGTGTGTGTGTGTGTGTGTGTGTGTGTGTGTGTGTGTGTAGACTGTTTTTTAGAGCAGGTTTTAGTTCACAGCTAGGTTGATGGAGAAGTACAAAGAATTCCTATACACCCACTGCTCCTACACATGCACAGTCTTTCCCACTGTCAACATCTTTCATCAAGGTGGTACATTTGCTACAATTGATAAACCTTCCCCAAAAAGTCTTTATTGCCAAAGTCTATCGTTTACATTAAATTTCACTCTTGGTGGTGTGTATATGTTTTTACTTTCTTTAGGTTGTGTATAGTTATCTAAGAGTTTCATATTCCAAAGTTTTAAGGACACGAGAAGCTTAGTATGATAATTATTTTATTTGACATGGAGTATTACCCTGTTGCTCATGCTGGAGTGCAGTGGCCTGATCCAAGGCTGCCAACTTCACCTCCTGGGTTCAAGCGATTCTCCCACCTCAGCCTCCGAAGTATCTGGCATGACAGGTGCTTGCCCAAGAACCTGGCTAATTTTTGTATTTCTAGTAGAGGCGGGGTTTCACTGTGTTGGCCAGGTTTGTCTCCAACTCCATATCTCAAGTGATCCATTTGCCTTGGCCTCCAAAATGCTGGGAATACAGATGTGAGCCACAATGCGTAGCCTTAGTACAGTTTTTGAATTCAAATTTTAAATGTGCTGAGTTTCTTCATACACAACCAAATTTTACTTATCAGCCTTATGAATGTATTTATTTACATACTTATTTTTTAGAAGTAGGGTCTCTCTCTGTCACCAAGTCTGGAGGGCATTGGCATAATCTCAGCTTACTGAAACATCTGCCCCTCCTGGGTTCAAGCAATTATGCTACTGCAACCTTTCAAGCAGCTGGGATTACTGGCACACACCACCACATTCTGCTAATTTTTTTTTTTTTTGATAGAGTCTGGGTTACTCTTGGTGGGCAGTGTTGTTTTCAATCCGGAGCTCATGTCATCTCCCCTCTTAGGCTGCCCAAGTGCTGTAATTACAACTGTGAGACACTGTGCCTTGTCTGGAATTCTTTTTTGATATATCTTTCTCTAACTTTCTAATAATTATATACTTCTACTTATCGTGTACTTAGCAATTGTAAAATTCTTATAACAGGAATTAATCCCACTCAAACAACTAAATGGTTTCTGCTAACATAAAATAACAATGTAAAATATTTTCTTTAAAGGAAATCCAGTTGAAAACATATTCATGTTCTTAGAGTAGACATAATTATTGATATATACTGTAGCAGAAATATGTATAAATGCTTGCCCAAAATATCTGTTTAACAGAATTTTAAGTGCACTTTAGTCATGATTGTAAGGACAGTGAAAATTTAGTTTATTTACATTTTTAAATACTACTTTTAAAAAGTTGTAATTGAATAACATTTGATGTAAAACACTTAGAGATTAATTACATGATCAAGAAAGAAATTTTATTATTTTAACTCAAACTTTTTGTAATTTATCTAATAGTGTAAGAAAGAGCTTGTATTTTGCTTTGTTAGCATAGTTGTAATCTTATCTTTTCTGAAGGAATTTTCTTAATCTCTTATTCATAAATATATTATAACGTATCATTTAAACATTGCTATAAAACTGTGTCTAATTAGTAACATTTTATTTTCTTAAGGTATTTAATATGCAGGATTGATTGCACTCTATAAAATTCACCCTACTCCCAGTTTCTAGAAATCACTGGTAAGATTACTTAGTTTATATAATCTACTTCGGTTTGTTAATTATAACTGAATAGCTTTATAAAGGTAAACTATTTCCTTTTAACAGGTCTCAGGATCTGATAAAGAAAACCAAAAATATAGGAGCCTACATATTTGTAAACTATAGCAAGGTTTTTCTATGTACTTTTCCTTATAAAGTAATAAAGCTAATTTTGAGGGAGAAGAGTAAGAAATTTAATTAGATTTAAATTACATGTTTTTCCTTGCTGACCATATCTTACTTTTTAAACAATAGTTCACCTGTTCTGCAGGTCATTATTCCCATGTTTTCATTTTTGTAATAACTTTCAGATAGTCAAATAAGAAAACTTCAGACGGTATCAAGGGCCCTACAGACACACTGAAAGATACTGTTTGTAAAAATATCCACTATTGGGAACACTTCTTAAAAAAAAACAAAAAACAAACCAAAAAAAACTTCAAAAATCTGACTTTTAGGCCAAGTGTCTTTGTATACTAGGTATGCCTCTCAAGTACAATTGATAGAGTATTAACTGTATTAATATGTCATTAAAGAAGAAAATATGTGTTCAGTAATGTGTAATATAACTTCTGTTATATATAAGCACCATCCACTGTAACTCTTTGTGATGGCGGAAATGTCTTTATCTATACTGTTTAATGTGGTAGCTGCTAGTCTCATGCGACTATTGAGCAATTGAACAGTAGCTAGTGTAACTGAATAATTCAATTTTTAATTTATATTTAATTAGCTCCATGTGCTTATTGACTATCACAATGAACAGCATAATTCAAAGGTATATAGTTAGTAGCTATTGCTTAATTTTTACTTCAAAAGAAAAGGAGATATTACAGAACAATCTATGGGGCAGGAAAAGTGCCTCATGCAGGACTTTGGGAGGCTGAAGCAGGAGGAACACTGAAGGCCTGGAGTTAGAAATCAGCATGGCCAACACAGTGAAACCCCATCTCTACTACAAATTCAAAAATTTGCGAGGTGTGGTGGCAAGTGCCTTTTATCCCAGCTATGCTAGAGGCTGAGGCAAGATAATCACTTGAACCTGGGAGGGGATATTTGCAGTGAGCTGAGATCATGTGACTGCACTCCAGCCTGGGTGACCTAGCTAGGTGCCATTTTACTCCCCACCAAGGAAATAAAGAGAGAGAGAGAGAGAGGGAGGGAGGGAGGGAGGAAGGAAGGAAGGAAGGAAGGAAGGAAGGAAGGAAGGAAGGAAGGAAGGAAGGAAGGAAGGAAGGAGAAACTGTGGTAACACTTCTCACACTTCTCATGCTGTGGCACCAACTTTGGGGGTCTGTCCCTTGCAGACCCCTGAACCCGCAACGGATGAATAAAGTACACTGAAACATAAATATTCTGCTTTGCCAGTCCAGCTGAAGCTGAGTGTCTGAGCCACTTACAGACTCCAGTAGAGTTTTGTAAACAGTGGCAACAGTGGCCCTGACCAGCAAGTGAAACTCACACTTATCAGTAAAGATTAATTGACAAAGACTTGAGTCAACATCACTGGGGCAACACTGACATTGCGGACTTCCCTAAGCACTTAAGCACCCAGGGTACCTCAAAGGTTAGTCTTCAGACCACATGAGTAAACAAGCTAGCTGCATAACCTCCCCACATTCCTTTGTCAGTACTTTAATTTATTTAACTAAAGGTAAAGAAAGTCACCTTCAACCGTATCTATTACTGAGGTTATGCAAAGTCTCTGGCCTTCCAAGATGGTTTGTGGCTATTACTATAATTATCTTTAATATTTTTCCCCCCAGACTGACTGAGCCCCCTAACAGGAAAGAATCTATACATTTACTATATTACATTATCTTTAGAAATAGTCTTTCTATCTTTACAGAGTCTCTTTACATCCATCTCATTCAGAAAGATATCTGGGTGACAACCCTTACCAGCTTTACCTAGCATCCCAGTAAAATTTCTGGAAGTCAGAAAAATGATGAGTAGTGCTAGTCATCCTAGTGGCAAAATTTGGATAGAACCCTTAGCTAACAATAAAATAACTTCTGGTAAATTAAAATCATTTTAAAAAGCAATGGCTTCTAATTAAACAACAGAAAACTTATAGGAAGATATATTGTACTGAACTGTCTTCTGCCCCCTGAGTCAGAGACCTGTGATCTTATCCTATTTTAGTATATCTACACTCAGGAGATGCTAAGCTGTAGATACTAACAGTACTTTCCTCCTAGACTCTAGTCACCCGTTCTTCCCCCTCTTAATATTTCGTTTGACAGCCAAAGATACACAGACAATGATATGCACAAATTTTGGATGAAGAAAGAAAATTTGGACACTGACACTTTGCTTTCTGAAAGTTAAAATCCTTATCTATAATTGGCAAAAGAATAGACACATACATCAATGGGAACAGATATAGAGAATCCAGAAATAGATTCACACAAATATTGTCAATTAATTTTTTTTAACAATGGTTCAAAGGCAATTCAATAGAGGAAAGATAGTCTTTTGAATATGTGGCTCTGAAATAATTGAATATTCATGTGCATGGAAATGAACCATAAATCTAAATGTAAATTGCAAAACTATAAAATTTCCAAATAAAAACAAGAGAAAGTCTATGTGATCCTAAGTTTCATGATGTGATATAACACCAAAAGCAAGATACATAAAAGAAAAAAATTGAGTTAGACTTAATTGAAATTAAAACATCTCTGTGGAAGACACTGTTAAGAGAATGAAAAGACCTACTGTCAAACCCATAAAGTTTTACATCACCAAGAATAAACATTAGTGTTTGCAAATGTTGGTCTGCTGATCCCTGGATAGAATGCAGACTGTGTCAAAACAATCTAACTGTAATCCACTCACTGAAGAGGATGGGGATGGGGATGAGGTGCTGAGCGACTAATGTTTTTAGTTTCAAGAAACTAAAAATTTCAAAAATAATTTACGCTTCTCGTTTAAAGCAAAGTTTCAGATTATTTGGAAGGATATAAAGTGAAAGCAAACTAGCAATTTGTGCCCATGTTTTCTAATCTGACTCTCAACTGATAACTACAATTTTAATAATTTTGTTTCTTGGTTATTTTTGCAGAATTGATGGAGTTTAAAACTCTATGTATTTCTAATTAAAACACACAATCAAATAAAATTATATTATAGATCCTTTTGGCAATTTGCTTTTTCTATCAACCAATATATCTATCTGTAGCAGTATATTGAGACTCATTATTTTTAAAGTAAATATTTAACCCCCTATTAATGGAGATTGAGTTGTCTTATTGTATGCTTTTTTCCAATAGAGGCAACCAGTATGCAGTGTGCACGCTCTGTGTGCTTGTAAAAGTACAGCTGTGTGAATTCATGGAATTGGAATGAATAGATTACTGCATTTTGAATATATGTAAGCACTGACACATTCCTCTCCCAAGTGAATGAGCACAGCTATACTTCCACTCCATTCCCAACATTAGCATTATCAAAAGTTTAATCTTAATGGTGTTATAGGGAAAATAATGGTTTCTTCGCTTTATTAATTTGCATTTATGATTTTGTTCATGTTTATTCAACATCTGATAATCTTGGTTATCTTTGTTTGACATTTTATTTTTTCTACAATCTGTCCATTTTTTTCACATTTTTCAGTTTTGTTTTCTTTTCTTTTAACTGATTTGTAAGAGCTCTTTAACGATATTACAATGTTGTAACTTTAGTCCTGCTTATGCCTCCATATTACTGCAACTAATTTTTGAGTGTATGTTTTTCTATTTTATGCCACATGTAAATTTTTAAATTTTATGTAGTGAGATTGATGAATATTTCTCCTTATTGTTTCCAGGTTTTGTATCATGCTTGGGAAGGACTTCTTGAAGATTTATTCTTAAAAGCTATTACCAGACAAAGCTGCTCATTCTTGTGATCCCAGCCCAGGCAGGAGGATCACTTGAAGCCATGAGTTTGAGATCAGCTGAGGCAGGCAACATAGGAAGACCCTGTCTCCACAAAATAAATGAATGAATAAATAAATAAATAAATAATCTGCGTGTGGTGGATGTTGGTAAATGCCTGAGTATTTTCAACACATAGAAAAGTTGAAACAATTCTAGTCAACACTTACATACCTACCACCTAAATTTCACTATTACATTTGTATTATATATACTTCATCATTTTTATCTGTCCATCTATTCATCTATCTTACTTTTTTTTTATATTTCAAAGTAAATTGATGACACGTATGCTTTCCCCTAACTATACTCTTTACTTTTGAACCAGAAATCTGACCTCTTACACACCTGATCATGCTTCTGTGTCCTAATTTTATGTGTTACTTTTTAATAGCTGACAACCTTCAGCTTATTGATGATCAACTGACAGTTGCTTACCCTTAGAATACAAAGTTTGAGTCTTTAGAAACAAAGCTAAATGAATATAAGAGAGAAATAGAAAAGCAACTTCTGGCAGAAATGTGTCAAAAGGTAATCTGTATCATGTTGCAGTTAACAAGAGTCATGTTTTTGTCATCTAAAGACTTAATCTTAGGTATATTAAAAAATACTTGGAACTTTTATTAAAAAATGGAGTACTTCAGTGTTGTGCAAATCAATTTTTTCTGATGAGATTTGTTTATGCCTTTGGATTGAATTCTACAAATACAGTAAATGATATAAAACTATAGATTAAATAAATATAACGTATTTGGACAGAACATTAATGTAGAGCCTAGCTGTAGAGAGAGAATCTGTTACTGTTCTTATAGTATAACGATTGGAGCTTTTATTTTTTTGTAATAAATTTGCAGTTGAATTTTTCATGGAAGTGATAAGAGTATGAGACAGAATTAGCTATGTTCTGAAGTTTTGAGAAAGCTTGTCAAGCAGAATCTGAAGCCTTCATTCCTTGAGAAAAGAGTATCCTTGAGAGAAATCAAAAGCACCAAGAAGTTGTATTTAGAAAAAAATTTACTGAATGGCTATTTTCTACAGCTATTACTGGATTGACTCAAGATCCAGGAATGAGATGTTTCAAATGATGGAACAAGGCCCCTGAAGAGCAGTAGGGACATTGGCGAAGAGTGCAAAAAAAAAGAATGATGGGCCTTGAGAAGGCTACACCAATTTGTGTCCTTTGAGGCTGGTGGAGAGACAAGAATTGAAGAGGTGACCAGTCAAGTTGGAATTATGAGAAACATAATTCCGCTCACTCTAAAATTTTCTATAGCATTTCTGGAAATAGTGGTTGCTTCAGCTATAAAGATGCTTCATCTTCTCAGGCAAATTAAGGAGACAGATCAAGGGTTTCAGGAGCAACTTGGAGGTGCAGAGTAGCTCTTATGGATAAGGTAAGAACAGCTTTTTAAAGGAGAGTGCACCGATTACCTGTACTGATGGCCCAGCTGTGGTTAGGGTAACCAGGAATTGAGAGAGACAAAACCACATGTTTGTAGGTGAGTTTTCTGTTCTACCTCTGGGAAGGAATTTTAAGGGTCTCTCTCTGCTGCCCCTTTCAGTGAGGGTGGAAAGATGGAGATACGCGGGAAGTGGAGCTTTGCAGAGCATACTTCATTTTCCTTGAGAAATGCAGCCTATTTAATTGGAGATTCTGTGGTTCTCCTGTGTAGTGAAGGTAAGCAGAGAAGATGGCAAGTGGCTGGTAACCTAGGGGAAAAGGGAGGTTTGGGCGGCAGTCTCAGTGATCAAGAACTAGATCTGGAGAGATTGGCAGGTGGAAGAATAAAGATCATCCAGGAGTGCAGATTTGCAGAGTGAGGTATCAGGTGGAGACTGGAAATCAAAGGCAGTGGGCTGACATTGGATGGAGACATGAAAATGCGCAAGAGTAAAGATCCCTGGGGTGAGGGAGTCACCAGGGCCCCAAGGGTCATCCATGTGGCCATTTGATCTCATCACTGGGAAAGTAACTGCAAAGGAGATTAAGATGATGAGGAGTGGCAGGGAGTTTATGTTGGCTGCTCCTTTAAGATATCTTATTCCTTTTCCAAGTGTGTGTCTTAGACGTGACGGTATTTACAGCAGTATTTCAAACATACATCTAAAACAGCTGCTGCTAGATGTTAAAAGTAGAAAAGATTCCCCCTAGTGCCCACACTTGCTTGAAGCTTCTCAATGAGACATAGTTGTTTAATGCTAAGGGCACCCACTCTAAAATTTTCTATAGCATTTCTGGGAATAAGGCTTTCTTCAGCTATAAAATTGAATATTGGATGCATAGATATTTGAGGTGATTACATTGTATTTAGACTAATAACTTCATCTTCAAGATAGGTGACTGACTAGAATTCTGTTTATTCAAATTAGAGTATCTGAAGCCTTTGAGGAAGATTCTCATTCTCATAAAACCCAACATGACTGTGTTTCCTCACCTGGAATGTCAATCTCCTCCTCTCCTTGATAAAACCATAGTGTCATTCAAGGCCCAGCTTGGATGTCACTGTTGTGATGCCTTCTCTGACTCCCACTGAGCAGCTCATTTATGGCTCATTCCTACATGCAGTCATTATTACCTCAGTTATAAAATTATCCTATCTTAGTTTGATTGTTTCTCCCTGACTATACTGTGAGGTCTTCAGAGAGGAGGACTGTATCTGTCTACATTTTTATATCCATTCCCAGTATGCTGCTTGATATATGATACATAGTTAATAAATTTCTGCTCTGTGAAGACATAAGTGGAAGGTTGGCTTATTCATTTACTGGTTCATATGAGCTTGCTAACTCTGAGTCACAATGACTCATGAACTAAAACATTCAGAAAGCACCATCACAAAAAATGATGGGGATTTTATTATTTTGGAGTTTTATTTCTAAATGTACATTTTATTTATTTTTTTCCCTGAAGAACTTACCAGATTTTAGTTAAGGGGACCAGGTATGGTGGCTCATACCTGTAGTTTTAGCACTTTGAGGGGCTGAGATGGTGATCTCATTTGAGCCCAGCGGTACACCACCAGCCTGGGCAGTATGGCAAAACACCATCACTACAAAAAAATTAGCTGAACTTGGTGGTGTGTGTTTTTAGTCTCAGCTACCTAGAAAGCTGAGATGGGAGGATCCCTTGAGTCTGGGAGGCAGAGTTTGCAGTTATCCGAAATCACAACACTGGATCCAAACCTGGGCAACAGAGCAGAACCCAGTCTCCCCAAAAAATTACACAAGGGACTGAAATATGTTAATTAAATAGCATAAATTACACAAGGGGTGTTAAAATATATGGAAATGTAGTTTAACAGAAATTGAGAGACTAAATATTTATGAAGCTGGAATAGATAGTTGAGGAATACATTGAAGTGGATTTTTTTTCTTTTTTTTTTGAGATGCAGTTTTAATCTTTTGCCCAGGCTGGAGTGCAATGGCACTACCGTGGCCACTGCAACATCTGCCTCCCAGTTTCAAGTGATTGTCCTGTTTCAGCCTCCCAAGTAGCTAGGATTAGAGGTGCCCACCACTGTATCCAGTTAATTTTTGTAATTTTTGTAGAAATGTGGTTTCACGATATTGGCCAGGCTAGTCTCAAGTTTTGACCTCAGGTGATCGGCCTGTTTTAGCCTCCCAAAGGGCTAGGATTACAGGAGTGAATCACCGTGCCCAGCTGAGTTGGAATAATTTGAAGGTAAACTTGTTATTCTCAATTTCTGTATATTGGTTTTTGGAATTTAGGAAGCACTATATTTATTTAAATTTGTTATGTTTTCATTAACTTGCTGCCTAAAACTTAATGCCTTTTTTTTTTTTTTTTTGAGACAGATCTTGCTCTGCCACCCAGTGGAATGCAGTGGCATAATCTTGGCTCACTGCAAATTCTGCCTGTCAAGTTCAAGCAATTCCCTTCCTCAACCTCTTGAGTAGCTGGGATTATAGGCATCTGCCACAACACCCAGCTAAGTTTTGTATTTTTAGTAGAGATGGAGTTTTACCATCTTGGCCAGGCTAATCTTAAACTCCTGATGTCATGACCTACCTGCCTCAGCCTCCCAAAATGCTGAGATTACAAGCGTGAGCCACCAGAGCCAGCCAAAATTAATGCTTTTTACAGATTGAAACAAGAAAATTCATGCTCAAAGCCTTCTTTTACTAAAAGATATAGATTTGCTAAGAGAAGGAAAAGCAGAGCTGAAGCAGACAGTTGAAGATTTTGGATTGCCTGTATGCATGATTATTTTAGACATTCAGAATGATGAGATTAAAAAGAATTACTAAATATATATCTAAATGTTCTAATGTTTATTGCCAGGTGGAGTTGTTTTTTATAAAGGTGATATCACACAGCATTAGAAGTTACACATTAAGAGAAACAAACACTAGGGCTGTGCTTTTGAAATATTGAACATTAAGATGAAAGGCAGAATGAGATGCTATCACCAGGCTACAGTAACATCAAACAGAAAATTTGGAGAAGCTGTTAATACTTGAACAGGTCATATGTTTTTAAAGTTAACTTCAGTCCTCCTGGTTTGATAGTTTTGTGTGTTTATGTATTGGAACTGGATTTCAAATATCTAGGCCTGTGGCTTTTACCAGTTCTGTGCTCAAAAAAAGGAAGTATTGTGGTTTGACTTGACTTGTACTGGATGAAAGTGTTTCTCAGTGCTATTCAGTTTTTCTACGTGCTCACAGATGTTTCATCCATATGTTACCTGGGATTGACAGCAAGGTCACCTGTCTATAGTTTGCACAAGAAGTCTTTTCCATGGGGAATGTGCCGTTAATTGACACCCATAGATACTTTAGGAATTTTTGCTCATTAAAGAATTTGTCTCCATTTTATTTAATGTTGTTTTCTCACTTCTATAGGTTTGATTTTTTTTATTTCAGCTAGCTGTGTACCTTACTCTCATTTTGGCAATAATGAAAAGGTAAATTAATCCAGAGAGAGAGAAAAAAAAAAAGAGAAACAACATTTAAGCGGAGAGAGTGTGTCACTTTTTTCACCCTCAATTTCTCTACTTCTTTTCCATTCTTTCAGCATATGTACTAAATTCAATGTAGTTTACCTCTTCATGGCTTTCCAGATAACCAGCAGAGGGAGCTAATACCTGGAGTCTTTAACCGTTCTTAGACTAGTCAGTGTTGTGCAGTACTTCTTAGGATGGCTGGATCTCATCACCTGTGAATCCACCTCCCTGGCTAGGGAATTGGTACAATTGGTGATTTGAAGTCTCACTATGAAGATCATTTTATTCTTAAGCGCTTGAAAGCCCTGAATGACCCATATCTTTTGCCCTCTCTTTGGGAACTTGATGAGTATTCTTAAGCACTTGAAAGCCCTGAATGACCCATATCTTTTGCCCTCTCTTTGGGAACTAGATGAGTATTCAATCAATAGTTTTTTTTGTTTTGTTTTTTTTTTTTTTGGTAAGTTGGTGGTGGTGGTGCTGTTTTGGTTTTAAGAGACAAGGTCTTGCTATGTTGTCCAGGCTGGTCTGATACTCTTGGACTCAAGTGATTCTCTTGCCTCAGCATTCTGCAAAGCTAGGATTATAGTTGAAAACTGGATACACCAAACTTGGCTAAAGCTGATAGAATATTAAGCAAGAAAAAAGAATTGTACCTTAAATATCCATGAGATTATTAATTAAATTCCAGACTTACAAACAGCATTATAAAAGATTCAAATACATAAGTACACTTTTTTTTTGAGATGGAGATTTGGTATTGTTGCTGAGTGCAATGGTGCAATCTCACCTCACTGTGAATTCTGCCTCCCGAGTTCAAGCGATTCTCCTTCCTCAGCCTCTTGAGTAGCTGGGATTACAGGTGTGTGACAACATGCCTGGCTAATGTTGTACTTTTAGTAAAAATGGGGTTTCACCATGTTGTCCAGGCTGTTCTTACACTCCTATTATTAGGTGATCCACCTGCCTTGGCCTCCCAAAGTGCTGGGATTACAGGCATGAGCCACAGCTCCCAGCCATAAGTGTGCTTTTATTACTTTGTAGCTAATATCATTCTTTCATCCCAGAATTGATTCGGACCATTTATCACCTTTAACTATTGTTAAGTGTTAATTGTCTTCTATGAGAAACCACTTCTTCATTGACACTCTTCCACTCCCCTCAGTAAGAGACCCTCCCACTCTTCTCAGTCATGTGTCACAGGCCCCTGCTTCTGCTAGTTTCAACACATTGTAACTAGGTCAGTTCATAAAATACACTGAGGATTTCTGGCTCTTTTCTTCTACTTCTCAGTAGTAATTGTCATGTAGCAGTTTTAGTTGGTTGAACTAAAAACATGTCACGTGATATTCTTCCTAAATTTGTTAACTCAGCTTTTATAGTTTATTTACTTTATGTTTTTTTACTAATTTCAAAACCCAGAAACTCCAGGAAGAAAAACATAAAAGCATGACTGAGGACTTAGGAGATGGGAGCACAATACAAAGTGTCTTGAGGAGAACGATGACTGAAAGCTGAAGAACAAACTTCTAAAGTAATTGCTTGGCACGTTTGAAGAAGTAATACGTTTAAATTACTTTGGTAGAAACATAACAAAAACTATGGAAGTATTCTCTGATGAACATCTTATGCAAACTTTAATGTTTGAAAAAATACATATGTTTATCAATAGCCAATACTTTCCTGCATTTGAGTTAGGGTTGTTTTTAAAAGATAAGGTATAGAAAAGCACTTCCTCTGTTCTTCTTACTCATGGCTTCTTGAACATTTATTGAGGGCTGTGATTTGCTTTAAATTTCATGGTACATCGTGACTTGCTCAGGTTGCATAGTTGATAAGCTGTAAAGTTTGAATTATAATCGCTTTTCCTCTACCCCACTCATACTGCCACAATGATGGGGATATCTAACAATGTATAAATTATACTTAGTGGTCTGATTGTTTGTCAGTGAACATGTGCCTTGTATTCCTTGATGATTCTGCAAAGCCAGAATCAAAAGAAAAGAGCTAAAATTAACTAAGTAATTGATATAGGGAAAGGAAAACATGCACAAGTATGGTTACTTTGGCTTTACTTTGACCTTGTGTATCAGTGAGTAACACCTCAGTGCTAAGACACTATGTCCATGTGGTAAATTTTCAGTGCATTCAAAAGCATCTTACACATAAAAAATGCTCAGTTAATATTTGCTGTTAATGTGTTAGGAGGAAATGACTCAACTCAGGTGTTCTGGGCATTTTATTGGCCTCTTTTTATTGCCTTCCTCATAATTTATCATGGATATTCCATTACACAGAGCTTGCAAAGGTTTCTTGAGGTTATTCTATTAAAAAAATTATGTTTTTTAAAAATAGAACACTTCTTTCATAGATTCTGAATTCCCAATATATTCTCAATATATTTTGATAAATCTGTAGTTGTCAAGAAGTTGGCCACAGCTTATTGCCTCTGGTACATATTACTCTTAGCCATGAGAAACTTTATTTTTTACATATGAAAATGATGTATTTTACCCAATTTTTTGTCAGTTTCTATATTAAAATAGCTAACATGAAGTTTCTGTAGTTACTGAATTTTTAGGAATACATGTATTAAAGTATGTTTGTTAATTTTATATAGTTATGGAGCTGGTGAACTATTTGGTATCATTGTGACAGCTTCCACGGCCTGCATGGTGTCTTTCTGGCTTTGGGAATTCCCGTATGACTTTGGCAAGTGTTGGAGTTTGGGGACTGTTCACCACAGGAGTGTTTCTTTATCCTTTTGGAAACAAAAGACAGCTTATAAAAGCTGGAAAAGAAAAGTAAAACTGAAAATGTGCCTTCGGGTATTGCTACTTCAGATATAATGCTCTTAGCACCTGGTTCCCTGGACTGTGATTGGTCCCTCGGCACAGAATTCTTTATGTTTGTTTGGGCTGGGCAGATAGTACAGGTGGGCAGATAGTACAGGTGGGTTGAAAGTGGCTGTCTAATTATCATTTGGGATTGAGTCTGTTGTGTGCTGTGTAACTTTAATTTTCTTCCTCGCTTTTTGGGTCAGTTGAGACCAACTGGGAAGTGATGCTTTCAGTAACCTTATGGCAGCACAACCCTCCATTTTGTATGATTGTGCTTTACAACATCAAGGCAGAGTTTTACTGGACATTTTATGTTTGACGTTCATATGCCTGGCTTTAGTACTGAGGGACTTTGATGTTCACACAATGTCGTGTTCAGTGCCCTCAGGTACACTTGTACCATAGATAAGCTCGTACATTGATATTCATCTTTCTGGAAAGACAACTCAGAAACTTATATTTAGTCGTTCTGATTCTCAGGTATCAACTTGAACTAACAGATGACTACATCATTAGAATTAATCGACTGAAGATGAAAGGAAGAATAAAAGTGATGTTTGGATGCGGTAAGAAGCCATAGTTTTCAGTTGTGATACAGGTTATCAGCTTCCCAATTTGGGTCTGTTTCATATTCTTAAAAAAAAATACGTCACACTTCATTGTCTTGTCTATAGTTCACTTTTTTTTGTAATTTTAATTATGTAAAAATTAACAAAATGGTTTTCACTGACTTTTGAGAAACCATTATCCTTAATATTTTATATAATCAGAAAGGCCAGTTTTTTTTCTGTATATTTTATTAAACTTTATTTGAATATATGTTGATAAATCTATAATTATCAAGAAGTCGACAGCAACTTATTGCCTCTGATACCTATTACTTTTACCCTTGAGATACCTTCTTTTTCACTTAGGAAAATTTTAACTTCTCTGTCTCCTGTGACATAGCTTCTTATTTTGTTGGCTTCTAATGTATTTCTTTATTTATAATATTTTTACTGTATATATAACCTCCTGGAATCTTGTATATATTGCCCTTGAGACTGGAAGGTGAGTACTTTCTCAATCTTCATATATTTCATATTTCAATATATTCCTAGGAAATTGCCTGTAAGGAGAGGTGACGTTTTGTTGGAATTTTCAGTTAGACTATTGGGAGTATACCAAAGTAGTTATTTGATGTTGTCCAGACACCCAGTGTGTGGTTTCCCCTTTTACTACTATCTTGTGGAGACTAACCCTTCTTTTATAAATTACTACCATCATCTATGTAACAAATTTTGCCTTGATATTATATCTACATAGATTCAAGTTAAATAAAATGAAAATGAGAAAGTAATACCTACAATACAATAACAATATTGTCTTTTACAATATAGTAACAGACAGATCTTCTTCTTCAAGGAACTTAAAACCTCTCTGGTTAGCAGGTGTAGATGGTGGAATTTCACCACATAGATGACAGTTATAGCTTCACATCACCTGTTAGCTAACAGGGCTTATTTCTTACTTGCCTGTGAAAGTTTTGTCCCCTACACAGGCTATTTCTATTACAAAATAATGGTCATTAGGTCTGACATACTGGCCATAAATATTAAATAGCTTTTGTATTTACCAGGAAAACATTATGGTGTTTAAAGGGCTCCTTCTTTCAGGAAAACCTGTTTACTTGCAAGAGGAGAACACAGTTACTAATTCAAAAAGGAGGAACTCAATGAATCAGTAAATTTTATGTAAGAACTTGACGTCATTGTTCAGCATATTTTTTGAAATAGATTTTAAGCAATATATAAAATTTTAGTTATACGTAATTTATCCAAAGTCTTCCTCTTGATGTTTAAACTGCCATTTCTATGGCGAAGAAGGGGATGACTAAAGTTAATTCAATAGTTCTTAACTTCAGTCAACGCCATATAGGAAAATGTAGATAGTGCTTTGATTCTTAGAGTGCTTCTTGCATCTTATCTGTGTGTCTAATTTCTTGTGTGCCTTTGGGCGGTCCTTTGCGTATTCCTCAGCTGTAAACTGTAGGATATTTTCCACACTACAGGGTTGTAGAGGGAATTCAGTGAGCTAACTTATATGCCTAATTCATAGCAGGTGGCCAATATTATTACTGCTCTGTTACTACATCAGCCTTGTCTCTCTTTCCATCAGCAGCAGCTAAAAATTTCTGTCGTTACAGCGTTATCTCACAGATTAAAACAAAATGTATTGCATTTATCACACGCCATTGCTTCCTTAGTTTTCTGTTTATTCTTGTGCTTGCTGTCTGAAGATGAAGCTGGAACTTTAGGCACTTAAAACATTTTAAATCTAAAGTTTATTTTGCAAGTTTAACTTACGTGAGAACTTTGTAGGCCTTCATATGCAAATATGAGATATAGTATACTAAGAAAAGAAAAGCACTACACAAAATGTTATTTTTGTTTGTTTGTTTGTTTTTTGAGACTGAGTCTCATGCTGTCATTCAGCCTAGACTGCACTAGTGTGATCTCGGCTCACTACAATCATTACCTCCCAGATACAATCAATTCTTGTGTCTCCACCTCCCGAAAAGCTGGGATTATAGCCATGCCCCACCACACCAAGCAAATTATGTATTTCTTTTTTTACTTTCTTTCTTTTATATTTTTTAAGATGGAGTCTCAGTCTGTTACCCAGGCTTGAGTGTAATGATGTGAACTGGGCTCACTGCAACCACTGCCTTGGGGTTCAAATGATTGTCCTGCTTCAACCTCCTGGGTAGCTGGTATTACAGACACCCACTGCCATGCCCGGCTAATATTTGTTGTTTTAGTAGAGATGGGGTTTCACCATGTTGGCTAGGCTGCTCTCAAATGTTTGACCTCAAGTGATCTACCCTTCATGGTCTTACAGTGTGCTGGGATTACATGTTTGAGCCACAGTGCCCTGCTGTATTTTTAGTAGAGATGGAGTTTTCCATGTTGTACATGGTCGTCTGTAACTTCTGAGTTCAAGCAATCCTCTCATCTTGGCTTCCCAAAGTGCTGGAGTTACAGGCGGGACACACCATGCCTGCACATTTTTACCTTAACTTTTCATATTTAAAACAAAGCTATATTTCTATTATGAGTGATTGTTGTTAGGTTCTTAGCTGCTTCTGAAAAATGGGGTGATAATCTTAGAAGGACTTGCTTCATGGGATGTGGTCCATAAAACTTCCTCTGCCCCAGTTGTAGGGCAGAAGACAATTTCTGTTACTGTAGTTTGGCCTTTTTTTGCAGAGATTCAGACATCTGTTTACTGACCTTAGTTAAATTGTGACACTATGCCTAAAGGAGCCTGCAAGCTTTTATTTTTGCTCACTATGAAGTCATCATTCAATTGTAAAATTTCCTTTTTAAGTTTCAGGTTGACTTAATGTCTGTCAAAGCACAGTCTTTGGCAATAACAAAACAAACATATGCTGAATGAAAATGTTTAAGAGATGGATGACTATTTACTACTAAAAGAAGAAAAATTGGAAGAGAATAAAATGAAAACATGCATCTCCTAAACCATATGTCCACCCCCTAGGTTCAAGCAATTCTCCTGCCTTTGCCTCCCAAGTAGCTCAGACTGCAGGAATGCACCACCCACACCCGGCAAATTTTTGAATATTTAATAGAGACAGGGTTTCACCACATTGGCCAGGCTGGTCTCAATCTTTTGACCAAAATGATCCACCAGCCTCACCTCATGAGTTGCTGAGATTACAGGCGCAATCCACTGTGCACGGCTTGCATGTTTTAGTGATTCATACTAGGTCAGTATTATAAAACTATGCTTTGTCCTTGTAAGGGGAGGCTTAAATTGGGAAGATTTATAAAATTAAAATTTCTGGATTAAACTCTGCTAACCTGCCTCTAGGTGGTATCAAGACATTTTTTGCCCTCTACCTGCTGATTGGGTTTGGCCAGTGGGGACACCAGCCTACGCATACAGTGGCACTGGACTTGCTGCTGTGTCTCAAGGCCAAGTGACGTCATAGTTCCTGTGATGACATCTTTCAAGTTCTCTGCACCATCCGCCTCTCTCCATTGCTGAGAATTTCTCCCTCCTTTAAATCTCACTCCCAAGGAGTGCTAAGAGTGTCATCCTGCTACTATCCCCGGGAACTCTGCCATCTATTGTGAGTACCTTGAATAAGTCACTCTTTATTAAAAAGTTCTTAGATGACTTTGATTGTGGGGCCCATCTAATTTCTGCCTGGATCCCAACTGCTGCTGGCGAATGCACAGATTACATTGAATCTCGTGTCTGTCATCAAAAGGTAGACCAGATAGCTCCTTCTGTGCATGGTAGAGGTGAGAAAGAGGTTTTCAGATTAATTTGAGAATGTGAGTTCTTTTTTTCTCCACCATTGTGCATTCCATGAGCAATGAATGAATTCCTGTTTTCCCTCCAGCAAATCATTTGTCATGTTTTAAAAATGGTTTAGCCGTTCCAACAAATATAAATGGGCCATGCTATCTCATTGTTGTAATTTTCAGTCCCTTAAAGATATATGAGTTTGAGCAACTTTTTGTTTGCTTTCTGTCGGTGTATTTTCATTGGTGTGTTCAGCTCTTTACTCATTGTTAATTGGGTAGTATATCTTAATTTTGAGTTTCAAGATCGGTGTATTTTCAGTGCAAGTTCTTGCTTAGATCTGTATTTTGCAGATATTTCTTTTCAGTCTTTTGCTTATCTTTCTATTTCCTGAATAAGATTTTACTCAGAGTACAAACTATTAATATAAGAAAACTAATATTATTAATTATTTTTACCATTACTGATCAGCTTTGGTGTCATTTGTTAAAACTTATGACCAAACCTGAGGTCACATAAATTTCTTTCTGTACTTTCTTCTAGAATTTGCATAGTTTTACATTTCCAGTTAATGGCTCCTTCACCATTAAAAAAAAAAAAAGAAAAAAACAGGAAAGGGGGAATTGCTGGCAAGACGTCTGAAGAAAAAGAGCTCCAGACTGCAGCTCCCAGGGAGATTGATGAAGAAAGTGAGTGATTCCTGCATTTCCACCTGAGGTACACTGTTCATCTGATAGGGACTGGTTGAATGGTGGCTGCAGCCCATGGAGTGTGAGCTGAAGCAGGGTAGGTCATCACCTCTCCCGGGAAGCCTAATGGGTCGGGAAATTTTCTCATTTACACAGGAGAAGCTGTGAGGGAGTTAGCCTGAGGAACCATGCACCCTGTGCCTAAAATGTGCTTCTCCCATGGTCTTGAAAACCTGCAGACCAGGAGATTGCGTTTGGTAACTGCACCATGAGGGCCGTGGGTTTCAAGCACAAAAATGGGGTTGTTAGAAAAAACAATGAACTAATTGTAGGAGTGTTTTGTTGTTGTTGTTGTTGTTGTTTTTATTACCCCAGTGGTGCCTGGAATGCTAAGGAGACAGGACTGTTCACTCCCCTGAAAAGGAGTGCGGAGGCCAAGGAGCCAAGTGATCTGGCTTAGCAGGTGCCATCCCCGATGGTGGCAATCCAACTATGGTTCACCAGATTGAAATTCTCGCTGCCAGCACAGCAGCAGTCTGAGATCTACCTGGGACACTGGAGCTTGGTGGGGGGATGGGCATCTTCCGTTGCTGAGGCTTGAGTAGGCTGCTTTACCTCATGGTGTAAACAAAGCCTCAGAGAAGTTTGAACTGCAGCTCAGCAAGGCTGATGTGGCCAGACTGCCAGATTTCTTCTCTCCGGGTAGGGTATTTTCGAAACAAATGATAGCAGCCCCAGTCAGGGGCTTACAAATAAAACCCCCATCTCCCTGGGACAGAGCACCTGGGGGAAAAGGAAGCCATGGATGCAGCTTCAGCAAACTTCAACATCCCCGCCTGATGGCTCTGAAGGAGCAGCACACCTCCCATTACAGTGCACTGGCTCTGCTAATGGTCAGAGTGCCTTCTCAAGTGGATCCCTGACCTCTGTGTATCCTGACTGGGAGACACCTCCTGGCAGGGGCCGACAGACACCTTGTATTGGAGAGCACTGGCTAGCATCTGACAGATGCCCCTTGAGGATATAGCTTCAGAGAAAGAATAGCCAGCAATCAATGAGACAGAAAATTAACAAGGATAGTCAGGACTTGAACTCAGCTGTGGACTAAGTAAACCTAATAGACATCTACAGAACTATCCACCCCCAAATCAACAGAATATACATTCTTCTGAGTTCCACATAACATGTATTCAAAAACTGACCACATAATTGGAAGGAAAACACTCCTCAGCAAATGCAAAAGAATGGAAATTATAGCAAAGAGCCTCCCAGACCACAGTGCAATGAAATGAGAACCCAGGATTCAGAAACTCACACAAACCTGCACAACTACATAGAAACTGAACATTTAGGAGCAGGCTGTAAATCATTGCTGGGTAAATACTGAAATAAGGTAGAAATAAAGATGTTCTTTGAAACCAATAAGAATGAAGACACAATGTGTCACAAACTCTGAGACACATTTAAAATGGTGTTTAGAGAAAAACTGATAGCACTAAATGCCCAAAAGAGAAAGCAGGAAAGATCTAAAATTGACACCCTAACATCAAAATTAAAAGAACTAGTTTAGTGAGAGCAAACGAATACAAAACCTAGCAGAAGACATAAAATAACTATGATCAGAGCAGAACTGAAGAAGACAGAGACACAAAAACCTTTCAAAAATCAATAAATCCGTAAGCTGGTTTTTTGAAAAGATCAACAATATAGATAGACCACTAGCCAGACTAACAAAGAAGAAAAGAGAGAAAAATCACATAGATGCAATAAAAAATGACATAGGGAATATCATTGCTGATCATCAGATAATACTCTGAACACCTCTATGCAAATACACTAGAAAATCTAAAAGAAATGGATAAATTCCTGGACACATACACCCTCCCAAGTTTAAGCCAGGAAGAAGTTAAATCCATGAATAGTCTATTAACAATTCTGAAATTGAGGCAGTAACTGATAGCCTACCAAGAAAGAAAATTCAGGACCAGACAGATTCATAGCCAAATTTTATCAGACATAACAAGAGGCACTCATACCCTTCCTTCTGATATTATTACAAAAAATGCAAAAAGAGGAAATCCTTCATAAATCATGTTATGAGGCCAGCATCATCCTGATAATAAAACCTGGCAGAGACACACCAAAAAAAGAAAATTTCAGGCCAGTATCCCTGATGAACATTGATGTGAAAATCCTCAATAAAATACTGGCAAACTCAATCCAGCAGCACATCATAAAGCTTATCCACCACGATCATGTCAGCTTTATCCCTGAAATGCAAAGATGGTTCAACATATGCAAATCAATAAACCTAATGCACCAAATAAACAGAACCAGTGACAAAAACCACATGATTATGTCAATAGATGCAGAAAAGGCATTCATCAAAATTCAACACCGCTTTATGATAAAAACTCTCAATAAAGTAGAAATGTACAGAATATATCTCAAAACAATAAGAGCTACTTATGCCAAACCCACTGCCAATATACTGATGGGCAAAAACTGGAAGAATTCCCTTTGAAAACTGGTACAAGACAAGGATGCACTCTCTCTCCACTCTTATTCAACCTAGTATTTGAAGCTTCTGGCCAGGGTAATCAGGGAAGAAAAAGAAATAAGGGACATTCAAATCACAAGCGAGGAAGTCAAATTGTCTCTGTTTGCAGATGACATGATTGT
Organism: Homo sapiens; assembly: GCF_000001405.40. Classification (NCBI taxonomy): domain Eukaryota; kingdom Metazoa; phylum Chordata; class Mammalia; order Primates; family Hominidae; genus Homo; species Homo sapiens. Next base: position 18,448,953 of record NC_000024.10, on the reverse strand, counting down.
ACACTTAGAAAACCCATCATCTCAGCATAAAATCTCCTTAAGCTGGTAAGCAACTTCAGCTAAGCCTCAGGATTCAAAATCAATGTGCAAAAATCACAAGCTTTCCTACACACAATAAGAGAGAACAGAAAGACAAATCATGAGTAAACTCCCATTCACAATTGCTACTAAGAGAATAAAATACCTCGGAATACAACTAACAAGGGATGTGAAGAACCTATTCAAGGAGAACTTCAAACCACAGCTGAAGGAAATAAGAGAGATAAAAAGAGATGAAAAATAAAAAGCTTCCATGCTCATGGATAGAAGAATCAATATTGGAAAAATGGCCATACTGCCCAAAGTAATTTATAGATTCAATGCTATCATCATCAAGCTATCATTAATTTTCTTCACATAATTGGAAAAAGAAAGCTACTTTGAAGTTCAAATGAAACCAAAAAAGAGCCTGCATAGACAAGACAATCTTAAGCAAAAAGAATGAATCTGGAGGCATCACGCTACCTGACTTCAAACTACATTACAAGGCCACAGTAAGCAAAACAGCATGGTACTTGTACCGAAACAGATATATAGACCAATAGAACAGAACAGTGGCCTCAGAAATAATACCACACATCTACTACCATGTGACATCTACTACCATGTGATATTTGACAATCTTGAAACAAGCAGGCAATGGGGAAAAGATTTTCCCTTTAATAAATGGTATTGGGAAAACTGGCTAGCCATATGCAGATAACAGAAACTGGACCCCATCCTTTCACCTTATGCAAAAGTCAACTGAAGGCGGATTAACGACTTACACGTAAGAATTAAAACCATAAAATTCCTAGAAGCAAACGCAGGCAATACCATTCAGGACATAAGCATGTGCAAAACCAAAACACCAAAAGCAATGGTATAAAAGCCAAAATTGACAAATGGGATCTAATTAAACTAAAGAGCTTCAGCACAGCAAAATAAATTATCCTCAGTGTGAACAGACAACCTACAGAATGGGTGAAAAATCTTGCAATCTATCTATCTGAAACAAGACTAACATCCTGAATCTACAGGGAACTTAAACAAGTTTACAAGAAGAAACCAAACAACCTCATCAAACAGTGGGCAAAGGATATGAACAGACACTTCTCAAAAGAAGACTTTGATGCAGCCAACAAACATATGAAAAAATGCTTATCATCACTCATTATTTGAGAAATACAAATCAAAACCACAGTGAGATACCATCTCACTCCAGTTAGAATGGCGATCATTAAAAAGTCAGAAAACAGCAGATGCTGGAGAGGATGTGGAGAAATACGAAGGCTTTTACAGTGTTGGTGGGCGTGTTAATTATTTAACCCTTGTGGAAGACAGTGTGGTGATTCTTCAAGGATCTAGAACTAGAATTACCATTTGACCCAGCAATCTGATTACTGGGCATATAACCGAAGGACTATAAATCATTCTACTATAAAGACACATGCATATGTATGTTTATCACAGCACTATTCACAGTAGTGAAGACTTAGAACCAACCCAAATGTGCATCAATGATAGACTGGATAAAGAAAAGCTGGCACATATACACCATGGAACAGTATGCAGCCACAAAAATGGATGAGTTCATGTCTTTTGCAGCGACATGAATGAAGCTGGAAACCATCATTCTCAGCAAACTATCAGAAAAATAGAAAACCAAACACCACAGGTTCTCATTTTTACATGAGAGTTGAACAATGGGAACCCATGGACACAGAGAGGAAAACATAACATGGTGGTGGGTGGTGGGATAGTGTAGAGATAACATTAGGAAAAATATCTAATGTAGATGATGGGTTGATGGGCGCTTTTCTCTAATGACCAGTGATGATGAGCATTTTTTCATATGTCTGTTGGCTGCATAAATGTCTTCTTTTGAGAAGTGTGAACAGACGCTTTTCAAAAGACATACAGGCAGCCAAAAAACTTATTTTAAAAAGCTCAATATTATTGATTATTAAAGAAACACGAATCAAAAGAGCAATGAGATATCATCTCCTATCTGTCAGAATGGTTATTATCATAAAGTAAAATAATAATATATGCAGGTGAGGTTATAGAGACCAAGGAATAATTATGCACTGTTGGTAGGAATGTAAATTAGTTCAACTGTTGTGCAAAGCAGTAGGGCAATTCCTCAAAGACTGGAAAGCAGAACTACTGTTCAACCCAGCCATCCCATTACTGGATACATACCCAGAGGAATATAAATCACTCTACCACACAGACACACGAATGCAAATGTTCACTGCGGACTATTCACAACAGAAGACATGGAATTAACCTAACTACCCATTAATGACAGATTGAATTAAAGAAAATGTGGTACATGCCCACAGGGAATACTATGCAGAGATTAAAAAAAATACAATTATGCCTTTTGAGGGAACATGGATGGAGCTGGAGGATATTATCTTTAGCAAACTAATGTAGGAAAAGTAAACCAAATACCACATGTTTTCACTAGAAGTGGGAGCTAACTGATGACAACTCATGAACACAAAGAAGGGAACCATAGACATGAGACCTACTTGAGGGTGGAAGGTGGGAAAAGAGAGAGCAGCAGGAAAAATAGCTATTAATTACTAGACTTAATACCTGGGTGATGAAATAATCTGTACAACAATGCCCCATGACACGAGTTTACCTACATAACAAAGTTTCACATGTACCCCTGAACCTAAAATAAATAATAATTTACGAAACAGGATAATAGGCAACATTTCCGTTTGAATTTCCAAAATGATGGCACTGAACAATCTGAACTCTGCTTTTATTTGGTGCCGCAGTTCAGCCAGAAGGGGGCGCACGGCTGCCTCACCTTGACCATGGGGGTCTTGCAGTTCTTCTGGCTGCCAGCAGGGGGAGCATGAGTCCGCCTTTTCTGACCCTGGGAGCACCATCGGGTTCAGCTCGTGTTGCCCGAGGGCTACAGCTGCCTTCTCCTCAGTACAGACCAGAGCAACACCGCCTTGCTGAGGGACAGCTGGAGGCTGACTGCTGAAATCAGGGACCAGTGGAAGGGCTTCGTGTGGAAAATTAAACAATAAAAATCAAATGGCTTTAATGCAACCCAACGTCCTTCCCCACACCCAAGGTGTGGCCACAATGCCAGGTCCATACAGTGGCCTCCTGACACAAATGTATCATCTGTCATATAACATCTGTAATAGAAATATAACATCTGTAAATAATTATATCACCCATAATACAGATGTGACATTTGTAATACTAATGTAACACCTGAAATACTGATCTAACACCCGTGATAACACTGTAACATTCATAACAGCAATAAAACACTCATAATACCAGTATAGCATCCGAAATACAAATATGACATCCCTAATACTGATCTAAGAGCCATAATACAATTGTAACTCTCATAACACCAATATGCAATCCACAATACAAATGAAACATCCATAACACTTATATAACCCTTGTAATGCTTTCCTGACACCTGTAATACAACTGTAACACTAATAATACCAATACACCATTCAGAATTCCAATATATCATCCTGCGGTACAAATATAACAACTGAAATACTGAAGTGACACCTATAATATTAACAACACCCATAATGACACTGTGACATTCATAACAGCAATAAAACACTCATAATACCAGTATAGCATCCGAAATACAAATATAACATCTGTAATACTGATCTAAGACCCATAATACAATTGTAACTCTCATAACACCAATATGCAATCCACAGTACAAATGAAACATCCATAATGCTTATATAACGCTTGTAATGCTGTCCTGACACCTGTAATACAACTGTAACACTAATAATACCAATACACCATTCAGAATTCCAATATATCATACTGAGGTACAAATATACCTGAAACACTGAAGTGACACCTGTAATATTAACACCCATAATAATAATACAACATTTGTAATACAAATAGAACAACCAGAATACTGATGTAACACCCACAGTTACTGATATAACACTCATCATAAAGATGTAACACCAGTAATACTGACATAACATTCCTACTCTTATGGGGGCACTTGGTTTCACGGCTTCCACTAAGCTGGATTTGGGGAGGATTTGGCCTCTATAATGAAGTTTAATGTTGTTGTCTCTGCAGTAGTGACAAGGTATGGACATGGTTGTTTTTATTAAAAGTAGTTTACTTCTCAATAATTTTATACTTCTAGGAAACTTCCAATAGCTGTTAGTATAATCTTTTCTCTCAGAATCTCCAGTGGTTTCTGCTGTGCCAGATTTGAACCTTTATGCAAAATATCCCAGGGGTTTTATGAAAAGTGAGGACACTCTCCAAGGATACCATCACATAACTATTAAATCAGGAAATACAGGGTTAGTAATGGTAATGGTAATGACAAAATATTCATTTACAATTACAAATTTCATCCTGTCACCCTCCTGATTTAATTTTGCCCATGGTTTCCCACTGACCTTAGAAGAAGAACCATAGAATGCACCATGGCTGCAGACCCCAAGTTCTCCTAACTGTTTCTCTTACCCATTCAGCCTGCTCAACTGCCTGGAGTCTCGTCTGCTTTCAACTGTGGGAACACAGGATTTTGGGTGTCTCAGGAATTTTATGTGCAATCTCTCAATCTATTCACCCAGTGCCCACCATTATCTAATTGTCCAAGGCTTTGTCCAGCTAAGACTTTAAAGTCAGAGGTTCTGATATCTAACTGTAGAAAAGCTAATAATGCACTGTTTCTAAAGATAAAAAGAAGTTCATTATTTGTTAATGGATGAGATCACTCTCAACTTATAAATCAAGGAAATAATAGTTAATGAAATGAAAGTCCATGTTTGGGATAATTAGTAAAGAAAAAATCTTAGTGCTGAAGACAAATAACACAAGTAAATATTGAAATTACATTAGAATTTATTGGACAGACTATTACCGTGTTATCTTCCTTAACTGTGTGTTATTAGCTCCAAGTTATGTTAGGTTTAAATACTTACATTTTATGTAGTCTGTCAGTACATTTAACAGAAAAAAAAGTCCTAGCACACATCATGACAATTTATATAAATATTTGTAAACCTCCTTAACTGTACAGTGTGAAGTAAATAAAGTAAGCTTAGTTATTTACATAGATGAATTATTAATATTTAAATATTGAAATACTGTGAGGGTATGTAATTATGTCACAGTTTTGGTATGGAAATGGGGCATTTGTGTATCCATGTACCCCGTTAACTTAATAACTTCCCTTCTTACTTCCTGCTGCATGATAAATTTTGGGCCCATGAAGGCTGAGGGACAAACTGTCACCTTTATTGGAAACTTTAGTCCAGCATGAAAGTTTTAATTTCAAAACATTATTTCCTGCCAGATATTTTATTTTCTCTTCTAAGGAAAAAATGCTCCCCAGCAGTATTGTTACCTTAGCTGTTCTTCAGGTGGACCTGGACAGGACTAATTTTACCACAAAGAACCTCATGACTATGAGAAAAGCGAAAGTATGAAACACTTCATGGAATAAAACTTATATATTTTACTGTTCATATTTTTATGTGCTTGATATACATGTCTTTCTGGTGAATTGTATTTCTCCATTTTGTAACTGGATTTTTTTTATTGTTGTTGTTGCTGAGTTATGCAAGTTCTTCATATATTGTGGATAACAGACTGTTTTTACATACGTAACATGGAAACCTTCCTTTCTGTAACACGTCTTTTCATTTTCTTGATAGTGACTTTTGATGCACAAAAATGTTTAATTTTGAGAAAATGTTTTCTTTAGTTTTCTGCACTTTTGATATCAGATCTAAGAAACCACTGCTAAATCCAAGGTTATGAAGATTTATTCTTATGTTTTCTTCTAGAGTTTATGTTTTTCCCTCTACTATGTAGGCTTTGAACCATTATGAGTTAATTTTCTGTTGTGAGAAAAGAGTACAGTTTCTTTGTCTGAGTGTGGTAGTCAGTTGAATAACAGCATTTGTTGTATTTACTGATCTTGCCTACATGTCAAAAATCCATTGACCATAGAGGTATTGTTGGATTTAACATTCAGTTCCATTGAACTCTGAGTATGTCCTTATGCCAGTATTATGCTGTTATGATGACTGCTGCTTAGCCGTAATATTTGAAATTGAGAAATACGAGCCTCCAAGTTGCTTTCTGTTCTTAAGAATATTTTGGCTATTCAGGATTCCTTGAAGTTTATGTGAGTGTTAGAACTGGCTTGCTCATTTCTACCAAAAGGACTTTGGTATTTTCATAGGAATTATAATGAATTTGTAGATTGCTTTGTGCAGTATTGTCACATAAAAATCATCTTCTAGTCCAGAAACATTGAGTGTCTTTATATTTATTTAATGTTTCTGGAATTTATTTCAGCAGTATTTCATAATTTTTCATGTCTAATTCTTGCACCTTGGTTAAATATAGTCTTGAACACATTATAGTCATCGATTTTTTGTTGTTGCTTTTTGCGATAGGGCCTTATTCTTTTGCCCAGGTGGGAATATGCTTGTGCAATCATAGCTCACTGCAGCTTCAAATACCTTGACTTGACAATTCTCCCACCTTGGCCTCCCAAAATACTGGAATTAGAGGTATAAGCCACCACACTCAGCCTGTTGTTTTTTTGCTTTCTGTTTTGAAAGTTGAAAAGGATGAATTGCTTCATAATCAACGAAAACACAGTACTTTGAATTGCCCAGAAGACATAACGCACAAGAACTCTAAGTTGTATAATTGACTTGTTGACGATCTGGGTAAAGTTCAATTACTTATTAAAATTTGGACTTGGTAACATTCCAAAATTGTCTTTAAATAAACTTCTTAAATTGTAACAATACAAAAATGACAAGACAAGACATATTTATACAACATTGAAGTTTATAAAAGCACTTAAAAATTTTCAACTCATATTCTTTTTTCTTTCTTTCTTCTCTCTTTCTCCCTTTCTTTCTCTCTCTCTCTCTCTCTCTCTCTCTCTCTCTCTCCCTCTCTCTCTCTCTCTCTCTTTCTTTCTTTCTTTCTTTCACAGGGTCTCACTTTTTCTCGAGGGTGGACTGCAATGGTGCCATCATGGCTAACTGAAGTCTGCAGCCTCTCAATCCTGAGCTCCTTTTATCTTTCTACCTTTGCCTCAGCCACAATACCTGGACAATTTTATTGGTGTGTGAGTGCAGAGATGATGGTTTGCCATGTTGCCTGGGTTCATCTCAAACCTCTGTGCTGAAGTGATGTGCCTGCTTGACTTCCCAATGTGCTGAGATTATAGGCATTAATAAAACACTTTTTGCATTAGGGTCATTAAAAGTAAATCAATGTTTCGGCTAAGGTATGAAAATAACTATAATGCAATTTTTTGTATAACTCCATCAATGCTATGGGCAGCCACAACATAAAAATAGTTTTATTAACAAGCAACTAAATACATAAAAACACTTGGCAAAATTGTTTAATTGTAGTACATGTTTATTATTTCTAGTTTTCAGCATTTTCTAGATCGTTTTTCATTTTAAAAATTGTATCCATAGGATAAAGCAAAACCACCTATGAATTGCCATATTTGTTTATTTCTGCATTTGTGAAAATGTCCTCAATTTGTTGACATTGCAAACAAATTTCAACTCTGTTATGAAAAAAACAGAAGACAACCTTCTTAGCAATTAATTTTATAGTTACATTTCATACAGTGAATGTACTACCTGTGAAAAAGTACAAACTCAACTGCTGGTCTTAAACACTGAAAAGAGTTTCCAGTTGATTAAAATGTATTTTATTATATCAATATATTGTATTTATAAAACATCAATTGTATTTACATACAATCTAGAAAGTTTACAGCTGTCAGAAATTCTAGTGCAGTTTCAGATGAAATGGGAATTTAAAAATCCCTGTGGAGCTGTAGGTGTAGTAAAATGTGTAGGTAAAATATGTGCATGCTCTTGACAGTACTTATGAAGGGATGTCTCTCAAACTGACCTCAATGGTTTTCTTCTCAGCAAATTGACCTGGGCCACTCAACAAGGGTTTCATTATTGCTGATGTCTGTTCATGTTCTTTTATAAAAAAATTATGACTCAAAAGATATTTATATGACATCATGGGGTTAGGGCTTTCAAAAGCACTGGAAGTTTTCTCTTCTTCATCCATTACGTTTTAAAGTAATTCTACTTTGATTTCTCAGAAACTTGAAGAGTTTCTTGTTAGCCCCATAGCCACTGCAGCCAGGTCCCAATGTAGCAGCACAGCCTCAACTCCAAGGCTGTCCCTCCCCCAGCTGCCTGCATCTGTGGCTTCCAGGGCAGGGGGAAAGATTCCAGCCTCTTGTTTTTTTGAGAAATAAAATTGTTGTCTTAATTTCATTTTTACATGGTTTATTGCTAGTGAATAGAAATAGATTTTGTGGCCGGGTGCAGTGGGTCACACCTGTAATCTCAGCACTTTAGGAGGCCAAGGCGGGCACACCACCTGAGGTCAGGACTTTGAGACCAGTCTGACCAACATGGAGAAATCCAGTCTCTACTAGAAATACAAAATTAGCCATGCATGGTGCGGCATGTCTGAATTGCAGCTACTCAGGAGGCTGAGGCAGGATAGCCACTCAAACCCAGGAAATGGAGGTTGTGGTGAGCCAAGATCATGCCATTGCATTCCACCCTGGGCAACAACAGCATAACGCCATAAAAAGGAAAAAAAAAAGATTTCATTTGTTGAAATTTTCTCCTGTTATTTTGCTTAATTTGTTTACTAGATTTCATAATTTCTAGATGGTTCCTCATGGTTTTCTGTGTATGAGATCTGTGAGTAGTTTTACTTTTCTCTTTTGCATATGAATGGTTGTGTGTGTGTAAATATACATATATAAGTATATCTATATAGTTGACCTACTGGGACTTCTAGTAAGGGGTTTAATATAGTTAAGCATCAGTGCAGTGTTCCTCATCTTAAAGCCTTGGTTCTCAACAATTTAGATGATTGTTATGGGTTTTGCATAAAGACGTTTTAGCACGTGAAAAAAATTTGAACCACAGTTTATTGGATTTTTAATTGTTAAATATGCTGTCTTTACTTTCTGTAAAAGTCGAGACAAACATGGTTCCATCATTTGATTTACATAATATATTGAAAAGGGATGGCATTGGAATGGTAAAAATTCTTTGATTTTCTGAGAAAATTTCTTAAATATTGTGGTCTATAATGTCTTCGCTGTGTAAAAAATTCCATGTACTATTATTTGGTTAAACTTTATGATGTCTATAATTATCAGATTCAGTAATATTTAGTTTTTTATGCTAGTGATATCATATGTTTAATTCAATACTCACTTGGGCTTAGAAAGAGGTATGACTGCTTGTATTCTTATGGGTATAAGGGGTTAGAGGTTAGAGTCATAGAGGATGTATTTAAAGTTTTTTAAGCATAATGGGGTAACCTTAAGGATAGGATAGAAACGGAGGATTAGGATATGGTTTACAATTGCAGAACAACTTCAGTATTAGACTGAGGGTTAACGCTGGACTTGAGATAAGATTTAGTGCTGTGGTAGGATTACGGTTGCAGTTAGAGTTAAGATTAGGGTTATGGGCTAGGGTTAGGGTTGACTTCAGGGTTAAGGTTCATAATCAGGGTTAGAGGTTAGGTTTGGGGTTGGGTTATGCTTAGGTTTAGCATAAAAAGCCAGGCTTACAGTTAGAGGTTAGGAATTAGGATCATGGCCAGGGTTAGGGTTGGTGTTAAGGGTTAGTGTGAGGGTAAGGGTTAGAGTGTTAGTGTTAGGTTTCAGTGTTTGGGTTAATATTTAGCATTAGGATGGGGCTTATGGTCATATTCAGAGTTAGGGTTCAGGGTTCAGGGTTAGGGTTCAGGGTTATTGTTAAGGTTAATGTTCATCATTTTTGGCTAGATGTTAGTGTTAGTGTTGGACATACGATTAGGACTTTGTATTTAGGTTCAGCATGAGAGTGCTGGGTCTGTTTTGAGGTTGAGGTTAGTGGTCATGATTAGGTTTACACTTAGGTTTGGGTTTACAGTTTAGGACTAGGGTTAGAGTTTAGTGTCAGCGTTTTGTTTATTGTTAGGGTTAGGGGTGAGCATTTATGGTTAGTGTTGGTATTATGGTTTTTCTAGAGTTAGGGGCTAAGATTAGGTTTAGGTTTAGGGTTTAGGTTTAATTATGGTTACAGGTTTTGTTTTAGGGCTAGGGTTAGTGTTAATGGTTAGGGTTTATGATCTATGGTTAAGGTTATGATTAGGTTCAGTGTTTAGGGTAAGAGTTATTTTTGGGTTTAGTGCCAAGGTTAAGATTATGTTAGAATTATGTTCGTTTTACTGTTAGGATAAGGGTATTGGGGTTAGTGTTTAGTCTGAGTTTCAGAGTTATGGGATGCATTTAAAGTTATCTTAAGTGTTTTTGGGATTTCAGATTTTATAGTTAGAATTAGGGTTAGGTTTAGGTGGTAGTGTAAGGGTTCGCATTACGGTTTGGATTAAGGTTAGGTTTAGGATTCAGAATGAGGGTTAAAAGTAGGGTGAGCGTTATGTTTAGTGTTAGTGTTATGATTAAAGTGTTTGGTTTAGTGTTAAATTTTAGGGTTAGGGTTTAGTGCTGGTTTACAGTTTAACGTTGGGTACCTGGTTGTGGTTTAGTTAGGGTTAGGATGATCTTTAAAGTGTTTGGCTAAAGCATTTGGCTAAAGATTAGGATTAGGGTTAGTGTTAGGGTTAGAGTAGGGCTTGGGATTGGGTGTTAGTGTTAGAGTTAGGGTTTATGGTTTGGCTAATGTTTAGAGTATTTTTTAGGGTGAGTTTTACAGTTAGGGTTAGGATTTGGGCTTAGGAATCTCTGTTTAGAGTAAGGTAAGGTTTATGTTTATATTTGGGGTTGTGTTCATGAAGGTGTAGGGTTAACGGTAAAAGCTTTAGGAATAGTGGTAAGGGTTGGGCATACATTTGGTGTTGGTGTTAGTGTTGAAGTTAGGGTTAGGATTTGGGGTAGGTATTAGGGATTGAGTTTTCTGTTAGTGTTAGGGTTTAGGATTAGTGTTAGGGATTAGCGTTTGTGTTAGTGTTACAGTTAGCGACTAAGGTTTAGTTTAGCATTTAGGGTTAGGGTTTTGGTTAATGGTTAGGATTATGGGTTATGATTACAATTTATGAAATGATTAGGATTATGGTTAGGTTTTAGTTTTAGAGACATGGTTTAGGCTTATTTTTAGGGATGGGTTTAGAGTTAGGTTACTTTTAGTGTTAAAGTTCAGGATTTACGATTTTACAGTTAGGATTGGTGTTATTGTTAGGGTTATGTGTTGAGCTTATGGTTAGGTTCACTTCTTCAGTGTTTCATTGTTAGCATTAAGATTACTTATAAAAATAAGAGATTGGCTTTGGGTTAAGGTTTCAAGGTTAGTTTTAGAGTTAAGTTAGGGTTAGTATTTAGGGTAAGGATTACCTTTAGGTTACCAGATAGAGTAAGTTTTAGGGTTAGGGCTAGAGGATATGGGTTAAAATTTAGGGTTAGGGTTAGCTTTAGGATATAGAATTTGTGTCAGGGGTTAGTGTTAGGGTTGGTGTTTAGTGTTACTGTTCGTGTTTTCATTGGGCTTGTTGATATGGTTCTGTTGGTGTTATAGAAAGGAGATGGTGTTAGAATTAGGATTATGTTTAGAATTATTGTTTAATGTTACTGTTAACATTAGGGTAGGAGTAGGTTATGCTTTAGGGTTATAGTTATCGTTAGTGTTTAAATTTAGATTAAGGGGTTAAGGTTATGTTTAGAATTATGATTACAGTTAGGGTTATGATTATTGGTTAGAATTAGGGTTAGGGTTTGCATCAGGGTACAAATTGGGTAACACATTAGGGTTAGAGTTAATGTTACTATTTAGGCTTAGGGTTAGGGGTTATGGTTAGGTGTAGGGTTAGGGTTGGGCTAAAGATTAATGTTAGGATTAGGGTTTGGGTTTTATGTAACAGCTAGGTTTAGGTTTTGGGTAGGTGTAGGGTTAGGGTTGTAATAAGAGTTCTAGGATTGGACTTAGGGTTTAGTATTAGACTTAATATGAGTGTTATGTTCCTGTTCAGAAAGCAGGTTTAGGAGCTAGAATTTAGGACTAGGTGTTAGGTGTTGTGGTTAGTGTTAGGGGTAATATTTTAGGGTTAACATTAGCTTTTAATGGATAGAGATAGGGTTTTTTGTTTAGGATTAGTGTTTTTGTCTTAGGGTTAGGGCTTTAGGGTTAGGGTTTTAGTCTTAGGGTTTAAGTTCATGTTTATGTAATGTTTGGATTACCCTTGGGTTAGGGTTATTATCAGGGTCAGGGTCAAATTCAGGTTTAGCTGTTAGAGTTAGGATTTAGAGTTGGGATTTGTTTTGGGGCTTCGGTTTTGGTGAGTGGTTAGGCATAGGGTTGATGTTGGGGTCAAGTTTGAGGCTTGAGGTTGCTGTTAGTGTTAGGGATCCTGGATTAGGATTAGGGGTAGAAGCAGGGTTAAGGTTAATGTTATGATTAAGTTTAGGTTTAGGGAGGCACTGGGCAGCTGGGTACTGTATTAGGTCATCAATCTGGTTTGCAGAAGGGAGGACTAAGACTTGCACCCAGAACTTTTCTGTGTCTGAGCGCAGGGCCATCTTAATGCTCCTTGTAGAGCCTAGTAGATTTGGAGCAGAAAGGAAGCTGCTTTCTGAGGCCACAGCTTTTCTAAATGTCAACCCAGAGTTGACCAAATCCACAGTAGTTTGTTTTTGAGTGTGATAGGTGTTTTGAGGTAGTCTCTGGAAGGCCCAAAGGAAGGGAAGGTAGTGACAGCTTACACCACAGATACAGTTTGGTAAACCTTAGAGGTAACAGTGGAAATAATTAAATGCTGGTGGCCAAGCAGCCACAAGTGGAGCTCTGTGTACCAGCCATAAGTGGAGACTGACTTGGCACATTCTCCTGCACCAGCAGGAGAAAGCAACCTGCAGATTCTGACTCCAGTCTCTAGCGCTACAGTTGCGTGAGATGTGGAATGACAGCAGAATTTAAAATCAGCAGAATTCCAAGGTGTTTGGCCTATTAAATCCTGGAAAGGCTGTTGAGATTGATGGTTGTGGCAGTTCCTGTCTCAAGAGGGAGGCTGAGGCCCGTGACTGGTGAGCCTGGTTCATGTGGCCTGGTATGACTGGGCTAAATGTTGTGGCCACTTCCATACTTTACAGTCCTTGTTGTAGCACATATGAGCTGTGCTCCTCCCTCCAGGCCTGTGTCCATTAGGGGCCACAGGGATCAGGTTCCCAGGGCATGAAGCTCTCCTTTGTCTGGGAGCTGAGACCAGGTTGGCTCCAGGCAGGTGCCCAGTGAGGACTGAATATAGGGGATGCATGAGAAGAGGGAGAGAAGTCCCCCGAATCACATGCTCTCCTTGTTGAAACAGCTAGATTGTGAAAAAATCCACTCTACAAACATGGGCTCACTTTTCTATTCACTGCTGTAGTTGAGACTGGGCAGAGGCTGCCACAACCACTGTGGTCCCTGGCACTTGCCTACCCTCTCCACTTGGCTGTCCTGACCCTTCCTCTTGCTCCGCCAACTCTTATGCCTCCTGCCCCTTTTAACCTCATGGAAATGCAAGTCAAAACCACAGTAAGATATCACTTCACATCCATTATAATTCCAAAAAACAAACAAACAAACAAAAGCTAACAGTTGTTGAAAGGAAGTGGGAAAATTTGAAAGTAAAATGCTTCCACTGCTGTGGGAAGTAGTTTGGTGGTTCTGCAAGTGCTAAATATAAAATTACCAAAGAACGCAGAAAATCCACTCCAAGCTATACACACAAAATGTAAAACAGGTATTCAAACAAAAGCTGTATACATATGTTCATAGCAGCATTCACAATAACTAAAATGTGGAAAGAAACCAAATAAATATTCACCAACAAAAAGTAAGAAGCAAAATGTAGTATATCCATACAATGGCATAATGTTCAGCTGTAAAAAGGATTACAACACTAATGCTACAATGTGGAGAAATTTCAAAACCATTTTGATTTAAGAAGTTGAAGACAAAATTCACATACTGTATGATTTTATTTATATAAAATTTAGAATAGGTAAATCCATAGAGACAAAAAGCAGATTACTGGTTGCTAGGTGTCAGAAAGAGGACAGATTGGGTAGTAGCTCCTTAATAGGTAGGGTTTTTTCTTTTCTGGATGATGAAAACAGTTTGGAACTTAGAGGTGGTTGTTGCATACAAATGTGCATGTCCTAAGGATCACTAAAGAATTCATTAAGAAACAGTTAATTTTATATTATGTGAAGGAACTTCACCTCACTAAAAAGACAAAACTTCTTCCTCAGCATTCCACAGAGTGCTCTCAGAATGGGGTTCTGGTCCCTCCACAGTCCAGAACTGCCTGGGGCCAGGCCCACCACATACTAGGCATGTACTCCAGCCACACTATCCACCAGCTCCTCGACCTGTTACCAGTGAAAGTATCTGTTACTGCTGTCAAATCTATCATGGTCTGCAGTAACATCAACTCTTGCCTCCTCAGAAGAAAGAATTTGGCTGAGGGGAATAAAGTAGCAAAAGAGACTGAGAAAAGTTTCACAGCAAACGTGGATGTTTATTTAAAAAGTTTTAGCGTAAGAAAAAATGGAAAGTGCAGTTGGAAGAGATCCAAGTGGGTGACTGGAATATATAACATACATAAGACTTGCAAATATTTTGTCCCATGCTGTTGGTTTCCTTTTAACTAGACAGTGTCCTTTGATGCACCAAAGTGTTTAGTTTTGATGAAATTCGATTGATCTATCTTTTCTTTTGTTTTATGTTCATTCAGTGATAAAGCCAAGAAATCATTTACAAATCCACAGCCAATAAACACCTAAACCACCATGGGATTACCACTTTATCCCCATTGGAATATCTATTTTTGTTAAGGAAAAGTTTGAGAGTATGTGGAGAAATTGGAACCCTTATACATTGCCAGTGAGAATGAGAAATTGTGGTAACGGTTGCACAGTGTGAGCATAGTTAATGCTACTGAACTATACATTCAAAGATGTTTGAAATGGTAAATTTGTTTATGTATGTTTTATCACATTCAACAAAAGCTTCCTCAGAAGTTGTCCTAAAATAGTTACATGTGTGATGAAAGAAGACACTCCTCTCTTATCATGAGTAGAAGCCTATTTAGTTATTCATGCTGTTATACACATTCCTAGCTCTTCCGCACGACCAGCATGATCTCATCAAGCAGAATGAGTCCCTTCTCACCCAGCCCATTTGTGTTTCTTTCCATCATTGCATTCTCCTATTCAACTCACTACCTGCCTGCTACAAACCACTGTAAATTACAAATCTATTTACCGTTTCTGTAGACATTTCTTCTCTGTAATGCAACAGAAATGAAATCACACAATATGTCATCTCCTCAGAGTGGCTTTTATCACTTAGCTTTATGTATACCTGATGCTTCCATGGCTTTGCATGACTTCATAAATCACTCTTTTTCTTTTAATGAATAGTATCACATTTTATGAATTTATCTGGCTTGGTTAATATTGAAGGGTATCCTGTTTCCTTAAAGTATTTGGCCATTGTCAAGAGAGCAGTTATACATAAATGCATGTGGTTTTTGGTTAGATGCGAGTTTCCAAATCTGTTGTCTAAATACCTAAGTGTGCAATTGTTAGCCTATATGATGAGATCATGTTTTCCTTTGGAAAAAACTGCCAAACTGTGGCAGAAGAAAACAGCCATATTTTAAGGTTGTTGTACAATTATGCATTCCATCAGCAATGAATGAGATTTTCTGTTGCAGTTTTGATTATATTTAAAAAGATATTTAGACATAGTATAGCTGTTTAGTGCTCTCATTCTTATGTTAATTTGCCTTCCCCAGATGACAATTGTTGTTAAGCATTATTTTGCTGTTATTGCTTGTTCATTAATCTATGATTGCTGCCAAAAAACATGCATGTATTGTGCCACAGAAAATCAATTTTTAAAAACACATTATAAGCTCTACTTGGTAAAAACTCAGAACATTATGCTGGTCCACATAGTCATTTATCCTGCTATTTTTTCTAATTTTATGGTTACTACAATAAAATAGTGAACTGCAGCTACTAAGACAACGTGGTGTATTAGTGTGATGCTTCACTTTGTTGAGATCTCTTTCAATCAAATTATTTCTTTACAGATGTCAGGGGAGCAACAGGAATTTCTAGAGCACAAGCTAGTTTCTGTTGGAATTGACAAAAAGCTCTGATTTCAACTTCAGTACCTATCTTGCAGTGTTGAATCATTGACAAAGATTAGAACTATGAAGGTTTTGGTTCTTAAATCTGCTTCTACAAAAGTAAGCCAAAATTTGAAATCACATGTGTTTGGTCTGTTAGTTTTTCATCTTTCACAAAACATTCCACTGTATCAGAATGAAATTTGAAGACTGAGATTCATTTAATAATGGTTTACTAACTTTTGTCTCTTTTTGCATTTAGACGTCACAAATAAAACATCTGATAATTTCAGCAGTACACATTTTAAATAACAAAAGCCAGAAAGAATGATAGATGAAATTAATTCCAGGAATTTATAATGACTTGTTATTTGGTTTTTACTTATTGCTGTCACTGTGTTTTCTATCTTCAGCATACTAAAATAATAATGAATTCTACCAATCATTCTAAAATAACTGCCTAATAAAGCAATTGAATAGTTTTGTTTGTTTGTTTTTGTTTGTTTGTTTGTTTGAGATGGAGTCTCACTCTGTTCCCATGGCTGGAGTGCAATGGCGTGATCTAGGCTCTGGTAATGTCAGCTTTCCGGGTTCATGCAATTCTCCTGTCTCAGCCTCCTGGAGATCAGGGATTACAGGAGTCCACCACCACTCCTGGCTAATTTTTTATATTTTTAGTAGAGAGCTTGTTTCATCATGTCGATCAGGATGATCTCAAATACCTGACCTAAGGACATCCACTTGGCTTAGCCTCCTAAAGTGCTCAGATTACAGGTGCAAGCCACCATCTCTGGCCAAGCCCATTATTTTATCTCTTTATGGGACAAGTGTAGGTTGAAAACTGTCTTTTCTAATACTTGCCAAGGCCTCAAGATTGTTACAATAAAAATAAAACTTCCAACCAAAGGATACTTGTTGGCATAGATAAAATTAAGAAAACCTGAGAAAGAAAACAGCCAGCTTCTGGCTGTTTCCTGGAGATCATGCCTAATGTCTGGGGAACGCTTGCACCCTGGAGGAAGGGTAGAGCTGGGGTAGGTTGGAATAGTCTTTGGAGCCACTGCCACTCTGGCAGCCACTGTTGTTCCTCAGAAAATGGCTTGGAGCTTCAGCCTTCAGCAGATGAAACAGGGGCTTAGCGATCAGTATTTCGTTTGCCTGTTTTCCATCTCCATATCTTGTTTGGTGAGGTATCTATTCAGGTCTTTACCTATTAATTGGGTCAACTTATTTCTTTGTATATTTCGCATGAAAGTCACTTTTCAGATATGTTTCCTAGACTTTTCTCAGCCCGCATCTTATTTTTTGGTTCTTCTAATTGAATCATATTTTTTGTTTTGTTTTGTTCCTTTTTTACTTTTTTGTTTTTTGCTTTTTTTGAGATGGAGCCTCACTCTGTCACCCAGGCTGGGGTGGAAAGGCATGATTTTGGCCCAATGCAACATCTGTCTCCCGGGTGTAAGGGATTCTTCTGTCTCAGCCTCCTGAGTAATTGAATTACATATGCCTTCCAACAAGCCCATCTATTTTTTTTTTTTTTTTTTTTTTGGATTTTAATAGCGACAATGTGGCAGTCAGTTACTATAGGATGAAATGAAGGGGAGTGAATGCAGAAATGAAGACAAAGACAAAAAAGTTCTGTTTTAAAAGAAGAGTCAGGGGGCTTATTCCTTCCAGGGAGCAAAGGTCCTGAGCTTCTACAGGACTTCGTATTGACTAGGCAGAATCAATAGGGAGGAAAGGTAATTATTGGTCAGCTGCTCGATTTATCGCAATCTCACGTACTTGCTTGCTTTATACTACAGGCTTCAGTTGTTCCTGTATATAAAACCACAAGGAAAGCTGTGCTTGGGGCATGACTGCCCTCAGCATTCCTTCTGGCACCAGAGGTGGTGTATCAGTTTGCCAACATCCTGCTTTCATGAGAAGAGTTTGCTGTCTGCTCATAGACTCTCCAGTCATTACTGAATTGGTCACAACCCTCATTCTTTTGACCTCCAACGTCTCCTCCTTTTTGTTTTTGAATTAGTTGAGTAAAGGTAATTGCAGACTGTGCAGCTCTCAATTGCTATTTGGTGGTCCAGCTGATTTTACAGACAATAGACATAAAATGGAGACACAATAATATCACTCTGATAATCACAGAAAAGACATTGAGGTGCTGTTTGGAGGAGATCCAAAGCTTAAGGCTCTCTAAACCCTGCTGGAATACCACCCAAGTTTTTAAAGAGGGCTGAAATACTTGAATGTTTATTCAAATTAAGGATTTTACTTTGTAAATCATTCATATCAAAAGTAACATTTGATGTGAAAGCCCCCTGCAAATGGGACTTTACAAGGTTTCATTGATATTCACGTTAGTTTTATTCCAAATTGGTTAAACAAATACAAGTATAGTTAAAATGAGAATGCAATTGCTGCTGCAACTACAAACTTTGTACTTGTTTTCCTAGCCACAGAACTATAGTCTTTAACATTGCTACCTCCATTTGTATCTCCGTGTTTCATTTATTTTTAAGCATCCATGCCTGGTTGGCTGCACACATCCTATTTTCTTCATATTTAGCTGTTTGAATGGAGCTGTGCATTGCTACTAAGGACACCACAACAGAAGTGATTAATGTACCTAAGGAGACTTTCACAAAAATTATCATGCCTAAGGTTCTACAAGCACTATGAGTAAGCTGAGTAAGAAAAAGATTTACAAAATGTAAACCAGAGGTGGCCACGGAAGACTCAGACAGATTTACAAGAATCCGTAATTGGGGGTTGCAACCTAGAATTATTAGGGTGGATATGCTGCATGTTTTTATTGTGCTACAATTAAGGGAATTATACGGTTGAAAGGAATCACAAGTCAAATGGGCATCGTTTACCTTAATTTTTTTTTTGCTGCTAAAAAAATGTAAGGTTTAAAAACACAAATTGCAAATTGAGTGGTAATATTTTCTACAAAAGTAACATTAAAACTGTGTTGAGCAGAATTACTATAATTAAATAGTGTTCCGACACAAAAGCTGCCATCCATAAAGGGGAGTGCTGCCTTCCCTATCAACTCCTGAACTGGAACTGTCTTCCTTGATAATGTCATTGAGGAAAGGTGGTCTAAAGCCTGTTCCAAGCAAGGTCTGCTGCACATTGGGATTGAATCCCAGTGAGATGTAGTGAAGAGATGCTAAAGTTTCTTCACCAGTGTCAGTGAAGTTTATGCCATGAGGTCGGATTCTCATGGCATAATGTCCTACAAAATGTTGATATAACATAGGATTGATGAGCATGTTTTTGTGTAAAACTTTCCACTGGTAATGAGAAACAAGCTGTTTTTGTTTGATAGAAGGCACAGAGAAGGCAAATGAAGGCTTATCCTTCACATGTAAGGGTATAGTAAGAAAAGAATTTTAAAGATCTACTCCTATGAGAGACCAGTCCCTTGGAATGGCTGCCAGGAATTGCAGACCTTGTTGTAATGCACACATTGATTTAATCTGTGCATTAGTAGCTCTGAAATCATGTAGCAATTTGCTGGCAAAATTGTCTCTTCTTTATATACTAAACATTTGCTGAAACTTTACACTTGTTCTCACACTACTTAATCATTTAAATTGCGTGTATGTATTCCAACTAAGTTTTCAAAGAGGAATGTCTTTCTTCCTGTTGGGAATAAAGATTCTGCTGTTTACCTTACTTTTGTCTTTCACCCTCCATTGTTCTAGATTTTTCCCTGTATACTTTTAGACTGGCTGTAGTAAATACCCTGTTCATCTTCAAATCTTTCTGTTGCCTGAAAAGCTGCCAAATTTTCTGCCAAATATAGAATTGGGTTTAGGAGTAATGTGGCATCTTTCTGCATAAAATGAAACACCTCTGTTAGATTTCAGAATGTCTCTATATATCTATCAGAGTAATCAGATAACTTGACTAGATGTATATTTATTTATTTTTAATCCTGCAATAAAAAGGAAACCTGAAGTTTAGTAGTACCATCTGGCATTTTCTGCAGGGCCTACAGTGAAGGTGGGGGTTTATTGGGTGGCACAGGGAGAGAAACTCATGATAGGAATATTGGAAAGCCCTTAAAAGAGGGGCAGGTAGGGTGTTTAAAAGTTGCATTTAAGGGCTACCTAGGGGTTTGTCTCTCTGATTTTGGGAAATTATCTTCTGTAACCTTGCTTGACAAGACTGCCAAAAGGCCAGAAAATATTTTACAATGCTTACAAAGGTCTGGGTTATCGCCTAAGGTAAAGAAAGCTTGTCCATCAGAAACTCATACTAATGGCTCTTTCATCTGAAAAAGAGACCTGATAATTATATACTATTAAAATAAACTTTTATCTCAGAAGGCCACATCTTTTTGTCTTAGAGCTAGTGTAATTTCCATGCCTTTGTGCAGTATAATATAAGCCATATTTTTTTCTCAGAGCCTCGAAGGTAAAGAAATTCCAGTGTTTCAGAATGCACTGGAGAAAAGTGCAGACTGAAGATAGTTTTACTGGCAGCAGCTGATATTTGGTTAATGCCATCAACTGTGTGGTACTGTGTTGGGTTACTACTGCCTCTACAGTTGACTGAATGTTCCTAATATACAGAGTTAAAAGGCAAGGGAGGATGAGGCAGATGCCAAGAATAAACAAAAACCCACCAATGAGGGTTTTGAATTCCCCAAAGGTTGAGAACCATTTTCCAAACAAGGAATCCGGGAACCATCTGGACAAAGTCCGAACTGGAACATGGGCCAACTTGTGCATTTTAGCTGTGGATTTTATGACAGCTTGGCCATTATTATCAATTTCTAGGCAACAGTTGGTTAAATTAAATGTTTACATACTTTCTTTGAGGCTAAGAGATAAGCTAATTTATTTTGATATATAGCATTTTTTTGTGTTGCTTGTATTGTCAATAAATTTAGTGCCCTTGACGTTTCATTGGTTATAATTTCTAGGACTGCCTGTAACCTTATGATGTGGTTGAGCATATAGATTTTGGTACGATACCCCCATGACCCATCTTGCACCCAAGTAGCTGGCCCATAATATTTAATGATTTTTTCAGGAGGCCATTTATTATCTTTGTAGTCTTCTGTGTTTACACTTTTTCACATTTGTGTTTAGTTTTGTGATTATGTATTTTTTTAGTTTCTTTAACTTTTACTATAAACTGGATACCCTAAGAGTTCCCCTTGCTTTAGAGGAATTAAAAAGAGGGATGGCTTGATTGTTTCTAACACACATGCCCCTGTCCATTTAGCCAGCAGTTGCCGATATGCCCATGCTCCACAGACCCAATATAGGCCAGAGGGTGCTTTCCAAGCATTTGGAGTCTTTAGCTGATGCCAAGAGTGGCTTAGGGTAGAGAATCAAGAGAAAGCATTTGGATCTGGTAAGTAGGAGTCGTTCTGGGCATTTCTCCCTAGAGTTCTGTTTTTAGTCTTATCATAATACTGTTGTCCTAGGCAGGTTGTTTTTCCTGCTGCCTCTGTGAAAAGCCTTTCCCCATTAGGCGATACAGTACTTTCCAATTATGGAGGTTTTTAACAACCAAACACTGGCTAAGGCTGTGGGTTCACTGGCATGGTTAGGTGAAGTGAAGTTACTTGTGGCATCAATTTCTTAGCCTCCCATAGCAACTGGTCCCCCATATCAGTTTTTTGACATGCGTAGCATGAGGAAATTCCTAAGCTGCCAGCTATGTTTTTACTTAGTTGAGTAAATAAGTTTTTGGTTGATGAAGGAAACTCAGTCACTGACTGATCAAAATGCTTACAGAATGACTTATAAACCCGGAATTTCAGGGTTGGATGCATTTGAGTCCTTCTATTCTTTTTGGCAATTAGTAGTAGAACTCCAAGGTCTGCTCCTTGTCTATTAACCCATAATAGTGTCATCTGTCCTGTAGACCAAAAAGATAGCTCTGGCTTTAGGAAAGTAAAATTTAAAGGAGTACATGTCCTTGTCTTAGAATTTGGTTTGGTTGGCATACTACTTAGCAGAAGAGTCCTTCCTGAATATAAGTGTTGGAGCTGTGTTAGCATAGAACACTGAATATTACAGTCTGGGCATCCGATTTGTGTTTTTTCATACAGATGTTTAGGTCTGCTTCTGCTAAGCCTCTTTTGTGTTAAACCATTGCAGACAGCTTCTGTTTTTTTTAGGATTAGGAACATATGCAGCATGGCAGGAATTAAAGTACAAGGAAATAGGCCCCTTATAGGAGGGTGAGGTTTCTTTTGTTTGAGCTATAAGTTTTTTTTTCTTTTCTGATTTAATATGTACCTCAAACCAGAATTCACAGGGTAAGGGCTCAGGGTCATAAGATACATACAGCTGATTATTTCCTCAGTCATAGACTGAACAGGTGGTCTGGTTGTATGTGCATGTCCCTAACTTGGTTTCTGTACATTCATAGTAGGTATGGTACAGTAGAGTTTTAACTATGGTATTTTTTACCGAGGTAGTGTGTACACAGTGTGGGCATCCCTCTAAAGATTTTTCCCCTTCTAGCATAGGCAGAAATGATAGCAACATCAGTGTATGTATTAGAAACATGCTTACACTACACGTGGGCATGGGAAACCTTCCTCTGGGCATAGACATTTGCAGCATTTGCAGTAATAACAAAGCAACAGAAAAATCAGTATTAACATAATTATAATGAGGGTTATAAATTGTGTTCATATTTACTTATTCAGAGATGGCCCTCTTAGCTTTGGCCGTGTGTGGACTACTCAACTTCCAGGATGGCTAGCCTGCTGTCAGACAACAGCCACCATCCACCTTTAATATATATATATATATATATTGTTTTTCTGACAAAACCAAGTTTTTTACTGAAGAGTAATTGGGTAGCTCCAGCCAAGGGGGCTCTATAAGGAGAGGAATTGCTAAAGTTTTTTCTTCAGGTAAAGCCTTGATCATTGCTGCCTGCCTAGCCTCTCGGTCTGCCTTTCTATTGCCCTGTGTCTCAGCTTTTCCCAATTTGGTGTCCTTTGCAATGAATGACAGCCACTTTCTCTGGAGCCTATATGGCTTTTAATAATTGTAAATTTTTTTCTTTGGCCTTTAGTAGTCAAAACTCCTCTATCTTTGTATACTGCCCCATGGGTGTGCAGGATTGTAAAAGTATATCTTGAATCAGTATATATGTTTCTTTTTTTTTCAGTATATATGTTTACTTTTTTTCTTGGCCAATAATGGTGCTCTGGTTAATGCTATTAATTTAGCCTTCTGAGCAGAAGTCCCAGAAGGTAAGGCCTGAGCCTGGACCACCGAGTGTTGGATCAGTACTGTATACCCTGCATATTGTACCCCATCTCTTATGAAACT
The DNA here is from genome assembly GCF_000001405.40 of Homo sapiens. NCBI lineage: Eukaryota > Metazoa > Chordata > Mammalia > Primates > Hominidae > Homo > Homo sapiens. The sequence goes on along the minus strand of NC_000024.10, from coordinate 18,425,398 downwards.
GCTACCATCAGTGAAGTATTTAACATCTGAGCTCTCCAAGGGGATATATCTGAGATCTTCCTGGCTCTAGAAGACTTTGTCCACCGTATTTATGCAACAGTGGGGAAGTTCCTGCCAGCAGTGAGGCAACCCACTGTCCTTTCAATCCCGTTTCTCCACAGGCAGCAGGGTAGCTGGATTTAAGGTATTTACAGTCTCTAGTGTTATCTGGGTATTTTCATACAGAAGCCCTTGATACTTTAGCATTTTAGAATTGGACAGTCAATGATGTCCTCTTTGCTCCATTAAGGTGATTACAGCATGTGAGTCCTGAACTATTAACTTTTGACCTAGGGCTAGCTTGTTGGCATCTTCTATAAGGATTGCAGTAGCTGCCAACGCCCTGAAGCAGTGGGGCCAACCTAAGGCCACCAAGTCCAGTCTTTTGGGTAAGTATGCTACCAGCTGATGCCAAGAACCCAACAATTGAGCTAAGAGTCCGACTGTCATTCCCTTTTGTTTATCCACATACAAAAGGAAGGGCTTTTTTACATCTGGCAACCCTAGCACCGGAGTTTGGATGAGAGCTTCCTTTATACCTTTCAAGGCCCTTTCTTGTTTCTTTTTCCATAGGAGGGGCCCTCTTTTTCTTTTTCTTTGGTAGTCTCATATAAGGGCCTTGCTGTAAGGGAGAAGTTTGGAATCCAGGTTCGGCAGAATCCCGCTACACCTAGAAATTTCCTGAGCTGCTGCCTTGTAACTGGGGTGGGCAATGCACGCACAGCCTCCTTGCATGCACTTTTAAGTCTGCGCTGGCCTTGGGATACCATGAATTCTAGATATTCAACCTCCAAAATCAGACTTTTGCCTTGTCCTTGGACACTTAGTAACCAGCTTCACAAAGCAGGTGAAGAAGGCTCTCTGTTCCTTAGAGGTATTTCTCCCTCGTGGGGGCAGCGAAGAGCAAATCATCAATGTGTTGTAATAGCACACAATTGTCACTAGGTGGCGCAAAAGCCTCAAGGTCGGAAGCCAAAGCCTCGTCGAAAATAGTGGGAGAATTCTTAAACCCTTGCGGCAGCCTTGTCCAGGTATACTGCGATTGTCTCCACTAGAAGGCAAATATAGGCTGATTTTGGGGAGCAAGTCTCAAGCAAAAGAAAGCATGCCTTAAGTCCAGACACGTGAACCAGGCGGCGTCAGCAGGAATCTGTCCCAGCATTGTGTATGGGTTGGGTACTATGGCATGGATAGTGACAGTGGCCTTGTTTACCTCCTGGAGGTCCTGCAGTGGCCTGTATTCACCATTTGGCTTGCGCACAGACAACAGAGGAGTATTCCAGGAAGACTTTCATTTTATTATAATCCCATGTTTATAGGGCCGATTTAAATGTTTCGTTATGTCATCAATTGCCTCTCTGGGTGGGGGGTGTTGACGGACTAGTACCGGGGCAGCATGAGATTTAAGCTTTATTATCACTGGGGGTCTGTTTGCAACAAGTCCAGGGGGGTTGTCCTCAGCGCATACACCTGGTACCTCGAAAAGCATTCCCCACGTATTGTGTAGGTCAGGCTCTGGCAGCCTCCTGGTACACAGTTTATAGAGCCGCCATTCCTCAGTTTTTGGGACAGTTAGAGTCAATACCATTGCCTTTGGCTTCCCTATCTCCAGGGTCATATCCCCTTTAGGTGTAAAGGAAACCTGTGCCTGCAGTTTCTGGAGGAAGTCTCTTTCCAATAAGGGCACTGGACATTTTGGCATGTATAGAAAGTCATGCTGAATTCTTGTCCCCCAATAACACATCTCTTGAATTTGTAGAGAGGTCTCCTGTCTTTGGCCCCAGTAGCCCGTATGACAGTAGGACAGTTTTTTGTGGGGCAGTTAATTGGATGAGTTACCACAGAGAAATCAGCACCAGTATTGACCAAAAAATTCATTAATCGGCCCTGTACTTCCATGGAGAATATAGGCTCCCTGGGGCCTAAAAGGATGAAGCCTGGTCTGTCTTAGTCTTCTAAATTTTTGGCCCCCACTAAGCTGATCAGATCAAGATCTGCCTTTGAAGCACCACGACTAGCAACCGAAAGTTGCACTCGGGTGTTAGACAATTGACCGTCATCTTCATTTTTTTTTTTTTAATCGGGGCACTCATTTTTCCAGTGGCCCATTTGCCTGTATCTTGCACATTGGTTCCTGTCCAACCGGGACTGGCTTTCCTCTCCCGGTCTTGTCTGCCCTCTTCCTTGGCCTCTGCCTCAGCTATACCCTCTAGCAAATCCAGGGTTAATTTCTGTTAGTGCAGTAGCTATAAATTGAGCTGTCTTTTGGTTTTTATTTTTATTTATTTTTTCTTTCTTTCTGCCTCTTCTTTCTGGTTTACATATATTTTGTTTGCTGTTTTCAGGAGTTTACTAATATTTTTTCCTGCAAAGCTTTCCAGCTTCTGAAACTTTTGATTTATGACTCCCTGAGCTTGCCCGATAAAGGTCATATTTATCATAATTTGGTTTTTAGGAGCCTCCAGAATAACTGGAGTGTACAGTCTATATGCCTCCCAAAGCCTTTTATGGAATGCACTTGGGCTTTTCTCAGAATTTTGGCTCACTTCTGATATTTTACTTGTATTTATTTCCTTCCTTTCTCCTGCTTTATCCCATTTAGGAGTGCCTTTCTATATAGCGGCAGCCATTCCATGTTCCTTGCCTCATTTGGTTCCCAGTTAGGGTTCTCATTTGGGTATCACTCCACGGTGAACTGGTGAGGGTTAGGGGTGGTCTCTGGGGCTCCCCTTCTAAACAGATCAGAGCTGCCGGATTAACTCTTTTATGCTCCTCTGTATTAAATGAAGTTAGCAAAAGTTATTCACAATCTGGCCAGGTCAGGTTATGCGTGTTAATAACAGAATTTACCAAATCAATAAGAGCCTGAGACTTTTCTGTATAGGAGGGGGTGGGCTGTTTCCAATTTAAGAGATCAGTAGTGGAGAAAGGCTGATAAACATAAAGCCTAGGGCCACCTTGTATCTGCCTCTGGTCATCATAAACTTGTGTCCTGGTTTCTCAAAGTGGCATCTGCAAATCCCAGGGTCGGCCTGAGTGGAGATGCCCAGCTGCCTCACCCAGTCCATTTTTTGGTTGTTTTTCTCTAACAGGGGTTTCTGTTCCTCTGGGTGTGGGGACACTGAGCCTCACTTTTCTCTGAGCCTGACTCTCCGGATGATCCTGACTCTGCCTCCTGCTTTATTCTGACCAAAGATGAGTAGACTGGCACATATGGGGCAGACATTCCCTTTCATCAGGTGGAACCTGAAGAACTGGTTTTGGCTAAGGCTTCAAGGATTCCCTTTCCAGGGAGATGCTAGGGGCTTTAGTTTCCTCTGCTTCCTTTGGTTGGGCTGCTCGAGCCACTAATGCCTTGCAATATCCCTCTAGGCAAGGCTGCAGCCACTTGGGGTGAGTTTGTGCCACATTGAGCCAAGAGTATATACAGAAACTGGTCTGGGTATCCTGGTTGTCCTTCAACTCCAGTGACCACCTTAAACATGCAGTCAATTCATACCCTGTCTATTGTACCTTCAGAGGGCCAGCCCTCATTGAAAGCAGGCCAGGCTATCTCACAGTATGTTCTTAAATTTTGAGCATCCAGTTTTATGCTATAATCACCTCTAAATCCTTTTGAAAATTCTTTATTGTGCACTCCAATGGAGTTCATTTATACACTTTTCCTTTCATTTTCTCCCTTGTGGTGCACTTTCACTTTTACTTTTACTCTCAGGTTCACCATACCGGGTCCTATTACAGGAGTTTTGGACACTGCTTAGCCAGGAACATGCCTTCACCTCTTACAGCCTGCTGCAGCCATGGAGCTGGTCCTATCAGTCATACAGAATGTTCTGGTTCTGATTTTCCCCACAATTGCCTCAGAGAACACAGCCCACACTAAGGGCTCTGTGCCTCCCCCACGTCACTCCCCACATTGGCCTCTTCCAAGACCATTTCTTTCACCCACTTTTACACACCTCCCCCACCCAAGGACTCCTCATTGGATGAAATGAGCCTCTCTCATGTCCCAGGTGAAACTAATTAGGCTTCCACATTCACACACATACACACACCACTCCTACCCTAGGACTCCTCATGGGACAAAATGAGCCTCTCTTGTGTCCCGGTTAGGTCCACACACACCCACTCCCAGTTGGGGTTGCAAGCCACTCTTGCCACCCTGCCAGCAAACTCTTCCTTGCTGCACTTGCCTCTCTATCAGCCCTTTTTCTCCACCAGTGAACCACTTTTACTCTGTTAGGGGAATATGAGGTTCATCCAAATTGGCAGGCCACTCCTACCACACCCAGCCACTCTGGGTTGGATTAGTGGTCAGTCACTGGGAGGTGATCAAGCTCCATTTCCTCCCTATGGGAGGGGCTTTCCTGCCTTGGGCAGTTTCTCCTTACCACAGTTCCTGAAGTGCTAGTATTGTCCTGCAGCTTTTTCTGCAGTTTCTTTGCACTACTGGGTAGGCTGCCAGGATGCAGGGAGAGCTGGTCTCTGTCTGGGTGAAGCACCTCCATGGTGCACCTTGCATGCTGGGTCTCCCCCAGCCCTGGGGCTCTAGTCCCACAGGCAAAGGAGACAGTAAATCTGTCATCTCCAATCCCTGTATGGGCCACCAGAAATGTTTCAGGATAATTTAGGAATCAGAGAGACTAAGGGGTTGAGAAGGATTTATTATTATTATTTATTATTATTATTATTATTATTATTATTATTATTATTTAGGTGCACTGGCCCAGTCAGATTAACATTCAAAAATGACTGAGCCCCCAAACAAGGAGTCAAGTTACCTTTTAAGCATTTCATAAGGCTGGGGGAGATCTGTGTGGGGGAACATATTACAGAAGTGAGAAACAAAGACAGTTATTCAGTTGAGACTTGTGTTACACCATTTGTTCCTTTTCAAGAAAAAACATGTTTTACAACTTGAGTTTATCTGTCTAGTGACCTTGCAGCTGCACAGCTAGAGAAACAGGTCTTCACAATGACTGGGAAAGGGAGAAATAAGGCTCACTAGCCAGACAGAAAAACAGGCAGTTAATTCTTAAAGTACTCCACCTCTTTCTGTTTCTCAGGGGGAATTGAGTCTTCTTACATACAAGTGAGTTTTTGCTTATACATTCTTTAATTTATTTTAATTCTTGTCACATTGGTTCTTTGAAAGGACAAATAAAATTGAGAGACCGTTAGCAAGATTAACCAAGACAAGAAGAGAAAAAAATCCAAATAACCTCACTAAGAAATGAAACAGGGGATATTACAAGTGACACCACTGAAATAATAAAGATCATTCATGGGTACTATGAACACCTTAAGGCACATAAACTAGAAAATCTAGAAGAGATGGATAAATTCCTGGAAAAATACAAATGTCCTAGCTTAAATCAGGAAGAATTATATGCCTAAACAGACCAATAGCAAGTAGCAAGATTGAAATGGTAATTTAAAAATTACCAAAAAAAAAAAAAAAAATCCAAGGACCAGACAGATTCACAGCAGAATTCTACCAGACATTCAAAGAAGAATTGATACCAATCCTTTCACACTATTCTACAAGATAGAGAAAGAAGGAACACTCCCTAATTCATTCTATGAACACGGCATCACCCCAATACTAAAACCATGAAAGGACATAACCAAAAAAGAAAACTACAGACCAATATCCTTGAGGAACACAGATGCCAAAATCCTTAACAAAATACTGGCTAACCGAATCCAACAATGTGTCAAAAAGATAATCCACCATAATCAAATGGGTTTCATACCAGGGAAACAGGAATGGTTTAACATATGCATGTCAGTAAACGTGATACACCACATGAACAGAATTAAAGACAAAACTCACATGAACATATCAACAGATGCATCAACAAAATAGGCATACAAGGGACATATATTAATGTAATAAAAGCCATCTATGACTAACCCACAGCCAACATAATACTGAATGGGGAAAAGGTGAAAGCATTCCCTCTGAGAACTGGAACAAGATGAGGATGCCCACTCTCACCACTCCTCTTCAAAATAGTATGGGAAGTCCTAGCCAGAGCAATCAGAAAAAAGAAGGAGAGGAAATCTAAATCGGTAAAGAGGAAGTCAAACTGTCACTAGTTGCTGATGATATGATCTTTCACCTTGAAAACCCTATGGACTCCCCTAGAAAGCTCCTAGAACTGATAAAAGAATTCAGGAAAGTTTCCAGATACAAGATTAATATACACAAATCAGTAGCTCTTCTCTACACCAACAGCTACCAAGCAGAGAATCACATCAAGAACTCTACCCCTTTCACAATAGCTGCAAAAAAACAAACAAAAACAAAAACAAACAAACAAAAACTTAGGAATATATCTAGCAAAGGAATTGAAAGACCTCTACAATGAAAATTGCAAAACACTGCTGAAAGAAATCATAGATGTAGCCAAGTATGGTGCCGCACACCTGTAATCAGCTACTCAGGAGAGTGAGGCAGGAGAATCGCTTGAACGCAGAAGGCAGAGGTTGTGGTGAGCCAAGATCATGCCATTGCACTCCCATCTTGGCGACAAGAGTGAAACTCCCTCAGAACAAACAAAAACAAAAACAAAAAAACACACACACAACAAAGAAAAGAAATCATAGATGACACAGACAAATGGAAACTCACCCCCATGACTATGGATTGGCAGAATCAATATTGTGAAAATTACCTTTCTGTTAAAGGCAATCTACAAATTCAACGCAATCTACAAAAACAATTCTAAAATTCATGTGGAACCAAATGAGAGCCGCATAGTCAAACTAAGACTAAGCAAAAAGAATGAACCTGGAAGCAACACACCTCTTGATTTCAAACTGTACAATAAGGACATAGTTACCAAAACAGAATGGTAGTGGTTTAAAGCTAGGCACATAGACCAATGGAACAGAAGAGAGAACCTAGAAACTAACCCAAATACTTACAGCCAACTGATCTTCGACAAAGTAAATGAAAACATAAAGTGGGGAAAGGACACCCTTTTCAACACATGATATTGCGATAATTTGTGAGCCACACGTAGGAGAATAAAACTGGATTCTCATCTCTCACTTTATACAAAAGGCTACTCAAGATAGATGAAGGACTTAAACCTAATTCCTGAAACTATAAAAATTCTAGAAGATAACACTGGATAAACCCTTCTAGACACTGGCATAAGCAAGGATGTCATGACAAAGAACCCAAAAGCAAATGCAATAAAAACAGATAAACAGAGATAAATAGCTGGGACCTAATTAAACTAAAGAGCTTTTGCATGGCAAAGGGAACAGTCAGCAGAGTAAATAGACAACCACAGAGTGGGAGAAAATCTTCACAATCTGTACATCTGAAAGAGGACTAATATCCAGAATCTACAACAAATCAGTAAGAAATCTAAAACAAATCAGTAAGAAAAAAACAAGCAACCCCATCAAAAATGGGCTAAGGACATGAATAGACAGTTTTCAAAAGAAGATATACAAATGGCTAACAAACATAAATAAAAATGCCCACCATCACTAATGATCAGGGACATTCAAATCAAAACCAAAATGCAATACCACCTTACCTCATGCAAACAAAAAATAAAATAAAAGTAGATGTTGCCACGGATGCAGTAAACACGGAACACTTCTACACTGCTGGTGGGAATGTAAACTAGTACAGCCACTGTGAAAAACAATGTGGAGATTCCTTAAAGAACTAAAAGTAGAACTACCATTTGATCCAGCATTCCCACTACTAGGTATCTACCCAGAGGAAAATAGTCATTATTTGAAAAACATACTTGCACACGCATGTCTATTGCAGCATAATCCACAAAATCGTGGAACCAACCCAGGTGCCCATCAATCAAAAAGTGGATAAAGAAACTGTGGTGTGTGTGTGTGTGTGTGTGTGTGTGTGTGTATATGGTGTGCGTATATATATATGGTGTGTGTGTGTATATATATATGGTGTGTGTATATATATGGTGTGTATATATATATGGTGTGTATATATATATGGTGTATATATATGGTATATATATGTGGTATATACATATGTGATATATATATGTGGTGTATATATATGTGTGTGTGTATACATATATATGTGTGTATATATATATATACACACACATATATATATATATGATGGAATACTACATAGTCATAGAAAGGAATGAATTAACATCATTTGCAATGACCTGAATGAGATTGGAGACTATAGTTCTAAGTGATGTAACCCAGGAATGGAAAACTCAACATCGTATGTTCTCACTGATATGTAGGAGCTAAGCTATGAGGACACAAAGGCACGACAATGATGCAATGGACTTTGGGGACTTTGGGAGAAAAGTGGGAGGGAGGTGAACAATAAAAGACTATGAGTATGGTGCAGTGTATACTTCTTGGGTAATATGTGCACCATAATCTCACAAATCACCACTAAGGAACTTACTCATGTAACCAAATACCATCTGTACCCCAACAACTTATAGAAAAATAAAGTTAAAATAACAAATGAAAAATAAACTATAACACACCAGGAAAGCGAAGAGACAAGCCACAAAATGGGAAAAAAAATTGAAAACTATCCATCTGACAAAGGATTAATAACCACAATATATAAGGAGCTCAAACAACTCTACAAGAAAAAATCCAATAACCTGGTCAAAAATGGCAAAAAAGACTTCAATATATATTCCTCCAAAGAAGACATACAAATGGCAAATAGGCATATGAATAGGTGCTCAACATCATTGATAGAGAAAGGCAAATAGAAACTGCAGTGCAATATCATCTCACTGGAGTTAAAATGGCTTATATTCAAAATACAGGAAATAACAAATGCTAGGGAGAATTTAGAGAAAAGGGAACCCTCATATATTGCTAGGGGGAATGTAAATTAGTATAATCACTATAAAGAACATCACTAATGTTTTTTATAGTTTTGAGGTTTTTTTATGTTTTGATGTTCCTCAAAAATCTAAAAATTGAGCTACCACATTATCTAGCAATCCTACTGTTGGGTATATACCCAAAAGAAAGGAAATCAGTATGTTGAGATATCTGTACTCCTGTGTTTGTTGCAGCACTATTTATAATAGCTAAGATTTGGAAGTAACCTGAGTGTCCATCAAGAATGGATTAAAAAATGTGGTAGATATACACAATGGAGTACCATTCAGCCTTAAAAAAGAATGAGAACCAGTCATCTGCAAGACCATGGATGGAACTGGGAATCATTATGTTAAGTGAAATAGCCAGGCACAGAAAGACAAACATCATATATCCTCACTTATTTGTGGGATCTCAAAATCAACCCACTTGAACTCATGAACATAGAGCATAGAAGGATGATTACCAGAGGCTGGGAAGGATATTGGGGAGATAGGGTGAGGTGGGCATTGTTCATGGGTACAAAAAATAATTAGAATGAACGACAGTTGCTATTTGATAGCACAATAGGGCGACTATAGTCAATAATAATGTAATTGTACATTTTAAAATAACTTAAAGAGTGTAATTAGATTGTTCACAACTCAAAAATAAATGTTTGAGGGGATGGATGTCCCATTCTTTGTGATGTGATTGTTTAACTTTGTATGTCTGTGTCAAATCATCTCGTGTATGTTATAAATATATACACTTATGTACCTACGAAAATTAAAAATTAAAAAATTATAAGACACTTGACTCAATTTGAATTTTGTGTAAGTAAGGTAATTATTTGTATAAATATCTTCCAATACTTGCTTAAACATATTACATACAAATATGCAAATATTGCGTAGCCATACTAAAAAGTTATTCATTGCTTATCCCAGTTTTAAACTTTACTGTTGTTTCTTATATTTTCTTTCAGTGAATCTGAAACATCCATTATAGAAGTATCATGGGATTTATGGTAACATTGTACAGACATGGGGAAAAAAGAATGAAAGAAAAATCCTTAGAGGTCATATGGGTTGGTAAGAGTATAAAAGAAAACTGAGTCCCATATGATACATTAAAAACAGAAATCAGGATGTACATCTCAGCTCTCACCAGGAGATGTGGCAACCAGATTGTCCTTGGGCTGAGGGGGACGTCGCTGAGCACTCTCAGAGACAGACAATGCAAATCAAGTTCATTCTCACTGTGCTTGCTTACCCTTCAAAATTGTGTTAAGTCCCTAAGTATATATATAATCATGAGTAGTTGTGGGAAAAACAACACCATTAAATGTACCAGAACAAAAGACTGCTCACAAATACTGCAGATGTTTAGATCAGATGTCTGAAGCAAAGAAAGGGAGTATAATAAAAAATAATTTAAAGAAAATGGAGCTCAATAAATCTGTTTCTTCATCGTTATGATAATGTCAAATCTGTTGAAATTTTTTTAAAATGACATGATTTGTCTACAGATCTTTGTGCTCTGGCTTAAATTAAATGTATATACAACTTATATAATAAAATACTGAGGTGTTTCATTATTATATTGATAATTTCTTGTTCACAATCATTTTGGTGATATTCAATAAACAGCACTGTGAGACCTATGGCTGGATATCAACAACATAAAGTGATTATGACAGTTTCATGGGACAGATGAAGGAAGGTTGGTTTGTGCAGTGGCAATACTTGGCAACCTGAGAAACTGATTTCACAATTTTAGAAAAGTATTATTCTTTCTAACTAGATATTTCCATGAAAAGAACCTTGTGAAATGCAGAAATGCCAAAAGAATAATTGTAATAACCAAAGAACTAAAATACGTCTAAATTTCTCTGACAATTTAATTTAATGCAGGATGAAGCCAGAATAACATTGTTTACTAACATAGATATTCATGATCTCAATACATTTAATTCTTAGCTCGTTGAGGAAAAAAGTAGTAGAGCTGCTATTGCAGAGACAAAAGACAGAAAACAGGGGAGGGGCTTGATCACAATTCATGTTACAATTTTTGGAAACTTCTAAAAATCCTGCCTGGTGATAGGTTTTTCTTATCTCATTATTTAAGAATATATGAGCAGGCAGGGCATGGTGGCTCAAATCTGTAATGCCAACACTTTGGGAGGTCAATTTTGGAGGACCGTTTCAGACCAGGAGTTCAAGACTAGCCTGGGCAACATAGAAGACCCTGTCTCTACAATTTCTTTTTAAATTAGCCCACTGTGGTGGCATGTGCCTGTAGTCCCAGCCACTAGGAAGGCTGAGGTGGGAAAATTGCTTGAGCTCAGGTGTTTGAATCTGGACTGATCTATGACTGTGCCACTGTACTCCAGCAAGAATGACAGATCTAGATCCTGTGTAAAAAAATGTACATATTGTATATATTGTCAATGACCAGTCACAGGTCTTACAATGCTGTTTATACAGTATGGTAAAAATGGTGTTGATAAAGAAATTATCACAATAATAATAATAATAATAATCATAATCATAATCATAATAATAAAAAAAATAGCCCAGTGTGTTATTTTATTATGTAAGTTGTTCATAAATTTAATATAAATGATGTAGATCTACAGTAATGGAGATGTGTAGACAAATCATGTCATTTGTTTTTTAAATCTCAACATAATAGAATTTTTTCTTTTTTTGGGATGGAGTCTCACTCTGTCACCCAGGCTGGAGTGCAGTGGCTCAATCTCAGCCCACTGCAACCTCTACCACCCTGGTTCAAGTGACTCCCCTGCCTCAGCCTCCTGAGTAGCTGGGATTACAGGTTCCTGCCACTGTGCCTGGCTAATTTTTGTATTTTTAATAGAGACGAGGTTTCACCATCTTGGCCAGGCTGGTCTTAAATTCCTGACCTTGTGATCCACTGGCCCTGGGCTCCCAACGTGCTGGGATTACAGGTGTGAGTCACTGCACCCAGCCAACGTTTCTTTTTTAAAGTGTGCAAGCTCTTTGACCAACATGTCCCTGTGCATCACTGTAATAAGATACCCAGAGCAACTGTTTCTACCGTGGATTTGGGAGGAGATTAAGACACATCCTTTCTACTTTGGATGCTCTTATCAGGATCAGGGGAGGTCCCTGCACTCTGATTTTCTCTCTCTTAAATGTGCAAAGTACAGAGATTTTTATCATGAATAATTTTAATAGAAATTAAAAATTCCATCATATTCAGGGACATGCAGGTTTTGTATTCATCATGTTTCTTCTTGATATTTTTAGGCCCTGGCCAGCTGCAAATGAATAATCTCTACCATCATCATTGTTTTCCTTTGTGTTTTAATCTTTCCTGATTCCATTCTCTCTACCTTTTATTTTGAAGAAGAAGACACCAAAAAATCCTGTCACTACCAAATGCAAAAAAAAAAAAAAAAAAACAAAAACAAATTACAAATAGTAACATTTACAAGTCACATTTGTGAATATATGTTTTAATTAGAAAACTGCAATTCTAAACTTTCAGAGGAAATGGTAGTAATATAAAACAGAGGACATTTTTGTAATAAGGAACTCATATTCTTAATATTTTACAAATTATTATTCTCTCATCACCAAATAGTGTTACCTAAAGTAATATATAACCAATTTAATAAGTTTAGTTTTAAAAAACACAAAATTATAAAACAATTAATACAATATTTGAAATCGTGATGCATATTGCCAGCCTTCTGGTAAAGTTCTATTAACTCTACAAAAAATTTATAAATGGCAGACGATACATTTCCAGATAGTTTTGTGGCAATCAAAAAAGAATTGATTTATTAGCAATTTTTATATCACTTTGTGAAAAAATATTATTTGTGATAAGTATCATTATTTTTATTTATTTAAAACAGCTCATGTATTAAGAAATCATACTTTAGATGGGGCCAAGCTGGTCGATTAGAAGCAGCTGTGGCCCGTGGCTCTCACGGAGAGCAATGAAAACTGTGAGTGAATTCTACACCTTCAATTGAGGTACCCAGGCTCTTGCATTGTGACTGACTAGGCAGACAGCTCGACCCACAGACAGTGAGGAAAAGCAAGTGGGGCGATGGCCCACACAGGTGTGGCACGAGCTGGGGGAGCACTCACTCGCAGCCAAGTGAGGCGGTGAGTGATTGTGCGACTTTGTCTGGCAAACCATGCTTCTCCCACGGATCTTTGCAACCTGTAGATCAGGAGATCCCCTCGTAGGCCCAGGCACCATGGCTTGGGTCTGAAACACAGAGCTGTGTGGAGTCTCAGCCTAGTGCTCGCTGGCTCACTGGGGCATGCATGGAAATCCAGGAGTTTTGCATACTCTGCCCCGAGAATTCCAGCAAAGTGGGAGACATATCCATGCATTCCCCTAGTAAGGGGGCTGAATCCAGCGAGCCAAGTGGCATCATTCTGTGGGCCCCACTCCCACAGCACGTCACAAGTTAAGACCCACTGACTTAGAATTCCAGCTGGCCAGCGGCAGCAGGCTGGAAACAGCTGGAGATGGACCCAGTTCCCGGAGGGAGGGAGGGGCAGCCACTGTTATCTGTGGTTTGAGTTGGCCGCTGTAGCCCGCTGGCACCAAGGACCAGGAGGAGCTCCCCATAACACAGCACAGGTGCTGTGCCTGAATGTGGCCAGTCTGCTTCTTTAAGTGAGGCCTCAATCCATCCCTCCTCACTAGACAGGACCTCCCCATCAGATATTTAGCCGCTCTAGCCAGAGTTCTATGGACAGAACTCTGATTTCTCCCTGGGATGAAGTCCCCAGGGAGATGGATAGCTGCTGTCTCCCCAGTTCAGCCAACCTAGCCTTTCCAGCCTGATGTCTCTAGAGATTCCCAGGGGTCAGCACAGCACACCTACTCTGCCAAGGGGCAGCCAGACTGCTTCTTTAAGCAGTCCCTGATCCTGTTCCTCCTGACTGGGCAAGACCTCCCAAAAGGGGTCTCCAGACACCTCCTACAGGAGCGTTCCAGCTGGCATCAAGTCAGTACCCCCTTGGAATGGTGCTCACAGAGAAAGGACCATACTGCCATCTTTGCTGTTTTGCAGCCTTCACTGGTGATACCTCCAGGTGCAGGAGAGACTGAGGTGACTAAGATCCAGAGTGGACCCCCTGAAAACCACAGCAGCCCTAGGAAGAGTGGTCTGGCTGTTAAAAACAAACAGAAAGCAACAACATCAACAAAAAAGATCCCACAAAAACCCCATTCAAGGGTCAGCAACATCAAGGATCAAAGGTAGATAAGCCCACAAAGATGAGAAGGCATCAACACAAAAATGTTAAAAACTCAAAAAGGCACAATGCCTCTTCTCTTCTAAATGACAACAACACATCCCTAGTAAGGGTGCAGAACTGGCCAGATGCTGAGATGGCTGAATTGACAAAAGTAGGCTTTAGAAGGTGGGTAATAAAAAACTTCACTAAGCTGAAGGAGCAGTGCAGGAGCTGATAACCAGAATATTCAGTTTAAGGGGAATATAACTGACCTGACAGAGCTGAAAAACACAACATGAGAACTTCACAATGCAACCATAAGTATCATTAGGAGAATAGGCCAAGTGGAGGAAACAATCTCAAAGCTTGAAAACTGTCTCTCTGATATAAGACAGGAAGAGAAGAATAGAAAAAAAAGAACAAAAAGAATGAACAAAAACTTCAAGAAATATGTGATTATGTAAAAAGACTGAACCTGAGACTGATACAGATACATTGATCCACCATGATCAAGATGGCTTCATCCTCGGGTTACAAGGTTGCTTCAACAAAGCCAAATCTATAAATGTAATTCATCACATAAGCAGAAGTAAACACAAAAACAGTGTGATTATCTCAATAGATACAGAAAATGCCTTCAATAAAACTCAACATCCCTTCATGTCAAAAACTCTCAATAAACTAGCTACTGAAGGATCATACCTCAAAATAGTAAGATCCATACATGACAAACCCACAGCCAATATCATACTGAATGGGCAAAATTTGAAACTATTCTCCTTGAAAACAGGCACAAGACAAGGATGGCCTCTCTCACCAGTTTTATTCAACATAGTATTGAAACTTCTGGCCAGGGCAATTGGGCAGGAGAAAGAAATAAAGGTATTTAAATAGGAAGAGAGCAAGTCAAATTATCTTTGTCTGCAGATGACATGATCCTGTGTCTAGAAAACCCCATCATCTCAGCCCCAAACCTTCTTAAGCTGATAAACCACTTTAGCAAAGTCTCAGGATACAAAATCAATATGCAAAAGTCACTAGCATTCCAATACACCAACAACAGGCAAGCAGAGAGCCAAACATGAATGAACTTCTTTCACAATTGCTACAAAGAGAATAAAATACCTAGGAATATAGCTAACATGAGAAATGAAGGACCTCTTCAAGGAGGACTACAAACCACTGCTCAGAGAAATCAGAGAGGACACAAACAAATGGAGAAACATTCCATGTTCATGGGTAGGAAGAATTAATTCATAAAAATGGCCACACTGCCCAAAGTAATTTGTAAAAGAATTCAATGCTATTCCCATTAAACTACCATTGATATTCTTCACAGAATTAGAAGAAACTATTTTAAAATTCTTATGGAACAAAAAAGAGCCCAAATAGTCAAAACAATTCTAAGCAAAAAGAACAAAGCTGGAGGCATCACACTACCCAACTTCAAACTACACTATAAGGATACAGTAACCAAAACAGCACGGTACTTGAACGAACACAGACATATAGACCAATTGAACAGAATAGGGAACTCAGGAATAAGACCATACACATGCAAGCATGTGGTGACAAATCTGACAAACACAAGCAACAGGGAAGGGATGCTTTATTTAATAAATTGTGTTTCGAAAATAGGCTAGCCATATGCAGGAAACTGAAACTGTATGTCTTCCTTACACCTTACACAAGAATTAACTGAAGATGAATTAAAGACTTAAGCATAATACCTAAAACCATAAAAACTCCAGGAGAAAACCTAGGCAACATCATTTAGGACATAGGCATGGGCAAAGACTTCATGACTAAAACAGGAAAAACAATGGTAACAAAAGCCAGAATTGACAAACGGGATCTAATTAAACTAAAGAGCTTCTGCACAGCAGAAGAAACTATCATCAGAGTGAATAGGCAACCTACACAATGTGAGAAAATTTTTGCAATCTATCCATCTGACAGAGGGCTAATATGCAGAATCCAGAATCTACAAAGAACTTAAACAAATTTACAAGAAAAAAACAATCCCATCAAAATGTGGGCAAAGGAAACAAGAGGACACTTCTCAAAAGAAGTCATTTATGCGGCCAAAAAACATTTGAAAAAAAAAAACCTCATCATCATTGGTCATTAGAGAAACGCAAATCAAAACCACAATGAAATACCATTTCACACCAGTTAGAATGGTGATTATTAAAAAGTCAGGAAACAACAGATGCTGGACAGGGCGTGGAAAATACGAACGCTTTTACACTGTTAGTGGGAGTTTTAATTAGTTCAAAATTTGTGGAAGTCAGTGTAGCAGTTCCTAAAGGATCTAAAACCAAAAATACCATTTGACCCAGCAATCCCATTACTGGGTATATACCGAAAGGAGTATAAGTCATTCTTCTGTAAAGACACGTGAACACATGTTTATTTCAGCACTGTTCACAATAGCAAAGACTTGGAACCAATCCAAATGCCGATCAATAATAGACTGGATAAAGAAAATGTGGCAAATATATACCATGGAATACTATGCAGCCATAAAACGGGATAAGTTTCTGTCCTTTCCAGGGACAAGGATGAAGCTGAAAACCGTCATGCTTAGCAAACTAGTATAAGAAAAGAAAACCAAGCCAGGCACCAAGGCTCACACCTGTAATCCCAGAACTTTGAGAGGCTGAAGCGTGCAGATCACCTGAGGTCGGGAGTTTGAGACCAGCCTGACCAACATGGAGAAACCCTGTCTCTACTAAAAATGCAAAAAATTAGCCAGGCACCGTGGCGCATGCCGGTAATCCCAGCTACCTGTGAGGCTGAGTCAGGAGGATAGCTTGAACCTGGGAGGCAGACGCTGCAATGAGCCAAGATTGTGCCATTGCACCCCAGCCTAGGCAACAAGAGCGAAACTCCATCGAAAAAAAGAAAAGGAAGAAAAGAAAAAAAAAGAAAACCAAAAACCACATGTTCTCACTCATAAGTGTGAGTTGGACAATACAAGAGAACACATGGACACAAGCAGGGGAACATCACACACTAGGGCTGGTCTGAGGGTGGGGGGCTGGGGGCGGAATAGCTTTAGGAGAAATACCTAATGTAGATGACTGGTTGATGGGTGCAGCAAACCACCATGGCATGTCTATACCTATGTAACAAACCTGCACGCCCTGCCCATGTATCCCAGAACTTAAAGTATAATTTTAAAAACTTTACATAAATGCAAAAGTCTGGTATAGCTAATATACCATAATGAAATGTCAACTATAATCCCAGCTCAAAGAGAACACCATAAAATTATGAAGGCTTTTCCATAAATCTCTAAATTTATGTCCTCATAAGATTATATTTCTATTTCTTCTTAAATAATTTCCTTATTTTAGCTATGATTTAGTGATAGTAAGATGGTAACTATGAGGAGAAAGTTCTAACACTCCATTGAGAAAATTCTGCCTCATTTCAATGCACACCTGAGTCTTAAGCAGTCACTTCCTTTTCCTTTTCTTTTCTTTTCTTTTTTTTTTTTTTTTTTTTTTTTTTTTTTTTTGAGACAGAATTTCTCTCTGTCACCCAGGCTGCAGTGCAGTCATGAAATCTCAGCTCACTGCAAGCTCCACCTCCCGGGTTTATGCCATTCTCCTGCCTCAGCCTCCCGAGTAGCTGGGACTATAGGCTCCTGTCACCACATCTGGCTAATTTTTTGCGTTTTTAGTAGAGATGGAGTTTCACTATGTTAGCCAGGATGGTCTCAATCTCCTGACCTCATGATCCAATTGCTTCGACCCCACTAAGTGCTGGGATTACATGAGTGAGCCACTACTACCGACCTAACCAGCCACTTCTAATGCAGCTGAATAATAGATACTCACCCAACTCAGTCTAAGAATTGAATCCATGTATGGGAGATAAGGCCCCCAAGGAGTGGTAATAAGCGGGGAATGCCATCAGCTCATCTTCCTTCAGGCCTGTATTTGTCATTGTCACTTGAAGAAGCAGGACAGCCCTGGCACTGGGATTGTTAGAAACAGACAGTATCAAAGGGAAAACTGAACTCTCCTAATTTTTGAAAAACAGCAGATAGGAAACAGATGGGCTCCAACGTTTTCCATGTGTGAGGTCATTGTCCCAGGTAGCCTTGCTCAGGACCACATTTCTTCTCAGCAAAACAGAAGTCAAACAATATTTCTACCTTCCAGGAGAATAGAACTTAATGTCAGATTTTCTCATGGATTTCCACAAGTTCAAGAAAGTTTCATGGTCTTCATTTATTTCTTCTTTAGTGGTCTTAGGGTCACCTAGAAATATAAGCTACTTTGTTGGAATTTGGAAGATAACTCATGCTCCAAAAGTACTTAAAAGATGTGCTTTTTCCCCTGGGAACAGATCCCTAAGTCAAGGCATCTTGCAGGGGAAACAGAATGTAGGCTGCTTTTCACCTGTCACGTAGTAGGCCTGGTATATTTATCAAGGGCAGAAAAAAACCTCAATTACAGGCAGAATTGATGACTGAGATGCACATTGTCCTTCTTTATATATCTGATTTTGACATAAATTTCCAGGAACTTGTGTTTTCCATGCCATCCCTTTTTCTTTTTTCTTTTTTTTTTTTTTTTTTTTTTTTTTTGAGACAGTCTCGCTTTGTCACCCTGGCTGGAGTGCAGTGGTGTGATCTCGGCTCACTGCAAGCTCCGCCTCCTGGGTTCACAAAATTCTCCTGCCTCAGCCTTCCAAGTTGCTGGGACTACAGGCACCCACCACCATGCCCAGCTATTTTTTTGTATTTTTTAGTAGAGATGGGGTTTCACTGTGTTAGCCAGGATGGTCTCAATCTCCTGACCTTGTGATCCACCCGCCTCGGCCTCCCAGAGTGTTGGGATTACAGGCGTGAGCCACCATGCCCGGCCCATCCCATCCCTTTTTGTTATCTTCTGTCTCTAGTCATGGGGATATTTTATTTTGCAAACTAGAATGCCCACTTCTTGGCAACAGACACATTTTTTGCTTTGTGACACCCACCAACCAAACCTGAAATATAACTTTAACCTTAATCCTGATTATAACTGCACATTTATGATTTTTTTAAATACAAATACACTTGTTGTTATGATGGTAGCTTTTCTTCCCATAAACCTATATTTCTTAGTGCAGAGCAACAGCTCAGCCTGTTTGGGTTTGGCATGGTGTGTCCCCATGCATTGTTTTTGATTCTGTAACAAAAAAATATTCCAGTTGGCTTCATTTTGGACACCCTCACTCTCTGACTTCTACTCTCTGCAAATACAATTCTGCTTGAACTCTCTGACTGGATCCAGTCTATCATTAGCTGCCATAAATACAACCTCAATACTCAATCTTTGTTTTTTCTTAGCTCTTTATTTGTTCATTTAATTGCCTTATTTAAAGTTTCTCTATTTCTTCTTTTGAAACTTTCCTTGGTCACTGCTCACAGAAAAAAAAAATAAAGCTCTCGACTAAGAATCCTACACCTAGCATATTTATGTATCAAAAATTGAGGATTGCTTGAGTTCAGGAGTTCAAGACAGACCTGGGCAACACAATGAGACCTCATCTCTGCTAAAAATAATATATATATATATATATTAGCCAGGTGTGGTGGTGTGCACCAGTAGTCTCTCGGCTACTTGGGAGGCTGAGGTGAGAGAATTGCTCGAGCTCAGGAGATCTAGGCTACAGTGAGCTGTGATTGTGCCACTGAACTCCAGCCTGAGTGAGAGTTAGGTCTTGTCTCAAACAAAGAAACAAAACAACAACAACACCAATACAGAACCTTAGGGAATCTAATAAAAAAGTAGTTTGGGTCAATCTTTGCTATTTTAAATTCCTGTTTTTTCCATACATTCTAATGCAAGGTAAATGAAAGCACTGGTGAGACCCAGCCTGGAGGGGCTTGCCCTAAGCTTAGTGTTTGTTATCTCTGGGCAACCCCTACAAAATTTCCAGAGACATCTGGTGTGTGGAATAAGCCAATGTCAGCATCTCAGAAAAGGTTTTCACTTTAGGCCTTCCTGAATCAAGAGCCTAAGAGTATTGGGATCTACCAGGAGCATATTGTGCTCTGTTAAACATTTTCCATGAGTGACCTGGGCACAGGGTTGTCTCTAGGATGTAGGTGCTTGGTTACCAGAGTTCTAAGTTCTGTTGGGGTCTGTCACAAAGGAAGTAAGATCACTTTTTCAAAGTTTCATCCTCTGGCTCCTTGCTTTCCTCCATAAAACCCATCTAAAATGACCTTCTGGGCTACTGACTGCTCACTATCCCTGCGTGTCAACTCTTTAGCTGTGCACAATTATGCAAGAACAGCCCTCCTCACTTCCCTGAAAAGACCTGAATGAAGCCAGGGTCTCAGGTTTGAGGTCATAGATCTGGGTAAGAACCTAGTATTTCTTATTAGTTCTGTGACACTAGAAAAGTTATTGTAGGTTTTGGGGCCTTTCAACCTGTACAGTGGGTAATATGCCAGCATCTCCCTAGGGAACTCATCGGGTGTGTATGAGATAAGACCTGTAAAACTCATGGTGTGGCATCCCATGTAGACAATGCACGCATTTAGAGATAAAATAATTATAAGAAGGAATGGGAGGTAACATAGAATACAACACAAGCAGGCCTGTGTCCAGCACTGTGATATTGGAAAGTCGCTTCCCCTCTCAGCCTCATTTTTCATTCTACACTAGTAAGAATTTGAGGTGAAATGAAATTCACATGTTGTCATCCTCTGACATTATTCTTTTTAGAGCCTTCTCATTATATTCAGAATCAGACCCATGTCCCTCATTTTGGCCTATGTGGTTGGCAGACTATAGGAAGGCTCATAACACTAAGGGGTCTGCAGCTCACTTCTGACAAATGGAATGCAATAAATGTGATATGATAACATTTCTGTCTTAGATTGGCTGTTACAGCAAAGATAGAATGAGCCGCTTATCAACAGTACAATGTTCTTCAATGTTCTTTCTCACAGTTCTGGAGGACAGAAGTTGAAGATCAGAATGCCAGCATGGTCGAGCTCTAGTGAGAACTCTCTCTTCTGAGTTTCAGACTGTAGTCTTTACATTCTATATTTGCCTGACAGATAGTGGAGGATGGAGTTCTCTGGGTTTTTTGTTGTGTTTTGTTTTGTTTTGTTTATAGAGCCAGTAATACTGTTCCTGAGGCTTTCACCTCATTTTCTCCTCGTCTCTTTCTTCTGTGTTTTGTCCCTCAATCTATTTCTCTCATTCTTCTACTTACTCTGCCCATTGTTTTCTCTCCCATTTTCTGCCAATGTCTTTCTCTTTCTCTTTCAATGTGTATTTATTTCCCTGTCTTTCTACTGCATCCCTCAAGTTCAGAAAACAAGATCCAGAGTTATGAGCTGCCTATGCAGTGGCCTACACAACAGAGAATGAGGGAGTGCCCAGGCCCCAGGAAACACTCAGGCTCTCAGTCTACACTGAATCTGGACAATACCCATATGAGTGTGCTTGGAATCTAATCCTCTCACAGCTCAGCTTCAGCTGAGAGCACAGCCCCAGCTTCATGGAGCCCCATGTGCAGGCAACCAGCAAAGCTGTGTCCAGATTCTGGTCCACATAAATTGTGAGATAGTAAGAATTTGTTGTTAAAGATGCTAAGTTTGGGGAGAATGTTGTCAGAGAGAAGCAGATCACTGTCTTATTCTTCTAGGTCCCAGAGTCCTCCTTCCCTCTCCTTTTCTCTTCCCCAGGCTCCCTCTAGCCCTGCCGGCCTCTTTCTCTCATCCTCTGCCAAAGTCACTTCTGCCTGCATTTCTCTGCACCAGGAGTGGCATCTCACTGACACTGTATCCCCAGAGTTGTGCAGGGCTGGTCATCTGTTGCCACAGAGAGGCATTTGGGTCCCTAGAATGCTATGGCTCCCCGCCCTGCCTTTCAACATCCTACTTTATTTTAATTATAGCATTTACTCTTCATTTACTTGTACTTGCTTTAGGGTTTTTGTCCATATATCCTCAGACTGCAGGCTTCTTGAGTTGGGGAAAGGGCCACTCAATCATTTCTCAGCACCACATGCTGGGCCCATCATGGCACTTAGCACAGATTTAGTTCTGTGACAGGGTCGCTGAGTGAATAAATGAGGAAATGTCTAACCTCCTTGTCTGCTTCTGATCACCTCATAATGGTATATTTATTTCTTTTAAGAAAAACAATAATTATAGTTGATAGTAAAATATAAATGGCAAAATTAGTATAATTTCTGAAGTCTTCTGTTCAGTATTTGTGATAGCTTTTA
The DNA here is from genome assembly GCF_000001405.40 of Homo sapiens. Taxonomy (NCBI): domain Eukaryota; kingdom Metazoa; phylum Chordata; class Mammalia; order Primates; family Hominidae; genus Homo; species Homo sapiens. The sequence continues at coordinate 18,403,004 of NC_000024.10, read as the reverse complement.
TTATGTAATTATCCCTATTATTATTTTATGTTTTATAACTTTTACATAAATATTGATCTTCAGAAAAACCTGTTTTAACTGAGTTGTGACAAAAAATTTTATATTCTATCTACAAATCTTCTATAGTTTAATAATTGTATTATTGTTTTTATGAATGATTTTGACCCTGATATTTTGGAAAGAGGAATTCTACAAGTTTCCTAGCAGGTCAGGCCAATCACATTTTGTCATCCAGGATTTAGCATCTGATGTTCCATCTAACAGGTGTACAAGTTGATATGTCAAGTAACCCTAAGCCATATGTGCCCTAAATAATTCTAAATTATTTGATGAATATTTAATTTTCTTGTTTAGTTTTTAAAAATCGTTAATTATAACTTGTTAGTTCATGTGCAACTCTGAACTCATGCACTAGATTTGAATTCTGCAGTTGCTTACCAATCTGGGTCATGGGAAAGGTGGATACTTAGGTGAAACAAACAATTTGGGAATGTGTGACAGCTCAGAAAATAATTTCATATTAAAAAACTAGAAGGAGAAGTCAATAGTTGGGCAAAAGATGAGATATTAGAATCATAAGGGGCAGGAGGGAGAGCAACATGCAAGGAGGCAACAGAAGGACAAGGAGGAGACACATTTACTAAAAAATGTGTCTGGTTTTTGTTGCTTCTGATTGTAAATTTTTCATCTTTAGACATCTTTAGCAATAGAATATTTTCGTGGAGCAATGTCTCATTCATAATTATGTGTACAGTCTTCTTGGCTCATTATATGTACCAACTAGAAATACTTCCCATTGGACCTGAAGATTCTTTGTCTTTCTAAAGTGCCTCTCAAAGGAAGAATGTTTGTCTCGTCAACATTCATTAATGTGGTCATTAAAGGTTCAAATAATCATTGAACTAATGGTATTCAGAGAAATAAGTGTAAGAATTGTAATTAAAGTATATATAAGTACCAATACTTTTATCCTAAAATGAAGAGTATTTGGAGAACAGTTTGTGTGTAATCCTGTGCACCTAATGTCTCAGCCCTAATCCAATGGTTGGCCATAACTTAAAGCAGAAAAATGCCTATGACTCCAGTGGGTATAAAACAAGAGAAAACATGCTGTATGGATTAAAGATGTTTTCTTAAGATGAAAAAAAGTGAAAGGAAAATGTAACCAGTTTCACAGTAACTGACAGCAACGTTTATCCAAATTAATGCTGATCAAGGGAAAACCACTAACTGTTCTCTCTGTGAGGTTGGCTGAAACAATAGGCACAAAGGTCCTATGCCTATGGTCTACCCTCAGATTGTTCTTAAAAAAAATGACTTTACACATTATAATACATGACAGTAACACAAGGATAGCACAATGGGATGAAGATGGCCTGATTCTACCAAGAATGTCAACGAAATAGGGTCTACAAAATCTAGGTACCAAACTGATAATAAATAGCTGCAGAACCCAACAGAAAGAGAACAGAGTTCAGCTCTTGTGATGACTTAGCACATAATCATGCACTTGAAAAGTCAGGAAAAGCAAGGGAAAGGCGACCTTCATGGGTGGTGCACATAGTCAAGGCTGCCACCTATGGCAGTGGGTAGTTCAGAATATATTTCAGTGGAATCTTCATGTGACCATGAAAATTAGCAGACCACCTGAGGTAAGTGCCTTATTCAAATATACCATTTTTTAAATCTTTTATAACATAAATTTGCTGTGCCTTTTATGTTTATGTATACAAATGTTGACTATAGTGTTACAATTGCTTACAGTATTCAGCATAGTAACATGCTGTCCAGGTTTGTAGTTTAGGAGCAATAGGCTATACCATATAGTCTAGGTCTCCAATGGGCTATACCACCTAGGTTTGTGTAAGTACATTCTATGATGTTCACACAGTAATAATACTACACAATGGTGCATTTCTCAATATATATCCTCATTATTAAAAATGCATGGTTGTATAAAAAATAAAATGGATGTTGAAAGAGTGAAGTTGCTATGTATTGTTTCATAACATGTAACCCCAAAACTTTATGGCATAAAATCACAATATTTATTACCTGAATTTCTGTAGATGAGAAATTCAAGAACAATTATCCTGGTGGTTGTGCCCCAGGCCATCTCATGTGGTTACAGTCAGATTTCAATTGGGGCTGTCATCCAAACTCTTGACAGCAACTAGAAGATCCACTTTCAACTTTGCTAACATTCATGGCCTGCAAGTTGGTGGGGTTTTTAATTGAAGGTCTCAGGTTCTCTCCACATAGATATTTTTGTAGGGATGATTGACTGTTCTCACCAAATAGTGGCTGGTTTCTTTCAGAGAGAGTGGCTTAGGAAAAACAATGCATTAGTGGCAAAATCTTTTATGACCTAGACTCAGAAGTCACACATGGACACTTCTGTCACCTTCTATTCACCAGAAAGGATTTTTAAGCTTGACATACCTTCAAGAAGAAAAGAATTAGGGTCTATGAAAGGACTTCAATAAGTTTGTGAAAAAATGAAAGTAAAACACAAAAATAAAATATATAAACTTTATTTCTCAACATTAGCTTCATCAAGTCAAGTTCAAGACACTTTTATAAGCAATAATACCAGCCTTCAGTCTATCCCCACAAAAAGTAAGGTCCTGGGAATTTAACAATGTCAGGAAAGTCTCTTTTACATTATTAACTGTAGAAAATGGGTGTCTTTTAAAGCTGTTTTAAAATCAGAAGAGAAAAAGAAGTTGGAGGGAGCCAAATCAGGGTTAAAAGGTGGATGCTTAATAATTTTCCATGGCAAGTCCAGCAAAATTGTCCTTTGATTTTTTTTAATGAGAGGAAAGAGGAGGAACATTGTTGTGGTGGTGAAGAATTCTATGGTAAAATTTTCTGGAAATATTTCCCCTAACGCTTTGGGTAACTGTCTCAAAATACTCCATAATAGCATGTTTTATTGCATTATGTATTGTTTTGTTTTGTTTTTGGCCCTCTAGAAAGCCAACAGGCAAAATGCCTTGAGCACCCTGACACTGTTGCTATGAGCTTTGTTCTAGACCAGTAACCTTTTGCTGAGACTGGACCACTTTCACTTCTTGGTAGCCGTTGCTTTATTTCTGTTTTATGTTGAAAATTTCATGGAACAGCTGTGTTTGACTTCCTCACACAATTATTTGAAGAAATGCCTCAAGATCTTAATAACATTTATGTACAATTTCAGTTGAAAGCTCTGTTCTTGTCTGCAGCTGATCTAGGAACAAGAGTTTTCTAATCTATTGAGTGGAAAAATTCTCAAAATTGTGTGAATTTAAGAGATGGCCATGGTGTTGACTGTTGTTTATACCGTTGTCATTCCTAAACTGTTGTTTATACCGTTGTCACTCCTAAAGCACGGCATGAACAAGATTAATTTCTTTTCTGGTGAGTTAATGTGAATTGTCTTCCACTGTGGGCTTTATCTTCAACACCTAATCATCCCTTCTTAAAATGAGTTATTCATTTGTATGCTTGTGAATGTCGGGGGGCATTGTCCCCATAAATTGTTATAAAGAATTAGTTATTTTACTATTCTTTCACCCAAAATGGCCATAAATTTGATGTTTTTTCTTGCTTTAATTTTAGTAGAATTCATGCTGCTCTAATACGATCTCTTTTCAAATTGGTGTCTTAGTTTCCTTATTATAATTCCCCAAATTAGATCCTGTTCAGACATGTTATAACAAAGTTAGTAAAAGTTTATTTAGTTGCAAAATATTTTTGAAGTCTATGCAGAATTTATTCTCAATATGCATTTCTCATGAACTTTTTGAAGATCCTTCATACTTTTTGAAGAGTTTCAAATAATTTTTGAATGTATATTTAAACTATTACAAGAAAATTATCTATAGAACCAAATTTCAGATTTATCAAGTTTGTGATAGGTATAATAACCAATGGAAATATCAAATGGGCAGCTTAGCTATTGAAATAGAATTAGAGTTAAATGATTATAGAAGTATTCAGTAAAGACCTGCAGGTATTGAAAAGCATTAAAAATTTTGAAATAAAATAACAGGATTATATGTACCATTTAAGAGGAGAGATATCAGGAAAAAATAAGAACAGGGAGAAGAACCTATAATAGCAAATGTTATGTAAAATTTAAGGATAGTGAAGCCATTGCTGTTCTTCTCCATAGCAGCGTTGACATCTCTTTGTTAACAGTATCACTGAAACTCCTGCTTCCATTTCCAAAATCCTGTCTTTCTGAAGCAGAGTTTTTTTCCAGTGACAGCAATCAAAACAAAATTATGAAGTAGACTGGACATAAGCACCACATTTTGAGTGTCACAGTCTCCCATCACCGTCAAATGGAACTGACTAGTTGCAAGAAAACTAGCTCAGGGCTCTCACTGATTCTACATTACAGTGAGTTGTATAATTATTTCATTATATATTACAATGCAATATAATAAAGTATGAAATAAATGTAATGTGCTTGAGTCATCCTGAAACTGTCCCCCTGCCCAGTCCATGGATAAGTTGTCTTCCACGAAACTAGTCCCTAGTGCTGAAAAGACTGGGGAGTGCTGCAATATAGAAAGAAAAATTTAAAGAGAGGAAAACACAAAATCTATAACAGCTTTAATAATATATGCACTAATGCTGTACAGAATACACTAATTTCATTCATTTATTTAAGTATCAACCAATACATACAGACCAGTACAAATGCCTGTAATTGTTTTAGGAGAACATTGAATGAAACAGCAAGAGAGAAAGATAGCAAATTAAAAATATACGTGTATGATTATCAGAGAAAGACCCCCATCTCTATAAACAAAAATCTACATGTGCACGTCAAGTTGTAATGAGTACTAAGAACAAAAAAGAAGAATGAGAGAAGAAAGAGACAGATACATTAATTCATGTAGAATGATCAAGGAAGTTTGTCTGGGATTACAGTGGTTAACATTGCAGGTTTTAGAGTCAGACAGATGCCAGTTTTTATCCTGGCTCTGTGTCTCGTAGCTGGGTGTCCCATGGACAATTTATTCCACTTTTAAATCTCAGTTTTCAAATTTCTAATTTCTAAATGTTTATTAGAAATAAAAGCACATGAACAAACTAAACATACATAAAGAATCAAGCACAGAAAACTGATGAGGGTGTATAATGAATCAAGAATAATGGTTATAAAAATGGAGATAATAAATTTGTCAAACTTATTAGACAATTCTGAAGATTAGAAGATGAATATACATAAAGAATTTTGCATGTCATGTGGCATAACACTCATGGTAACTACAATTATTATCCTCATATTACTAAAGGAAAATATGTGTCGTTCTTGGGCATTAAAAAAGCTGTGGGCCGTACTTTTTCAAATTATGCAAACACATAAAGATTCATTTTTATGTTAAACAGTTCTTCCTTTAACATTTTTAAAAGAGATTTCTTGAAAGCATATGTCAAAAATCTCATGTAATGCTTTCTGCTTCTTAACCAAAGTTTAGAGAAACTTAACAATGAAACTTTTAAAATGTAGTTACATTACATAAACTATTTAAGGCAAGAATAAGCACAACAGCTTTAACTTCTTAAATATGCTTAAGCATTTCAACTAAAAAATTATTTCTTTCAAATTCACAGGAATCTGTTTAGAAAAATTTTAACTAGGAAAAGTTGGAATTCTAAAGTAAACAGTGCCTAAGGCCATAAAGTTTTTTATGGCTTTTAATTTCAATGTCAACGAGGGGGAAAAAAACATTCTCTGAAATTTGCTTTTATTCCATTAAAGACTTATTTTTTTATTACCAGCAATACAGAGTGACTCAGGTTGAATCTTGAAGGTAAACTGTAACTTAATTTTAAGTTTTGGCTAATTTTTAAGGATTTCTCAGTCACCTATCATGATTTCATCTCAGAAACCAAGATCTCAATTTCATATAGACATTTGGAATATTAAAATAGAAGGATAATGCTTCAAAATAATATTCATGTAGAGGCTTGCATATGTGGACCAGGAATCTTCATGTATTACAAAGTTTATGAGAACATAACAAATGCTGATACACACATTTAAGTCTGAAACAAAAATTTACAACAAACAAAATTGTAACAAATCAAGAAAATTCTGTGGGTTACACATTTTATGTCTAAAAATACAGGTATTAAACACTCAAGGATGGATAGAAGAATAAATCACAAGAGAAAACAGAAAATATCTAGAGACAAATTAAAAATATGAAATACCAAAAGTTAAGACATACATCAAAAGCAGTAGCATAAGAGAAAAATTTATAGTTATAAATGATTATAAAAAGTAAGATATCAAATCAACAACTTAACTATATAGCTAATGAACTAAAAACAGAGGGAAAAAGAGGGAACAACTAAAAGCTAGCAAAATAAAAAATGATAAAGATAGCAGTGGAAATAAGTGAAAGAGAATAGAAAAATATCAAAATACAACAAAACCAAGTTTGTTCTCTGAAAAAGTTCAACAAAACTGACAAACCTTTAACTAGATTGACTAAGAAAAAAAGAATACTCAAATTACAAAACTCAAAAATAAAATGGATTCATTACTACCAAATTTTTGGAGTAAAAAAAGAATGTAGGAGGGTACCATAAGAAACTGTACACTTAAAAATTGAATAACATAAATAAAACGAACAAATTCCTAGAAACAAAAAACCCACTAAGACTGAATATGAAAAGTTGAATAAACCTATTCAGAAAGGAGATTCCGCAAGAAGACTGCATCAGTAATCAAAAACCCAGCAACAAAGAAAAGCCTGGACCAGACGGCTTCACTGTTGAATTCTACCCAACATTTAATGCAGAATTAACACCAGTTTTTCTCAAGCTTTTTCAAAACGTTGAAGAGGAGGTAACATTTTCTAACTTATTCTATGAGGCTAGAATTACCCTGACACCAAGCCAGAAAAAGACACTATAAGAAAACTACAAACATCCCTTACAAATGCTGATTCAAAAATCCTCAACAAAATACCAGCAATTGAAATTTATCAGTACATTAAAAGGATTACACACTATGAATGAGTATAGTTGACTCCTGAAATAAAATTATGTTCCAACACATGAAAATCAGTTTAATATCACATTAACATAAAGAAGGAAAAAACCCTCATGTGATCATTTTAATCAAATAAAAGAATTTGTCAAAATTTAACCCACAATCATAAAAATATACTTAATAAGCTATAAAAATAAATAAAATATCGATGTAATGTTATATTAAAAAATGCACACACACACACACACACACACACACACACACACACAGCTAACCTTATGGTGAAAGACTGACAGATTTTACTCTAAGAGCAAAAACAAGGATGCCTGTTTTCACTACTTCTATTTAATATAGTACTGAAGATTCTAATTAGTTAAAACAAAAAGGCAAGTAAAAGAGTGAAAGATATTCCAATTTTTGAAAAAGTAAAATTATCTGTTCGCAGATGACATAATCTTATATGTTAAAAATCTTCTAGTTTCTGTGAGTTAAACTGTCAGATGCAGTAAATAAAATTCAGCAAAACTGCAGGATAGAAAATCAATACACACAAATTAGTTGTATTTCTGCAATAATAATAAACTATGTGAAGAAGAAATCAAGACAACAGTATAATTTATGATAGCATCAAAACAATAACATATTAGGAACAAACTTAACCAAGGAAATGAAAAACCTGTACAGCAAAAACTATAAACATTGCAGAAAAATATTAAAGATGATACAAATAAATGAAAAGACGTCATGTGTTTATTATGGATTGGAAGACAAAACCTTGTCAAGATGCCATTGTTATCAATAGTCATCCATGAATTCAATAAAATCACTATAAAAATTCCAATATTTGCAAAAATAGAAAAACCTGTTCTAAAATTCAGATGAGATTTCAAAAAACCCCAAGTAGCCAAATCAATCTTAAAAACTAACAAAATTAGAGGACTAACACCTCCTGGTTTCAAACTTACTGCAACGCTTCAGTACCCAAGACAATGTTGTACCGGCATAGAGACAGACAGAAAGACCAATGCAATAGAAATAAAGAACCAAAACATATGGTCATGATTTTTAACAAGGTAGTCAAAACTATTCAATGGGAAAGGACAGTATTTTAAAAACGGTGTTAACAAATGAATATTTACATGAAAAACAACGAAGTTCAACCCTTACTTTACACCACATAAAAAACTTAATTTAAAATAGACCAAACATCTAATTGTAAGTGCTGAAACTATAAAACCCTTAGAAAAAAACATAGGAAAAGAGTTTCATAACATAGAATCTGGCAATAATTTCTTGGATATGTCAGTGAAAGCATAGACAACAACAAAAACAACAATACACAAAAATAACTTCATCATAGTGAAAAGCTTTTGTGTATCTGAGATACAATCAATAGATTGAAAATACAATTCACGGAGGGGGAGAAAATATTCACACATTTATGTATTTCACAAGTAATTAATATCCAGGCTATATAAAGACCTCAGAAACAACAACAAAACAATCAAATTTAAACATGAGCAAAGGTTTTAAAATACACATTTCTTTAAAGAAGATATACAAATGACCAGTAAGCACAGTATAAGGAGCCCAGCATCAGTAATCATGAGAAAAAAGTAAATCCAAACCACAATGTCATACCAACTGACACATGTAAGTATAGCTACCATCAAAAAAACCACCAGCAGCAAACTAAAACAAACAACAAAGCTCCAGAAAGCAGCAAATGCTGGATGTGGAGAAGTCAGGACTCCTGCACTCTGCTGGTGGGAAAGTAAGATGGCACAGCCACTGTGGAAAACAGTAATCACTATGTGATCCAGTAATTCGACATCTGGGCCTATACCCCAGAAAACTGAAAGTGGGAATTTGAACACCCATGTTCGTAGCAGCATTCAGAATAGCCAAAGGGTAGAAAAAGCCCAAAGGTCCATCTACAGATGAATGGATAAGCAAATGTGAGCCATACACACAATGACATATTATTCAGCATTAAAAAGAAAAGAAATTTTAATACATCCTACAACATAAACCTTGAAAAGATTAAAACAAAAAATGCAAATACTCCATGCTTTTCACTTTTATAACAAACCTACAACGGTTAAATTCATAGACACAGGAAGTGGGATGTGGTTTCCAGGGGATAGGGGGAAGGGAAACGGGAGCTATTGTTCTGTGGATACAGTGTTTCACTTTGGGATGATAAAACAGATTTGAAAATGGATAGCGGTGATAGTTGCACAGCAATGTATTTGTACCTAATGTACTTAAATTTTCTATTACACATATTTTACCACAGTAAAAAATTAGCAAATATTTAAAAATCTATGTGTTGCTTTGAACTGTTTCTTTACATCCCTTGTCCATTTTTCAATTTGACTGCTAGTCTTTTAATAATTTAGGATATATATATATTACGTAAATTAGCTTTTTGTCTGTCACGTATGTTGCAGATCTATTTCCACAGTCTATGAGTCATTTGAAGTATTTTTCTCTCATAGAAAGTTTGAATTTTTATGGAGTCAACTGCATCAGTCTTCTATTCAAAGACTTATTTATGGGTATAGTCTTTCAGTTTAGGACGATAAAGAAGTTGTAGATACGGATTAAGGAGATGGTTTTACAACACTGTGAATATACTGAACTGTGCATTTAAACATGGAAAAAATAGTAAGTTTTATGTTATATATATTTTACCACCAAAAAAGGGTCAGGCTTAGATGTTTATAGGTTAGGGGTTTGTTGTACCTTTAACATTTATTCCCCTCCAGGGCTTTACTTTATAAAACACCCACACAAGAAAAGTAGATACTGACTTCACAAATCTCATTACAAGTCCCACAGCAGAGGCTGCCTTGGAAAACAGAGGTGGAAAAAGTCACAGAAACTTGAGGTCAATGTGAGACCTCCCATCCCCTACTCAGAAATCAGATGAGGGAATGCATGCATGCAGGCTGAGCTGGATAGATGAGATGGGGTGGGCAGAACAGTCCTCCAATCAGCCTAGACCTTAAGTGCTCTCACGTGCTCTCAGGCATGTATCAAACCAAGAAAGCAGGCTAGGAGGATAACACATCTACCTTTATACAGGGAGCTATGAAATATCTGAGATGAGCAAGTGATTCACAAGGAGACAGAAGCAGTATGACCTTTACCCTGTGACCCGGTTCAATTATTTCAGGCTCTCATTAACCAGGCGAGCTCCTCTTTCTCTCAGAGGTAGGTAAACTTGAGGGGGTAAAGTAGGATTTGGGATTTGGGGATAATGGAAAAGAAAGCCTGGTAATATTTCTTCTATCTCTGTTTTAAATAAAAAGTAAAACATAAATGCCCTTTCTCAGGGCCCAAATGTTAGGCAAAAACAATGTTTGTCATCTCAGTACACACATGGTCATTTATTCTTTCCCTCTGCATGTTGTGCGCTTTTTCAGTTTATAATGTCCCTGATCCACTTGTCTCATACTAGCTGCAAACAAGGAAACTGAATGTCACACCAGGTGGCCAGCATTTCTGTGAAGGGCAGAAACCGGGGCAGCCAAACAGCTGGCAGAGGCCAGCTAGTAAGTACCTGATGCCCACTCCGTAGAGGACTCCACACTTAAAAGACCAAATAAGCAAGTGTCAGGCTGACTCACTTGTTATCCCCCCAAATAAAAAAATAAAAGTAACCCCTCCAGGGAAAGTGTGTGTGTACATGCCAAAGTACATGCACACAGTTACATGCAAAGGGGAAAGTCTGGGAAGGAAGAAAACCCACCCCTGAACACAAGTTACTTGTGGGGAAGGGGCAGGTGAAGCCAACTGTCAGCATTTCTTACCTTTTCAACAGATGAGCTTGCATGAATTTTGGTAATTTCTCATAAAAAGGCAATTTTCACTCCTTGGGTGATCACCCAGGTCTTTCAAAACTGAGCCACCAACAACCACCTGTACCACTTGACAGGAAGCCAAATAATGGCTTCCATCAAAGCTCAGCCCTCCCACCCACCTCCCAGTCCTGTCCCATGCAGGGGGGTACTGGACTGCTGGGGTCCAAGGGTCCAGGCCAAACCCAACCCACAGATTGTTGGTGAAACCAGCATTCATCCAAGGGCCTTTCCGCAACTTGGGCCATGTGCTCACTGCATAAGTATGCCTGTGCTTGTTCCCCTAGGACAAAGACTCCCTTTTCTTACAGCTGGAATGAGGGGTGGGGAGATTTCATGGTGTCCTGTACAGGTTGGATGTTAATCTGATGTGGTGCTCTTGGAGAAGCTTGCCTGAGTCAGGTGCTTTCTCATCCTGTGGTGTGTGCTTCCCCTTCAAGCTGCAGAAGTCCCTGAAGGTAAGTGCTAATGCAACCCCCATCTACTGGTGAGCAGAGGTCAGGTGATCTGCAGCCGTCCAAGCAGCTGCTAAGTGACCAACAGGCTGGATCTGCATCTCACTTGCAGAGGCCCTGCGTGGCTGCTGTGGCTGCCCTGAGACTCGTTCTGCCTCCTCTTCCCTCCACAGCTCTCCCAGCTTCTACCCACAGCTGTGCTCCAGGTGAGAAACACTTATGGATGCACCAGGGTGTAACTACTCAGACTTCTGCATGCAGAAGGGCCCCTGATCCATGCTGTTTCCATATCCAAGCCCAAACTTGTCTAGAGCTTCAGCAAATCCAAGCCCTCTGAATTCCCTGCAAGACCAAACTGAGCCCTACAACCGCCACTACACTGATTAGCTGCCAGCCCCTGCTCCCTCCTGGGCCCCTGTCTATAGTGTTCTGAAGTCCTACAAGAATGTTGAGTTCCTAAGCCAACTCTCACCCAAACAGGTAAACAACCAGGGGCCTCCAGGGGTAGAGAACCTAGCCAGACAGGTTCTGCTGCCTGTAGACTTGATGTCCTTCCCCCACAACATGCCATGCTTGCCAGGCTGGAAGGGGGTCTCCAGATACTTGGGAAATCTGGGCCTGTAGCTGGCATATGGAGAAGAGGCCTGGAAAAGCACTACTCCTGTCCATGAAGCCCCCAGATGGAACCAGGTAATTGGGAAATACATGGGTACCAAGCCTAATCCACATTCAGACCCGATGGGAACTGCAGCAGGGACTCGCCCTCTGTGCAACTCTGGGTGTACCACTTCAGAAGGACCATCTGATCCCATGTGTCATTGGAGATACTACATGTGGGCAGGTTCCAGTGGTTGCTTCAGCTGAACCTTCCCAACCAGGTCCACACAAAAACATTTCATATGGGGGCACACCTGGGTGGGCAAGCACACCCCTCAGAGAGTGAGAGCCACTGAGGAGGGCTGTCACAGAGGCCCCTTTTCCTGCTCTGAGAACAGGTTAAGGGAGTATGGGGGACCTCTGCCACCTCCTAGCTGCTTCCAGGAGCCACTTCTTTCAAGATGAGGCACTCTCCTGCTTGCCTGTTGCCATTTGGCTGCAAAAGGCCATTGCCAACATTCAATGAAGAAAAAGAAAGGGGCCTCACCTGTTTTCCCTGACACACCTGAGGCAGGTGGGTATGCCCAGGGTTCCTGCGGTAGAACCTGTACATCTGCCGACCCCCAGGCTATGCTGGCTTCATTTTATCTGTGTGATGAGGGTGGGGTGGGAATTACCAAGAGGTAATTACACAGGCCACCGACAAATTCTACAAGAGCTAGGTAGAAAAGCACTGTCTTGTCAGGCTGCCCAGCACCCAGCTCACACACACACATCTCTTGACAGCTTCCCCAAAGCAGGCTTTGAAGTCCAGGCTCCCCAGGAAGCCTGGGGTGGAGACTCTGCCAGGCTAAAGGACCTATCCCCAAAGGTGACACCCTCACCAGTCTCATCCTGACAATCTTGGATTATTTTTGCCCTGAAGTTTTGAAGTGGGAGACAGAGAGACAGCAGACAGTGTGTATTAACCACCTTTCCAGAGAGCATCAGCCCTCCAGACTGGGGCAGGTAAGACCTCCACTTGTGTGTTTTTCTCACTGATTGCCAGATGGGGGAAACAGCACTTGTGAGCATCTGCCTGTCTCCCCAGGTCCTGTTCAGAAACCCCATCTTTGCCTTTGGAGAGACTGCCCCGAGCACACAGGCCCAGCAACCACCATCTATGGCCCCCAGGACCTAATAACCTTCTACATAGGGTTCAGTGCATGTGAGCAGACACTGGACTTGATTCCTGCCCAACAGTCCCTGCCAGATACCCCATGCCCACCTCATTAAGAGAATGAAGACACACGTTCACACCCAGTCCATCATGGTGATAGAGTGGCTGGGGTCCTACTTTGCCACCCTTCAATGCTGGTTCATAATCAGCTGTCTGACCACGTTCCTACCCTGAGGTAGGACTTTGGGACATTGTCCACCAGGGTCACTGACCACTTTTAAAGTTCCAGAAACAGAGGGCCAGCTATTCCCCTGGAAGTTTGCTACATGGGATAAGCCAAGGCTTGCCTTCAGGAACAGGTTTCCCATCACATAGCTGCCCAAGTCCCAGGGCATCCATACGTTCATGTGAATACTACTTGCCACATCCACAGCCCATGCCAACCCCTCCTGGAGCCAGCCGAATGCTTGTTACTGGGCATGTGATAAGCCCAGACAGCTTCAGCCTTGCAGGACAACTAAGGGCATCTAGCAGCAGTAGCCAGAGAGCCTAAAGAAAGAAGTTAGAGGTGAAACCAGATGTTATGAGAGTACTTTAGTAGGCAAAATCGCATACTATAAAAATGCTTTAAAATACATCAGGAGAAGATGAGAAGACACAAATGAACAATTGCGTAGTGACACAGGGCTGTCAGAACACAAAAAAGAATCCACATAGTTTCCATCCTTTCCCCAAGAAAAGGAAAGCTCTAGGCCACCTCCTCCTCAGCACACTCCTCAAACTCCTCCTCCTCAGCCTTGGCATCCTGGTACTGCTAATTTTCAGACACCAGGTCATTCATGTTGCTCTCAGCCTCAGTGAACTCCATCTCATCCAAGCCCTCGCCCGTGTACCAGTGGAGGAAGACCTTGCACTTGAACATTGCTGTAATCTCTTCTGAGACATGCTTGAAGATTTCCTGGATAACAATGCTGTTGCCCATGAAGGTGGCCAACATTTTTAGCCCCTGGGGTGGGATGTGACAGATGGCTGTTTTTACGTTGTGGGGGAGCCAGTCAGCAAAGTAGCTGCTGTTTTATTTTGAATGTTGAACATTTGTCCATCCACCTCCCTCATGGGCATGCAACCCCTGAAAATGGCAGCCACCATTAGGTAGCAGCCATGACAGGGGCAGCCATCATATTCTTAGCATAAAACATCTGCTGAGTAAGCTCAGCCACAGTCAGGGCCTGGTAATGCTGGCTGCCCCGGCTGGTCAGTGGGGCAAAGCCAGGCATGAAGAAATGCAGCCTGGGAAATGGGACCATGTTCACAGACAGCTTCTGTAGGTCAGCATTCAGCTGACCTGGGAAGCCCAGGCACATGGTGACCCCACTCATGGTAGCAGATAACAGGTGGTTCATGTCACCATAGGTAGGTGTGGGCAGTTTTAGGGTTCTGGAATAGATGTCATATAGAGCTTCATTATCTATGCAAAAGGTCTTATCTGCATTTTCTATGAGTTTCTATGGTGGACTGACAGGGTGGCATTGTAGAGTTCCACCATGGTGTCTGACACCTTGGGCGAGGACAGGATGCTGAATGTGTTTATGATCCTGTCTGAATACTCCTCCCAGATCTTACTAACGAGAAGGGTACCCATCCCAGATGCAGTTCCCCTACCCAGGGAGTGGGTCAGCTGGAAACCCTGCAGGCATTCACAGCTCTCACACTGCTTTCAGACAATGTCCATCGCTGACTCCATCAGCTCCGCACCTTCTGTATAGTGCCCCTTGGCCTTGTTTCAAGCCCCACACTGACCTGTATGACAGTACAGTCAGTCACTTGAGTGCCAGGTGTATGGTCATCAGTGGTCACCACCACAATGCAAAATGGACCAAGTGTCACATGTGAGGTGAAAGCACCATTCATCCTTCAGGTGGAGCAAATGAAACCCCGTACCGCAGAGTTACAGGACAGCAGCCTCCCCTTTTAGAAATTAAGTCAGGACTCAAAACTCAGACATGCTAAGAGACCTCGCTGTAGGTGGCTCCTACCTATTTTCAGGGAAGAGAGTAGCCACGGCCCCAGCTCAGCTCCCTGCAGGGAGTTTATAACACTAGCTCCTCACCTTGAGGAGACGCCTGGGGCTTCCTCCCGAAGCCCATTTAGGAGAGGCAGATTGAGCCATTGGGAGAATAGGAGGATGTTCAGGGGCCCTGGCTGCACAATTCCCACAGCTATGACCTTCAGGAACTACTAGATGAGCTGCTCCGGCTAAGGAGCCGCACCGCAGTCCTCACTCGCAGCTCACCAAAGATGAGGTTGTCGGCCTGAAGATGAGCCCGAAGGGCCCCGAGCGCAGAGAGTCCATGGTGACCGGCTCCAGGTCCACGAGCACAGCGCAGGGCACGTACCAGCCACCTGAGTGGGACAGGAGGGTATTAGCGAGGGGGAGGGCCGCCGTTCCCAGGATGGCGATCGGAGAAGGTCTGGGTTCTCACCGCTGGCCTCGTTGTAGTACACGTTGATGCGCTACAGCTGCAGGTTGCTCTCCCCGTGGTAGGTGCCAGCGGAGTCAATGGGATGTTCATCAGAGATCACCCCCCAGAACTACAAGAGATTGGGTGGGGTCAGACAGACCAGGGCTGAGTCACGGAGGCCAGGGAGCTGGAGGCGCCCCAGCCCCTCTCCTAGCTCCTCTACCACCCCCACCCTCATCCGCAACCACATCCCTAGGCTGCCGTGTCCCTGGGGTCCACCCCTGCCGACTAGTCAGCCTCCCAGTTCCACTGCGTCCCCGGCAGGGAGCCCAGGGGCTGCAATTCAGGGGCACCGCCCAAGCCACTGCCACTGCCAACATCTTCCCTGGCCACCCAGTAGGCCGGAGCTGGGACCTCAGAGCCCCGGATGCCAACCTTGGCACCGATCTTCTTCCCGCACTGCCGGGTCTGCGTGAGCGCAATCTCCCTCATGGCCAAGGCGGGATTAGGGCGGCAGGAGAAATGCGAGAAGGAAGAGCAGATGTGCAGCGACCCAGCCCGCCCTCTGCCAACATTTAAATAGACCCTCGCCCGCCTCCCTCAACCTCGGATTGGGCTCCCAGAATAAGCAACAGCTTTACTTCCACACAGGTGTACCCACCTGTGAGTCCCTTGGAGCTGAACGTCTGCTGGGGAGCTCAGGTGGCCTTGCTGTGGTCCTTTCCACGTTGGGGAAAGCTGGTCAGCTGGAGAACTTCCTCCCTCGTCTTTACTAAGATTAAATCCCTAGCTGACATGAAACTGAATTTTCCTCCCATGTGGGAGGGGAAGCCTCTTATTTCGGTATTCACAGAGTGCCTTGCACCTATCCTAGACTGATGACATATTTTTGTACTTGATGAGTCTTTTCATCTATTGGGAGATCTGTGGTAGGAAAGGCCTTCCATATGTAAACACAACAAGACTTAATGGTAAGTTTTACTTTGGAGCAGTTCAAACCCTCAGTAAGTTATGGGTGTTAGAGATATTAGGCATTTGATTTAGCATGAGTCTTCTTTAGAGTAGGATTAGCCCTTTCACCTTTCCAGAGGACTGCGGTCTTTACGCAGAGTGAAAGTAATACTGGATTCCTAAAGCTGAGGATAGGTGTTGGGATACACTGAAAATGGACCATTGTCACTTTGCAGGCTTTTAGATTACTCAGACTGATAAGTTATTTCTTCTGGCAACGATCTAACCAGTGAAGGTATCAGTAAGAGTTAGCAAATATTTGAATCTCCTGCAGAAAGACATCTGAGTAAATTAGAGTTGCCAGTTCTCACCTGGATAGATTCATCAATATTGGACACGTTTAACTGGAGAAGGAGAAAATTGCTGGCCTTTGGGACATGTCAGGCGCAGAGCTCACAGGGGTGAGCCACCTGTTTTATTGTCTTGAAAAGATTTACCCCTATAAACAAATGAGATATTAACAGAAACAAAGAATCTCTTCTAGGATGAAAATAATCATAAAGTGCTGAATTATATTCCTATGATTGGTACTTGGCATTAGTAATTTATTACCATCGTTCAGCGGGCCAGAGGGGTCCTGGACTGAACTGCAATCCCTGGCCCAATTTTGTACTTCTTCAGAGTATTCTGACCCTATGTTCTGTGAATGCTAATCAGCACACCCATAGCTTAATTGGCCTTTTCAGTCCAGGGGCCTTGACTGCAGCATCTACCAGGGCATTTCCTTTTACATGGTCCGTCTCTGTTTTGATGACCTCTGCAATTAATTATAGTCAGTTTTGGCAGCAAAACAGCATTCTAAGAAGCTAAAAATCTGAATGATGTTCTATGGAAAAGCCCTTGGGAGCCAGGGGTAGTTACCCATTCCAAATTGCAGCGTAAGAATGAAGCACTAAAAAATCATAGTTGGAATCAGTGTAAGTGTTAACGTTTAAATGCTTTACCAACTGCAGGGGCCTAGTAAGTTCAATTAACTCAGCTTTCTGAGCTGAGGTAGAGGCCAGCAATGCTTGTGCCTTGATTCTCTTGTGCTAATAAGTATATCTAGCTCTTCTGTTTTCCCTGATGCAAAAAAGAACTTGCGTCTGTTAACCACTCTTCCTTGGGATGGTCAAGGGGCAAGGGGCTCATCTCTTGTAAGTCTGGCCTCCTAGAATAAATTTGTTTTATAACCTGTGACATGATTTTGCTGTGTCCCCAGTCAAATCTTATCTTGAATTGTAGCTCCCATAATTCCCATATATCATGGCAGTGACCCAGGGGGAGGTAATTGAATTGGGGGATGAGTCTTTCCCATGCTGTTCTCGTGACAGTGAATAAGCCTCATGAGATCTAATGGTTTGTTTATTTATTTATTTATTTATTTTATTTTTTTTATTTTTGAGACATAGTCTTTCTCTGCTGCCCAGGCTAGAACGCAATAGCATGATCTCAGCTCCCTGCAACTTCTGACTTCCAAGTTCCAGCTATTCTCCTGTCTCAGCCTCCTGAGTAGCTGAGATTACAGGTGCCCACCACCATGCCTGGCTAATTTTTGTAGTTTTAGTACAGATGGGATTTCACCATGTTTGCCAGGCTGGTCTCAAACTCCTGACCTCAGGTGATCCACCACCTTGGCCTCCCAAAATGATGGGATTACAGCTGGTGGCTTTATAAAAGGGAGTTTCCCTACACAATCTCTTTTGCCTGCTGCCATGTAAGAGATGTGACTTTGCTCCTCATTTGCCTTCTGCCGTGAGTGTGAGGCCTCCACAATCATGTAGAACTGTGAGTCAATTAAACCTCTTTTCTTTATAAATTACCCAGCCTCAGATATGTGTTTATTAGTAGCATGAGAATAGACTGATACAACCTGTATGCCAGAAAGGCTGGGAGCACCTGTGGACTCTGGCAGATAAGTAGCTGTGTTTATGGTTTGACAGGCTTTAAGAGTTATGTCTGGAGTGTCTAGCAATTAGGCCTGATACCTTCATAAATATTCTCCTATTATCCACTGGTGCCATTTAGCTTCTAGGAAGACCTTCCCTTGATGTGGGGTCAAAAACCTGTAGGTGCTGTCCTAATGTTAGTTTATTAGTTTTACCTACTAGAAAAGTTGTAGCAGCAATAGCTCTAAGACATTAAGACCACCCTGAGGCCACCTGGTCTATCTGCTTAGAAAATTAGGTTACTGGCCTTGGAATATTCCCCAGTTTTGTGACAAGATTACCGAAGGCCTATGCCTTGCTTTTTGGCCACATAAAGCACAAATGGTTGATCCAACCTGGGGACTCCCACAACTGCAGCAGAGCCCAATTTCTCCTTAAAAGTATTGAAGTTTTGCTTGTAGCTCTAATTACATTCTAGGAGCTCTAAATCTTTCTCTTTAGTGTATCATATAAGGGTTGGCTACATGTCCAAATCTGGGTACCCATAAGTAGCAGTACCCAGCCATCTCCTAAAACAGCCCAACAGTCATTTCTTGGACTGGGACCCTCACATGACTAAAATAACTTTTTATCTTCTAGGGATGTTGATCAGTTCCAAAGGTTAAGACAGATTCCAAATATTTAAGTCTTTCAGTCAAAATCTGAGCCCTGTATGGTGATATCTTATATTTGCAAATTCCCAGGAAATTTACCAATTTAACAGTTTTATTATTTGAGTCTTCTTTAGTTGGACTAGCAATGAGCAAGTCACCTGCATACTGAATAATTGTGTCCTTTGCAATCGTAGATTTCTTAAGTCCTTAGCTAGAGCATTTTCTAATAAGTGGGGGCTATCCCAGAACCCTTCAGAGATGCCTGTCCAGGTTAATTTTGAGGCTGAATGCATATACAGATCAGTCCATTCTAAGGCAAACATATTGTGAAACTGGATGCACTGAAATGCAGAAAAATTCATCTTTCAGGTTTAAGAATGTAAACCACTTTGCATCCCCTGGGACTTGGGTAAGTATTGGGGACAATGAGGTGTATGGAGACAACTGCGTTTATTAATGCTGTAAGGTTTCTGACAAATCTGTATTTTCCATCAGGCTTTTCATCTGGTAACATGCAAGTATTGTAAGGAGACTCTCATGGCCTTAATAACTCATATGACAATAATATGGCGATAAGGGTTTGAATTTCCCCTCATGCTTCTCGCCTTAAAATGTATTGTCTCTTCTGAGGGTGAGGAGCACTAGGCTGAAGTTGGATTTGAATGTGGGAGGTGTTTAGTGCATTTCCCAGAGCTTGTGTGGCCCAAACCTTAGGATTTACTTGAGACAACAGCTCAGGTGGTAAATGTGACAGCTCATTCTTAACTTCTTTTTCCCCTGAGGGGTCAGGAACAAAAGTAACACTTTCTCTGCTTTATGATCTGTGAAGGTGACCATGACATAGTCTCCTGATTCAATAAACCTCTCCCCAGTAAGAGGTCAGGCATTCAGACAGTACTAAAAAGGCAGGTGAGAAACACAGAATCCCTGGAGGACAACTTAGAAGATAAGAAAAGCAGTGTTTTTGGGCTTGTCCATCGTGAGAAGACAGGAGCCAATTGTATTTACTCAGGACGGAGTCATCTGTTCCCATACTTAATAAGAAGTTAATAATCCTACCTTCCACTTCAAGAGTCGGCTGAGGCTCTTCCATCTCTCGATAGGTAATAGTCCAATGAGAGCAGATGCAGGAAGTATCAGGCCCTACCACTTTTGGATCTGCTGGGTGCTGATGATGGCTCCCTTGGAAGCACAGTGTATTTCCTTCGGCAGTGGCTGACCTTCTTACAGAAGTCACATTGATTTATATCCAAGGCATAGTGGGCCAGAGGCACAGACTGGGACTTTTACCTTCTCACTTCCTCTGTGACGGCCAGGGGTTAAGGGGGCTGCCTCTGAAGGGGTGGAGAGCACAAGGCTGTAGCTAGAAGCTGGCCTCTTGGGAGGTTTGCTTTATTTTGTTTCCTCTGCCCTATTCCTGTGATGGAAAACTGCAAAAGCCAAGTCTAACAGCTGACCCATGGGAGTCTGGGTCCCTAAGCACTCCCTAAGGCTGCTTTCAGCGGCTTCCTGCAGATATCAGAAGCAGACTGGGCTATAAAATAAACTCCTAGCAATGTCGCAATGCCTGTCCCTTCTTGGAGTCGGGCAGTGTTAGTGTATTTCCTCAAGGTCTAAGTTATCCACCCTTGTAATAAAGCTAGGTATTCATCTTCTCCCTGAGCAATTTTCCAGATTTATAAAAATTAAAAAGTTACATCATGCATTTTTTTATTCCTTCAAGGAGTCAAATGATCATAATTTTTTCTCTGTATATCCCACTTTCTTCCTAATTGATTTCCCTTTTCTAGATCCTAATTCTCTTTTGGTTCCTGCTCAGGCACTGTTGTGCCTCCTACTTGATAGTTGCCATGTCTCTGGTTGCAGGCTGCCGCCCTATTAGCATGTGCTCTAGTCACTCCCATAATACGCTGCTTTTCTATCATGTGTCAGGTAAACATAAATGTATGCAAATCTTGCCTGGTCAGATCATACTTCAAGGTTAGCCTCTTAAATTTGTCTATGAATTTTCCTGGAACCTCTGAAAGCTGTTTCAGTTTTTCCTTGCATGTGGCTGATTCAGACATAGAAAAGGGTACATATAGCTATATAGTGTCCCTATTATCATTTGCCACTTCCCAGAGAGGGCAAAGATTCAACTTTGCCAGCTGATAAGAGACCCCAGGGCATGTTGTTCTGGTGAAGCTCGGGTGTTTTCAGGTATCTATGTAAGATAGGACTCGAAGGGCAGGGCAAAGATGATGTCTGGACACGAGATTACCCTGGAAAACTAGAAGGAATTAATAACATGTTGCACACCTCACCAGAACTGGAAGGAGCCTGACTGCGTTCTTATGGGGTGCTTGGACTGGCAGTGCAGAGTTCAGCCTCAGCTAAGAAAAGCCTGATATTAAGAGGCACTTGCATTGAAAAGGTAATCAATTATGTGCCGTCCCTATTTTGTCTTTTCTTCCATCAAACATATACAAGCTGATTTTAATTTTTTAATCCTGACCAAGCATCAGAGATGCCTGTGTATAATGTATTTCCTCCCCTTCACTTTCTCTTCTATAAAACAAATTAAGCTGCAAAAGAATGAGTCAGACCAAACAGGGGAAATGGGAAGGCTGTAACTTGTATATTGAAATGTATTAGTCCGTTTTCACACTGCTATGACAAAACTGACACACTTTCAGGGAAAAAATGACATGCTGGGTTTAGAAAGTAGGGTCCAGCTGCCCTATACCAGCTCTTCAAAGATGATCTTATGCTTAAGAAATAAGAGAAAACTCTTAAGCAAACGTCTCATGTTCTCCATATTGATGCTAATTGTTTGCAGAGGGTTGTCATAAAAGAGGTTGTCACTAAACAGGCATATCTGATCTTATCATGTAAGACTGTTAAATGCCACATTTCAACTTCTAGTCATAATGATGGAGAGGTTACTGCTGATCTTTTCTGATAATTAAGGTAAAAAATACTAGGTTCCAAGACACCTCTTTTCTTCAGTGTCACTTGGACCAGTGGCAAATTAAATAAGCAATCAGCTAAAAGTCAGAGGATTATTGAGGAAAGTAAAAGCTAAACTGTTTTGGTCCTCTTTCATGGGGCAGCCTACAGACTACTACAAAACAGAGGCAGTGAGCCGAAAGGTGACAAGATGCAGAGCACTCAGGTGAGGGACAGAGAGCACCAGGTGGACAGTCCAAAAAGAGAAAGTGGCAAACATCTTGTTTAGCCAAGTCCATTCCTCTCAACATACCCCAGAGCCTCTAACCTTGTGAGCTTGGCGTTTAATCTGAGTATGACACCCCCAGGTCTCTAACTTTTTGGGCTAAGTCTCTCCCCCTAACATTATGCACTAGGGCCTCTCACTTTAGTAGTAGTGGATAATCATTCTTGCCTGCCAGAATGGCTTCACGACTCTAAAAGATGGCCTGCTTGCCAGGTGATTGATTCTGTATGGATTGTTTTCCTTGGAGTGGGGGTCTTGTCTTGGTGTCCCTTCAAGGTGTTGCTGAAAGATGTTGCTGGAAAAGAGGGTCCTGATACTGACCACAAAGTAGGATTCTTAGATCTTGTGTAGGAAAAAATTGAGGTGAATCAGAGAGCACAGTGAAAGAAGCAAGATTATTATAAGTGACTCCATTGCAGAGTTGGGCATCGTCAGAAAACAAAAGCAGGAATGCATTGTCTTTTATGAGTATCTCTACTTATAAGTAAGTATAAAGAGAAACAGTTATTAATAAACTTGGAAGGTGCAGATGTATTCACTAAAGTCAGGAGCTATTGGTTTTAACAATGATCATTACCCCATTGACCTAAGCTAGCTCATTAATATTATCTTTAAGGAAAAAATGCTGCACACCTAGGATATTTATACATTTTTCAGGCTTGGTGGAAACTGTCTTGTATGGCCATAAATACTCTGCAACTGTAATTTGTGGCCAGCTTAAAAATGTGGCTATTTTCAGACCATAAATATTAACCTTCTAGATGCTTTGTGAGTACCTAGGTACTCATATTAAGATAGAGTATTCCAGTTATGTTTATTAAATTAGAAGCTTGGTAACCATGACTTCCTCTAACAAAGCAAGCCTACTGCTCAAGGATAAAATTTATTTCTCAGGAATTTTGTGCATTTTGTTTGATGGAATTTGATATATTTACCAAAATGGCAGAAAAGAGTGAAATTAGTCCTCAAAGATTTCTCAGGATTAGATATAAAGTAAACAAAATGATTATAGTTAATATGCAAGTTGATACAATTGATATTCAAAAGAAATTTTGTTAGAAACATGAGATTTTTATTTATATTTATTTAATTATTGTTATTATTTTGAGACAGAGTCTTTCTCTGTTGCCCAGGCTGGAGTGCAGTGCACCGTCTCGGCTCACTGAAACCTCCGCCTCTGAGGTTCAAGTGATTCTCCTGCCTCAGCCTCTCAAGTAGCTACAATTACAGACATGCATCACCACACCCAGTTAATTTTTGTATCTTTAGTAGAGATGGGGTTTGTCTCTGTTGGCCGGGCTGGTCTCAAACACCTGACAGCAAATGATCTGTCCATGTTGGCCTCCCAAATTACTGGGATTACAGGCATGAGCCACCGCTTCCAGTCACAATGAGGTTTTTAAGTAATTCTAACTGATTTCCTGCTGTTGAGCAGGGAGCTGAGCAAATTCAACAGATCGTGAGCCTCAAGTAGGAGAAGACTGAGGCCAAACTCTGGAACACATGTGATTAATTACGTATAATTGAAACCAAATCAAATTTAATAAGGCTTTTAGTTTCAAGATGTTTC